>NC_000008.11:7314841-7617127 GCF_000001405.40 Homo sapiens
CAGCAAGCCTCTATCTCTGCACCTCAAGAATCTCTCAGGGCTCCCATCCCTTGCCCAACCTCGGGCAGTAGCTGCCACACACTCAGTGAAAGACCAGAGAAACTACTTCTCTCAGCTACCGGCCCTGCCCTGCCTTCAGACCTCATCATGCCTCTCTTCTTATGCACCTGTGAGAACAGAGAGTGAAGGGGGGATTCTCTCAGCTCCCCAACCCACTCCCCAGTAACACAGGGTTTTCCTCGATTCTCACAGTGAGACCTTTACCTTGCTCTGACCTCAAATTGCACCAGTTCCTACATGCCTGTCCCTCAAAAGTGTCTCAGGTAGTTCTCCTGCTCTCCATCTGATCTTACCTAGGAGCACACAAGATAGGTCATGAAAAAACCATTAGTGGGGCCACACGCGGTGGCTCACGCCTGTAATCCCAGCACTTTGGGAGGCCGAGGCCGGCAGATCACGAGGTCAGTGGCTAACACGGTGAAACCCTTTCTCTACTAAATACAAAAAATTAGCCGGGTGCGGTGGTACATGCCTTTAGTCCCAGCTACTCGGGAGGCTGAGGCAGGACAATCACTTGAACCCTGGAGGCGGAGGTTGCGGTGAGCCGAGATCGTGCCATTGCACTCTAGCCTGGGCGACAGAGTGAGACTCCGTCAAAAAAAAAAAAAAAAAGAAGAAGAAGAATAAAGAAAGAAAGAGAAAGAAAGAAAAGAAAAGCATTAAATCATTAGTGAGTGAATGAGAGTGAGTGTGTTTGGGCCCCTACTGATGCTAAACTATCACAAGCCCACACTCAGCCTTTCAACATTTGCTTGAGGTTCACTTGTTTCCTTCTTATCTCCATCAAGGGCAGCTTCCTCCTGCTTCTGCTGCTGCAACTCAGGTACACACAAAGCATGTGTGGATCCGTTCTTTTTTCAGTAGGGCTTCATTACTCTGAATTTAAGTTAATTAGCTTTTTTTAAAGACTTCAGCTCTGTCTTTTAAAATGAAATCTATGATCTATAGATTATCCAGCTTATTCTTTTGTCAGGGCAAGAGCATTTTTCTATAACTTTCTAAATTCTAAACAAAAGTAAAAGTTCACTTCTTTCCAGAATCCCCCCATGTCAGAAAGTATTACTATTATCATCAGTTTAGTGATATTTATGGAATTCCAAGTTGACTCTGAGATCAGCTTTTGGGTTAAATTCTTTCTTCCTGATATATAGCCTTTGAAATTTTATTTGCTGCAGATCTCTTGGTAGTGAACAATTTTAGTTTTTATCTGTCAATTTTGTATTGTTATTTTTGTTCTTGAAAGACAACATTACTGAGTACCCAATTCTATATTAACAGTTATGTTCTCTCAACGTTTGTTGATACTAGTTTATTCATTTTTAGTTTGTGCTTCACTATGATATTCAGATAAATATTATTTCATTATAAATTGTCCTTTTTTCAATGTTTGTATGGTCTGGTGTTTGGTTTTAATATTTTATAATTTAACTAATGTGAATTTATTTTTATATCATCTGTTAGAAATATATTCTTTGAATCAATGGATTTATACTTTTTCTTAATTTCTTTTTGAGAATCTCTTGAAATGGTGAATCCTCTTACACTTCTCTTCCCGCATATTTGAATTAAATAAATGTTAGACCTTGTGTTTCCATGCTACATTCTGGGTATATCATTTAAGCATTTTTTTCTTTACTAATTATCCTGTTACCTATATCTAATATATCATTAATAACTTGCATTAATTTTTAAAATTTTTTAATTTAGAACTGCATTTTGGTTTTGTTTTGTTTTGTTTTTTTGGAGACAGAGTCTCACTCTGTTGCCGAGGCTGGAATGCAGTGTTGCAATCTTGGCTCACTACAACCTCCACCTCCTGGGTTCAAGTGATTCTCCTGCCTCAGCCTCCTGAGTAGCTGGGACTACAAGTGTCCACCACCATCTTCAGCTAATATATATATATATATATACATTTTTTTTTAGTAGAGACAAGTTTTCACCATCTTGGGCATGCTGTTCTTGAACTCCTGACCTCGTGATCCACCCGCCTCGGCCTCCCAAAGTGCTGCAATTACAGGCATGAGCCACCATGCCCAGCCAGACCTGCCCATTTTTTCTATCATCTATATAGCTTTACTATTGTTTTTACATCTTTGTAATAGTAGATTTTTTCTTTAAACAATCGATACACAGCTGCTTAATTATTTCTCCACATTGACAATTTCAATACATTTAGTTTTCAAGGATTTAAATGTGCTATTCATTTCATTAACTTTTATTCATGGTTTCTTTCTTACCTGATCATTTTTAATGATGAACTCATTGCTCATCCTTAATCTGCCATCATTCTACAGTCTGAAATAAGAATGCTATTATTCAAACTTCCTCTGTGAAACTGACTCAATCCTTTATCTCAATATAGAAGTTCCAGGATTAACGAACTGGAATTTCTGATGGCCCAAGAGTCAGTAGTACCACCATTAGCATTGTTGATAATAGCAGATCTTCCCAGAAGATATGGGAAACCCTCACCCACCTCCATCAGCTAGCCAATACAAAGTGCCTAGTGCTCAAGCTCCAGTTCACAGACTGTTTTTGTGTTTGAAAGAGGAGATATTTTAAGAACTTGCCTAACCATTTTCAAGAATAGAAATGTTTCAAAGAGATCGTCTAAAATGTATTTGTTCGATAGCAGCAGTCATTTGAGAGCAGCTAACTTGCAGTCATGGCCAAAAGCCTAAATCTTTCTTTCATTCTAATCACACCTATTTTATATATTTTGGAGATATTAAAGATTCAGATGTATTCATACTATTCTATGATTTGGGACACTGCTATAGATTCTTCAAAATGTTACAACATTCCAGTGGTATTTTGGGAGGTATAGAAGGTGAGAGGAAACAATGGGCTCAAGTCTCCCCTGACTTCTCTTCTTACAACATATTTCATTGTCCAAAACTTTTAGAACTATATCAATACAACATTGACAGTGGATATTCTTCTTTTCCTTCTGATTTTAATAGGATTGAAGGAAGTGCTTGCTATGAAATTGCTATATGGGTTGTAATCAGACAAATTTTGACTTTGAAAACGCAATATTCTTCTCATTATTTTAAAATGTTTACCAGGATTCACAGTATTATTTTCAATTCTCCCCGTTCAAAGGCATATTTAAATAACTTGATGAAAGGGCAATATTATATATGTTACTCTGCTATGGAAACAGAAAAAACCACCACCAAATTGTATTCTAGATACTTTGTACACCAATTGCACCATCTTTTTTTATCTAAGACATTCAGTTCTTCCACAGGTGGGAGCACATGAATTAGCATCATTTAGTACTTGTAGTTTTCACTACAGACTTTCAGACTTATGGTGCCTAAAGGAAATAGAATGCTTCTAGCTGGGTTTAAAAGCTACAAATAAACAGAGGAAATATACACTATTTTGAAAGTACCACTTGAGCGTTCTGTATGTATTTCAATATTATGTTGCTAATTTTAATTGTTCAAGGTTAAGGAGCTTAAACCTCCTCCTCATGCATTCCTGAATCATCCATTACTCGCACACATACATTGTTTGATACAGCATAAACCTAAGTAAGTAAAGATGTGGCAAAATGAAAAAAAAATAAAATAATGTGATACCATTCTTATCTAGGAATGGCATCAGTAGACAGATGTGAATAAAAGTAATGTGATTATAATTTTAAAAATCATATTTAATAGGATCCATTTATTATTAAATAAACATTAAATTACTTAATGTATAATAAACCCTTAACACGATGACAACTCTTAATGCAGAGTGAGACCAAAATGAAGGTATTAACTATTTTCTTCCTAATCCTTGCTTTAGTTGTTCTTTCCACCAGACTGTCACTTTATTCGAAGGATATTGTAATAGCACAAAGCCATCAGCTTTACCATTAGAGAGATCTTCATTAAATTATCTTTGTTGTAATAAAGGTCATCTGGAGGAAATACTGGTCTGAATACAATAATAAATGTTAAGCTTTCTAGTATTTTCCACTTTTAGACACAAATTGAAAGAATCATTTATAATGTCAAAAACACTTTTTTCTAACTAATCTATTCTATGACTAAGACACTATTAGCAATTAAAGTAGATAGATCAAATCTAAATATGGAGAGAAAAAGTAATTTCTACTTATGTTTAAACAGGTGAAACCACGAATAAATTGAAAGCCTGAAATATTAGCTTAGGGGAATAATGTCACTTTCGGGGAGCAGGAGCAGCATATACCAGCCTTTAGCTCTACACACTCCCCCAAAGAAAAAAAATATATAGATAGTTATGTACAAACCAAAATAGCACTGGGAGGGTTCAAGGGACCATTTAAGAAACTATGGCAACACAGTGAAGCCAACAAAAAAAAAAAAAAAGAGAGAGAGAGAGAGAGAGTGAAAGAAAAAAAAAATAGCCATATAGAAAAAACAGCTGCTGAAATCAGCATACCTGAGATGCCAGAAACATCTTTTTTGGCTAGAAACAAAAGCAGAAAGGGACTATCTGTATCAGCCACAAGGTGGAAGCACCAGGGCCCTCAGTAACCCACTCTGGCAGAAGACACTGGCATTTTTTGCCACTGGAGTAAGCAACATCCCTTTCTGACAGAAAACCCAGAGAAAAAGATGAAGAGGTACCATCTCCTCCCACATCCCTTTTCCCCACCAAAAATGCAGTGACTGTTGGGCCAAACCAGGATTGGAACTGCTACCTTTCTTAAACTGCATGTGTCTCTGACATATGAGCAGCAACCATGTCAAGAGCTCCCACATAAAAACGTTCATACTAAATTTATTCTGTTACTTAAGAGTGTTTATGGATTTACATTCCATTTGTGGACTAACTATCTCACTGGATCTTCTTTCCTTCAGTAAGAGGTGGTTTGGGTCCTGCGGAAGGTCATTGTCTCAATTTGTTTGGTGTTTGCAGAACAGATGTCTGCAACATAGTAGAAGATCAAATTGGTGCCTGCCGAAGAAGGATGAAGTGCTGTAGAGCATGGTGGATTTTAATGCCAATTCCAACACCACTTATCATGTCAGATTATCAAGAACCCCTTAAACCTAACTTGAAATGAAACTGAAACAAAATAAAAATACATCAAAAGTGAAGTTATTTGCATCTAAGAATATTAAAATATACATATTAAGTACTTCCATCTTGATAACCGTCTTGCATTTTCACTTATCAACATAAATGAATAAATACTAATTTCAAATACACCCAAGTACTATTTCTTTGTGAATCATTAACATATCTTAACAAAACTTTTAAAAATGAGAAAACTGTTACTTTTGTTTTCCAAGATGGTGGATTGAAGGCATTGTTAGTCTGCCTCTTGCACTTGGAAAGAGAAATTGGTGTGTAGAGACTCACACTGTGAACTTTCTTTCAAGAAGCAACACAGGAATTTAACAGGAAAATTGAAATAAGCCACAGACCATTTGAAAGAAACAGCAGGATGCAGCTTACACCATAAGCTAGGCAGAAAATTGTAAGTTTCCAGGGTGTGACAGGAGGGTAACTGACTCTAAGATATACGCTTCCACTGGGAAACCTATCAATCCAGGCCGTGAGGGAAGGCCTTAACCCTCCTCAGCGCTGGAGCTGATTTAGGGAAGAGTGGTGAGTATATGAGGAGTGGCATTGGGATGTGCTTTGAATCTCCAGCACATTCCCAGTTTCTGGTAGAATGGAGGGAAGCCATTGCTGATTCTACCTCAGACAGGACCTCCTAGAAGTCTGCCAGGTAACTCAGATGGTTGTCACAGGTTGAGACAACCTCCCAAATGAAATGTGTGATATAATCTTGACTGGGGACAAACTCCCCAGGCCAGAACTGAGAGGTGAGTGGGAAGTGTGCTGCAGCAGCAAGCACAGGAGCTGGGGGCCCCTGCTCTGCAGGTGGATCAGGAAGGGTGTGGCCTGAAGGTTGCAGTTGCTGTCTCCATAGGGGAGACTTATGGTATGGGTCAGTTTTGAGTTCTGAGCCCAGACTTCTTGAAGCTTAGCTAGCTACTCCCATTGGAACACTGTGGGTGTGAGACCTGCCTTGCCAAGTGTGTGGGAGCTGGATGGGGCTTACTACCAAGCTGCTACTCCCCATTCTTCACATAGACTCTCCTTGTACAGAGGCAGTGACAGTTTCACTTCTCTCTGGAAAATTACTCCAGTGGCCCAAGAACAGCCTTCCAATTCCCACTGGAGCCACTGCTTGTCCCACACATAGACAGCCAGAGCATCACCTTACCTGACCTAGTTCCCACCTGGCTTTGCTCAACCACCTACCCTGGTAGATTAACACAAATAACTGAAGAAACTTTTAGAAGCTCTTTGGCTCCACTTATTTCCTGAGACACCAGAGTGCCTCCAATGGGTAACATAAGGCAAGTCCAAATCTCACCACTACCACCACAGCTGGCAGTCTTTTGGAAGCACCACCTCCTGGCTGAAGGCCTACTGACAGTCCTTTACAGCATCTGCAGGTAGAATAACATAGCACCCAGGAAGGAGAAAAGTTGTGAGTGACCACAACTTTTACCATTGCTTGCATCATTCTGGCTAAGCAGGAGGCCCTGAGTCTGTCCATGTGATGAGTTCATTACTACTACAACTGGCATTTGAGAAATCCAATACACAACACACTAGGACTATTTATAACCAAGGAATCTTTCAGAGTCTACAACACTCCCCTGCCATCCCCATCTGATCAGCTGCTGATACACACTGCTGTGAGACGTGAGGACAAATTATATCACTGGATCCATTGCAGACATTCTTGAGCACCAGCCTGGTGTGCGGCATCCCCACTGGGTAGCTAGACCCAGAGAAGCAGCAGCAGCATATGCAGTAATCTGAATTTCATGGCCTCCTACTCTGAGGAAAGAGGAAGCACACCACATCAAGGGAGCACCCTGGGGACAAAATAATCTAGATGGCCTTGAGTCCCAGAACATTCCACTTGTGGGAAGTTGTTTGGTGGTTTGTTTGTTTTTGTTTTTATTTCCAGCAGAGGAACATGTGCATGCTAGGCTCAGCGAGGAAAGTCTGTAGCTATATCTCAACAATCAGGCAGCCTTGATGCTCAAGAAGAGTCTTGGAGAATGGGGACTTATTTTCCATCTCATACACTACTGCAGACACAATAGTACTGTACTCAGAGCCAGTGTACTGAGGTGAGTGGCCATAAAACCTACTGAGACACCAGCCAGGAGAGCTAAAGGAGTACTTGCATTACCACTCCCCCAACCCCAGGCAGCACAGCTTGCAGCTCCAAAAAAGACCGCTTCCTTCTGCTAGAGGAGATTAGAGGAAAGAGTAAAAAGGACTTTGTCTTGCATCTTGGATATCAGTTGAGCCACAGTAGGATAGGGCCCTGGTCAGGGTCATGAGGTCCCCACTGTGGATGTAACTAACTTTTTTTTTTTAATTTTATAGGCTGATAGGCAGAAGGGACTTGTCTCAAATAAGACTTTGGACTTGGAGTTTTGAGTTATGCTGGAAACAGTTAAGACTTTGGGGGACTGTTGGGAAAGCATGATTGGTTTTGAAATATATATAAAATACATGAGATTTGGGAGGTGCCAGGAGCAGAATAATATGGTTTGGCTCTGTGTCCCCACCCAAACCTCATCTCAAATTATTATCCCCACACATCGACAGAGGGACTTGTAATCGCCATGTGTCAAAGAAGTTTACTTCATGCTATACTCATGATAGTGAGTGAATTCTTAGGAGATCTGATGGTTTTAAAAGTAGGAGGTTTTTTTTTTCTGTGCACTCACTTCTCTCTCCTGCCACCTTGTGAAAAAAGGTGCCTGCTTCTGTCTTGCCTTCCACCATGACTGTAAGTTTCCTGAGGCCTCCCCAGCGATGCAGAACTGTGAATTAATTAAACACCTTCCCTTTGTAAATTACCCAGTGTGGGGTAGTGTCTTTACAACAGTGTAAAAATGGACTAATACAGGTTCCCTGAAATATTCTGAGTCCCTTTGGAGGCAAGAATCTCTTTATACCAGCATGGTATACTGATGAAGTACATCCTGATCTCATGGGCTAAGAAAGAATTTATACATACCCTTTATGTGTCAGCAACTCTATGTGCAGGCTTTTGAGACCCAGAATGGGCTTTCTTGCCCCATCTAGTCTATGTAACATTTTTCTAAGCCAACTCAATGTCTTTCATCCACACTGGGATAGGTCCTAAATTGCTGTCTGTTGCCCACCTGAGATAATGACATGTTGTTAAATCAGGTGTGTGTGACCCTGATACGTCTATCTGAGTGGCAGGAGAGGGTCTATCTGTTCACAAGAGTCTCTGCAACATTTTCTAAGTCAGTTCAGAAGCTTATTGATTCACCTTTGCAGGCAATGTAGCCATGAGAAAGGTCTCCAAAAATTCCTGACCTTCTGGAAATTTTTAAAGTCTCCGCAGGTTTCCAGAGGTGACTGTAGCTGCACTGAAAGTCACTGCCTGGATAACTGGCCTGTTAAAGCAAAGGCAAAATATGTCAAGCCCACTAAGAATACCCAGAAGCCATGGTATTCAATTAATTTTTGTCTTTCTTGCAGGTGGGAGAATACTGAGGATTATGCCCTCCTATAGCCAGTGAAGGTTACTCCAGTGCCTAGATGTACCAGTCAAGAGAGGTCATGGGAGAGCAGATGGCAGAAAGGGCAGCCAGGTCCTTTCGCTGGGGTTTACTGCTTGTCATGAGCTCTGCTGCTGGGCAGCATGTGTGATTTCTGACTCCTGCCATGTCCTCAAGAAGCCTTGCCCCATCAGCCAGCTGTCCTACCTCCTGAAAGCTGGTGCATGTTTGTTAACATGGAGATCCAGAACAAGAGTCACTTTAGTATTTATCCATAGAGTCCCCATGTGTGCACATGCTTACCTGCAGGTTGTTTTTCCTATTTTTCTGAATGTTAATCCTTGCCTTCTGGAACTCGATATTACCCCCTGTGGCCAAATATGGGATAATTGTAAGGGGAAACTGCTCTTTAGGTCCCAAGTCCACAGGGTTAGTACTATTATCAATATTAAAATTATTAATTATGGATATTAGTATCATAATAATCATCATCATTCCTGTTAATACTCATCAATATGTTTATTATTATTATCATTAAGATGGTTTATTAATGTTATTATTCAGTAATAAATGTTTAGTTTCTCCATTCACTCAGTCAAACTGGAGTCTGACTCCCGATATGACTATGGATATGACTGCATATGACTATGAGTGTTACCCTGCAGATATAGACATGAACCGCTGTCCCAGAGACAGCTCTTGCAGGCACTAATTGCTCTTTCATAGGATGAGTTCCTTACAGGAGAGAAGGGCTGATCTCCATGATGTGGTTTCCTCAGGGTCTCATTAAGGGCTGGTGATACAGGAGCACTGCCTACCCCTCTTACTCACGTGAGAGTGGTACATTCTCTGTTGTCATGGCTGGGATGGCTCCATGTTGAACATATAAATTCCAGGTTCTAGAAGCAAAAAAGCAAAAGATGCATTGGATCTGCATAGGGAACTGCAAGCCATCCAGCAACCACAGGACACAGTCAGAAACAACCACGTGGACCACATCGCCCAAGCTCAGCTGCATGGCTCTCCATTGGGTTAGGACGAGGACCTATTCCACCAGGCTCAACTGGAGTCCTATCCCTGGTCCCAGGACCACAAGGAGCATCTCTTTTTTTGGAATCACACTGCTCCATTCGAAGGACAGCCCTCAGTTCTCTATCTTCAAAAGAGGCTGCAAATGGTGCTGATTGGGAGGGAGCCACCAGCAGCATCACCCTCTACAACTATAAAATAAAACTGTCTCCCAGGGTGGGATATTATGCTGACCCTACCTAAAAGCACATTTCCTAGATGTTGCTTGTTGCCTGGAGTTTGAACAGCATTGTCCAAACTTTGCCATTGAAGAACAAGGAAACTTACCTGGGGTAGTTGCAGGAGTAGGCCTAAATCCAGGTGTGAAGATCCTTGAACTGGGGGTGTTTCTGTACCTGTAGAGATTGCAGACTGGGAAAGGTAAGGCTCTGGTCCTGCCAGGCTCTCTAGAGGTTAAGAATGTGATCTGCAGAAAGACATGAACTAGCACAGGCTACTGTAGAACATCTGCCCCCAAGAATCATAAATGCCTTTTCACTCATCCTGCAGAATGCACTCTCTACTTTAATGATCGTGTGGGATGTGACTTTAATTTTTAGGCATGGGGATTGATCTTAAGAAAAAGCAGGCAAAGTGCCTTACCTGTCCTGGGACTCTGCTCCACTTGCCAACATTTGAGTGGATTCATTTGTGTGGTAGTCAAGCTACAGGAAATAAAGGGACCAGTCAGTCTTCCACACAATGACACAGAGGCCAATTATCACAAGTCCAAATCTCCATTTGTCATCCAGCTCACATTCCCGCTGTGGCACAAGGTCACATGCACTCGTGTCCAACTCCAAATAGTAGCTTCACGTAGTATGCCAGCACTCTCCCACCCATCACCTCTTCTAGAAGGTCTTCCGCTGGATTGGAAATGGCCTGGGATAAAAGATAATGACCACAGGAAGCAGTTGTTTTTTTAGGATCTGATCCACATGAGAAGGTAGGACATCTAATTTGGTCTGAGGACTTTAGCTATGCTAATATTTCAGGTAACTGTCCCCTGTGTCTATAGATTTACAATGGGAATGGAGTGAGAGATGATGAAAACTGTTTTCTTTCCTAGTGAGTATGAGGTAGAACCCTTACATCATGCTCTCTGTTACCTGTTCTCCATACAGAGCCATCTCCCATTTAGAGAGAAGACATGGATTGTCAGTGGGAGCAAGCCTGAGATATGCCCACTGGCAGCTCCCAGAAACCCCTGAAACCTGGCCACATCATGAAGTTTCAACTGTGGGTCTCATGCCTCTCTTGGTATCTTGAATTCAGAACATTTAATGTCATGGCAGGCCAGGGAACTTCCTCTGCTCTAGTTTGGCTCTCTATCGCACATTCACCGCCCCCCCACCCCCCGCCACACACACACAAAGTCACACACACTCACACATCAACCTACTGGCAAACCAAGGTAGAAACACACACACACACACACACCTGCTCAATCCAGGCCAATATCCCTGATGAACATTAATGCAAAAATTCTTAATAAAATACTAGCAAACAGAATCCAGCAGCACATCAAAAAGCTTATCCACCACAATCAAGTCGGCTGCATCTTTGGGATGAAATGCTGGTTCAACATACACAAATGAATAAATGTAATTGATCACATAAACAGAACCAAAGACAAAAACCAGACAATTATTTCAATAGATGCAAAAATGCCTTTGATAAAATTCACCATCCCTTCATGTTAAAAACTCTCAATAGACTAGGTACTGATGGAACATATTGCAAAATAATAAGAGCTGTTTATAACAAACCCACAGCCCACATCATATTGAATAGGCAAAAGCTGGAAACATTCCCTTTGAAAACTGGTACAAGACAAGGATGTCCTCTGTAACCTCTTCTATTCAACATAGTATTGGAAGTTATCACCAGGGCTATCAGGCAAGAGAAGGAAATAAAGGGTATTCAAATAGGAAGAGAGTAAGTGAAGTTGTCTCTGTTTGCAGATGACATGACTTTATATTTAGAAAACCCCATCATCTCAATTCAAAAACTTCTTGAACTGGTAAGCAAGTTCACCAAGTTCTCAAGATATTAAATCATTGTGCAAAAATCACAAGCATTCCTTTACATCAACAATAGTCAAGCAGAGAGCCAGAT
Organism: Homo sapiens; assembly: GCF_000001405.40. Classification (NCBI taxonomy): domain Eukaryota; kingdom Metazoa; phylum Chordata; class Mammalia; order Primates; family Hominidae; genus Homo; species Homo sapiens. Next base: position 7,326,652 of record NC_000008.11, read on the forward strand.
CAAGAATGAACTCCCATTCACAATTGCTACAAAGAGAATAAAATACCTAGGGATACAGCTAGGAGTACAAGGGATGTGAAGGACCTCTTCAAGGACAACTGCAAACCACTGCTCAAGGAAATAAGAGAGGACACAAATGAATGGAAAAACATTTCATCCTCATGAATAGGAAGAATCAATATTGTGAAAATGGCCATACTGCCCAAACTAATTTATAGATTCAATGCTGTACCCATCAAGCTACCATTGACATTTTTCACAGAATTAGAAAGAACTATTTTAAATTTCATATGAAATCAAAGAATACCCCGTATACCCAAGACAATTGTAAGCAAAAACAACAAAGCTGGAGGCATGACGCTACCTAACTTCAAACCACACTAGAAGGCTACAGTAACCAAAACAGCATGCTACTGCTGCCAAAACAGACATATAGACCAATGGAGCAGAACAAAGCCCTCAGAAGTAACACCACACATCTACGACCATCTGATCTTTGACAAACCTGACAAAAACAGGCAAGGGAGAAAGGATCTCCTATTCAGTAAATGCTGCTGGGAAAACTGGCTTGCCATAGGCAGAAAACCAAAACTGGACCCCTTCCTTACATCTTATACAAAAATTAACTCAAGATGGATTAAAGACTTAAATGTAAAATCCAAAACCATAAAAACCCTAGAAGAAAACTTAAGCAATACCATTCAGGACATAGGCATGGGCAAAGACTTCATGACAAAAATGCCAAAAGCAATTGCAACAAAAGCCAAAATTGACAAATTGGATCTAATTAAACTAAAGACCTTCTGCACAGCAAAGAAACTATCATCAGCATGAAAAAGCAACCTACAGAATGGGAGAAAATTGTTGCAATCTGCCCATCTGACAAAGGTCTAATAACCAAAGTTGACAAGGAACTTAAACATATTTACAAGCAAAAAAACAAACAACCCCATCAAAAGTGAGCAAAAGATATGAACAGAAACTTATCAAAAGGAGACATTTATGCAACCAACAAATATATTTTTAAAAAGCTCAACAACACTGATCATCAGAGAAATGAAAATCAAAATTACAGTGAGATACCATCTCACACCCGTCAGAATGGCGATTATTAAAAAATTAAGAAACAATAGATGCTGGTGAGGCTGAGAAGAAAGAGGAAGGTTTTTACACTGTTGGTGAAACTGTAAATTAGTTCAACCATTGTGGAAGACAGTATGGCTATTCCTCAAGGATCTAGAACCAGAAATACCATTTGACCCAGCAATCCCATTACTGGCTATGTACCCAAAGGAATATAAATCATTCCACTATAAAGACACATGCACACATATGTTTACTGCAGCACTATATACAATAGGAAAGACATGAAACCAACCCAAATGCCCTTCAGTGCTAGACTGGATAGGAACAACACACAACACAGCCCGTTGGGGGCTGGGGGTGAGGGAAGGAAACTTACAGGATAAGTCAATAGGTGCAACGAACCACCATAGCAAAGGATACCTTTATAACAAATCTGCTCGTTCTGCACATGTATCCTGTATTTTTTAAATTTAAAAAGAGGAAATACATACATACATACATACATGCATACATACATACGTATGTACATACTTTTGAAAAACGTCTATACAGCTTGGATCTTCATTCCTGATAAGCCAAGGAACCTGGAGAAACACCAGAATTCTGTCCCTCTGAGAATGCCGGACAGGTTTACCTTCATCACCATAAAATTTTGGAACAAATGTGGTAACTGCAGGTTCTCCCCACAATGAGTAACTGAAAATTGAGGCAGTATTTCAGATCCTAAAAAACTGATGAAGTAATTCGCCACACATTTGGGTTGTTTTTGCCTTTTCCTACTATGAAGATTGCTAATAGGAAGAATAGTGTACAAGTATCTGTTTGATTCCCTGCTTTTAGAATCCTTTGCTTGTTTGTGTGTTTGTCTGTTCCTTCTTGAGACAGGATGTCACTCCAGTCAGCCAGGATTTTCCAGTTTGTAATTTTTGTTGTTTCCTTTTGTCAAGTTTTAGAAGTTGTTATTTTATTTCTATTGAATTTTAAGGCATTTTTAGATATGTATTAAAACATTATCACACAGGCCGTGTGTTACATTGCAATTATTTTCATCATTCCTTTAAGAAACAAAAGATTTAGCTTAGATATCTTCCAATTTGTGAATCTTTTCTGATTTTGACTTTTTTAAAAATGCTGTCATATACAAGAAACCCTTGGATTAAAAATGCCATGAATATTTCTCTTTTCTTGCAGTCATAACTTCGGTGTATGTCATCAATTAGTCTCTGGTTTATAGCATGTTTTCTTGAAAGTGTTTCACAATGTATTTTGGGCATTGAGAATTTCATCAAACTTAAGTGAAGGTTTCGACATTCACTATTGAAGGGAATAGTCCTATTTGATGCCTTATTATTTGCATATCTTGCTTCCACAAGAACACTTCACGCAAAGACTTGTCTTCTCCCCAATGCCAGATCATTACAACATGACATGGAATCAACTGGCCAAAAATGGGAAGGTTATCTCTGGAATGTCTATTTGACTCCATTGATCACTTCATCTTAATTAAGACAAAAAATATGCTGTGTTAATTACCTCACATTGTTGCAAATTCTCAAGTCAGAAAATGTAGTTATAACTTCTTGGCATTTAGTCACTGAAAGAATGATCTTATCTCACAGATGCACATGCTTGGAAGTACTTCTCAAGGCATACACACACATCCAGAAACAAACACACAAATACACTCATACACACAAACTGTTTAATATGTACACAATTGTTAAATAGCATTGTTATACATGAAATAAGGCAAATGTTTAGCTACTATCCTAACCCGGTTCCACTCCTAACATATTTGCTCATAATACTGACAAGTAAATCTGCTTCAACCCTTCCATAGTCACAATGTAAGCAGTGTCCATTAAATTCTCTGAGGAATGCAAGAGGATACAACCTAAGACAAAAAACTTAATTGAATCCTGATATTTCATTAGTAAATAGGGTAATTGATGGATAAATGTAATGGTCTCGGTGGGTGGACAGTAGTTAAATAAGGGCTGATGCAGCAAGATAATTATTTAAAGGCGTTTGAAAGAAATTGAAACAGGAGAGTGGATGTATTCAGCTAAAATAAAATCCGGAAGCCCTGAAATAAATCTCATTTTGCGGGTAAAAAAATGGCATTGGAGGAGATTCTGGGTCAATCATGAAGCTGTGAAAGTTGCATCTTGGAAGCAGGATCCCTGTAATGAAACGAGACTTGTTTATCAGAGGTGGTCTTTCAGAGGAAAAGATTTTGAAGAATGGCCCCTTCCTTTTGTGTATTTGACGATTAGATTTCATGCCAAATTTCGGGTTTTAAACTCTATTTAAACGTTAAAAGAATTAACTAAAATGGCAAAAAAACAAGAAATTTTTTGATTAGGAATCGTCAAATATTCATTTCTTGTTAGATACAGTTACCAAACACGACCTACCGGAGAGAAACAATTGTGGAGAATGGCCCCTTATTTTTGTATATTTGCTGATTAGATTTCATAGTCCATTTCTCATTAGGTACAGAGATCAAAGTTGACCTACCCAAGAGTAGAGATATCCAGGACAGAACTCAGGGCACGGTAGAACCACAGAATCTTGGGTGAAATATTGCTCAAGAACAAAAATGTGCTTATTCAGCGTGTTTCTGTGTGACATGTGTGGAAACTAAAGTGCAATGAGCATGACACGAAGACAGAATATCAATTCGGCTCACCTCAAATCAGTTGTGAGCATTAAAGAAAACCAATTCCTAGGTCCCGCTTAAAGAGATAAGACCATCCAACAACCTGTGTGAAGCCACCGCATCTGGCTTGCTCATGATTCTGGGGATCATTCTCCAGAAAATGGTGGCTCCTTTCTCCCTGTGGAGCATCTTTCTAAGCAGTGCCCTTTCTTCCCCCAGGACACTTTACATGAGGTGCAGGAAGCCTTCTGATGGAGCACACCTGGCCCATGAAAAGACAAGGGAAAGAAAAAGGGCCAAAGGTCACAGTCCTCTCATTACATCATCATCCTTAAAATCATCCTAATTTCATGAGCCCTGAAGACAGGGCTGTTTCTTTACACCTAGAGGCCTTGGCGCCGGGCCTCAATTCTGCCCTGTTCCTTACTGTCTAAGACATTTTGGGAAAATCACTAGAGCCAGGACCTTCATTCCTGGTAAGCCAGAGAGCCGAAAGACACACCCAAATTCTGTCCCTCTTAGTTCAGGGAACAGGTCTACTTTCGTCAGCATTACAATTTTTGCACCAAATGTGCTAACTGCAATTCCACCATACAATGCATAACTGGAAATGGAGGGAACATCTCAGATCATGAACAATCGATGAGAGAATCCAGGAGATACACGGCTTATTTTTGCCTTTTCCCTGTGAAACAAGGGCAAGTATTAAAAACTTTATGCTGTCTTCTATTTCACTGCCTGCTTTTAAACGTCTCCGATGTATTCTTCTTGAGAAAGGGCCTCACTACTGTCACCTGGGCTTTTCTAAGGTATAATTTTCCTTGTTTGCTTTTGTCAAAATTAGAACATTTTATTTCATATCTATGAAATGTTGATCCATTATCACATACGTATGGAAATAGTATCACCAATGCTGTGAGATAAGTTGTTTTTATTTTGGTCAATTCTTTAATAAACAAAAGCTTATAGTTGGGATACCTTCTGATTTCTCAAGGTTTTTGTTTCATGTTTTCTTAAACTGCCGCCGCACGTCCGAAACCACTCACTATACAATGTCAGGACCATCTCTCTTTTCTGGCACACATAAATTTGGGGAATGTCATCAATTAGTCTCTCGGTGATTGCATGATTTCCCCAAAGTCTTTCACAGTCTACTTTGTGCAATGAGTATCTCTTCAAACTTCAGTGCATATTTCTACCATTTGATGCTTTATTATTTGGCAACCTAGCTTCCACAAGAGCATGTCAGGCAAAGAGTTCTCTTGTTCTCCACTGGAAGGTAATTTCATTCGCACAGAGAATCAATAGGCTGAACGTAGAAAGGTTATCGCTGGAAGCTCTGTTTCATTCCACGGATCTCTCCTTTCTTATTAAAGAAAAAAATACGCTGTGCTAAATACCATACTTCATTGACTAATCTCAGGTCAGAAAGCACACTTCCGATTTCTTGTCCTTCTGTCGCTGAGAGGATGATGATAGCTGCCAAAAGTACATACTTGGAAGTTCATCCCAGCACGAGCACACACACACATAAACACACACACACACACACACACACACACACACACACAGACACACACAGGGTTTCATAGGTAAAGATTTCTTCCCTGACATTCTTTTACCTAAAATAAGGCAACTGTGCGGCCACTGCCCAAACCCGGTTACACTCATATTATATGTGCCTATCACCCTGAGGAGTAATTTGATTCAGGTGTTCTAGAAGTCATGATGTGGGCTGTGTCTGTTGAATTCCCAGCGATGCAAGGGGACACACCCTGTGACTCATTCCTTAATTGAGTGCTGATATTTGATTGTTTTATCGCGCACCTGATGGGTGGGTGGGGTGTTCGCGGTTGGTGGGGGTGAGTTCTATAAGGGATGATGCGGCCAGAGAGCTCGTCATTTGAAGACTCTCTCGGAAGAGATAGCGTCTTGCTGCAACCTGCGGTCCCAGCAGAAAAACCTTGTGATCCTTGTTGCGGGCGACATGGGGGACGACTCACTCTACTTGGGAGGTGAGTGGCAGTTCAACCACTTTTCAAAACTCACATCTTCTCGGCCAGATGCAGCTTTTGCTGAAATCCAGCGGACTTCTCTCCCTGAGAAGTCACCACTCTCATCTGAGACCCGTGTCGACCTCTGTGATGATTTGGCTCCTGTGGCAAGACAGCTCGCTCCCAGGGAGAAGCTTCCTCTGAGTAGCAGGAGACCTGCTGCGGTGGGGGCTGGGCTCCAGAATATGGGAAATACCTGCTACGAGAACGCTTCCCTGCAGTGCCTGACATACACACTGCCCCTTGCCAACTACATGCTGTCCCGGGAGCACTCTCAAACATGTCAGCGTCCCAAGTGCTGCATGCTCTGTACTATGCAAGCTCACATCACATGGGCCCTCCACAGTCCTGGCCATGTCATCCAGCCCTCACAGGCATTGGCTGCTGGCTTCCATAGAGGCAAGCAGGAAGATGTCCATGAATTTCTCATGTTCACTGTGGATGCCATGAAAAAGGCATGCCTTCCCGGCCACAAGCAGGTAGATCATCACTGCAAGGACACCACCCTCATCCACCAAATATTTGGAGGCTGCTGGAGATCTCAAATCAAGTGTCTCCACTGCCACGGGATTTCAGACACTTTTGACCCTTACCTGGACATCGCCCTGGATATCCAGGCAGCTCAGAGTGTCAAGCAAGCTTTGGAACAGTTGGTGAAGCCCGAAGAACTCAATGGAGAGAATGCCTATCATTGCGGTCTTTGTCTCCAGAGGGCGCCGGCCTCCAACACGTTAACTTTACACACTTCTGCCAAGGTCCTCATCCTTGTCTTGAAGAGATTCTCCGATGTCGCAGGCAACAAACTTGCCAAGAATGTGCAATATCCTGAGTGCCTTGACATGCAGCCATACATGTCTCAGCAGAACACAGGACCTCTTGTCTATGTCCTCTATGCTGTGCTGGTCCACGCTGGGTGGAGTTGTCACGACGGACATTACTTCTCCTATGTCAAAGCTCAAGAAGTCCAGTGGTATAAAATGGATGATGCCGAGGTCACTGTCTGTAGCATCATTTCTGTCCTGAGTCAACAGGCCTATGTCCTCTTTTACATCCAGAAGAGTGAATGGGAAAGACACAGTGAGAGTGTGTCAAGAGGCAGGGAACCAAGAGCCCTCGGCGCTGAAGACACAGACAGGCGAGCAAAGCAAGGAGAGCTCAAGAGAGACCACCCCTGCCTCCAGGCACCCGAGTTGGACGAGCACTTGGTGGAAAGAGCCACTCAGGAAAGCACCTTAGACCACTGGAAATTCCTGCAAGAGCAAAACAAAACGAAGCCTGAGTTCAACGTCGGAAAAGTCGAAGGTACCCTGCCTCCCAACGCACTTGTGATTCATCAATCAAAATACAAGTGTGGGATGAAAAACCATCATCCTGAACAGCAAAGCTCCCTGCTAAACCTCTCTTCGACGACCCGGACAGATCAGGAGTCCATGAACACTGGCACACTCGCTTCTCTGCAAGGGAGGACCAGGAGAGCCAAAGGGAAGAACAAACACAGCAAGAGGGCTCTGCTTGTGTGCCAGTGATCTCAGTGGAAGTGCCGACCCACACGTAGGGGTGCACGCACACACACACACACACAAATACACCCACAAGCACGCACGCAAACACACACACACACACCCCCAAACAAACCCGAACACCGTCAATCCTACATAAAGTAATGAGGAGTCCAAGTTTCTGTCTCTACAACAGGGACAACTGGATAGTGATGGCTGTATCTCAGGATGAGCCCACACATGGGAAACATCAAGTTTTGGGGTCGTGAGTCTTCCGAACCTCTGGAGGGACTGTCTGTGTGTTTGTGTTCATGGTAGATGACATTCACTGTGTATTTCTGAATATGACCTACTGACGTGTAGGTTTGCGTGTGAGGTTATTGCAGGGGACTCGGTTTCCTATTTTCTCTTGGGGTGTGTTTCATTCGTCAGTTGTTGGGCGGCACGGGAAGGTGAAATTTTGCTCATGTGGCACATCCGTGGATCATTCTCGCCACCTTGAATAGTGGAAACTGGAATGCATTTAGAAGATAGGAACGGTGCTCTTCTTTCTTACCCTGGCTCGCCGTTTTTACATTGGTTTCTGAAGGGACCTCAGGCGCCCTGGGACTTGTGCTCTTGCTGGAACCCACATAACGCCGGAAACAGACAGACCGACTTGCCTGTTTCACGGGGTCCACTTCCAATGAGTCGAAACGGAAAATTTTCCCACTGGCATGTCAGTCATTTGGAACTAAGTCCTATTGATAATAAAGGAAATCAAACACAGGAGTGTGTGTATTCAACTGAAATAAATTCAGAAAGCCCTGAAAAAAAATCTCATTTGGTGTGCTTACAAATGGCATTTGGGGAGATTCCGGGTCATTCGTCCAGCTGCGAAAGCTACACCTCTGAAGCACAGTCCCTGTCCTTCAATCAGACTTACGTATCCGACGTGGTGTTTCCGTGGAAATGATTGTGGGAAATGGCCCCTTCCTTGTCTGTATTTGCTGATTAGATTTCATGGTCCCTTTCTCGTTAGGTGCAGTGATCAAAGTTGACCAACCCCAGAGGAAAGCTGCCCAGGGCACCACTCAGGGCTCCGTAGAACCACAGAATCTTGGGCGCAACCCTGCTCAAGCACCCAAATGTGCATACGAACAGGGTCTCCGTGTGACGTGTGTGAAAACTACAGTGTGATGAGCATGACTCGCAGACAGGTTATCGATTGGGCTCCCCTCAAAATCAGTTAGGAACATGAAAGCACACCGATGCCCAGGTCCCGGCTGCAGGAATAAGACCCTCCGACGTCTTGTGTGAAGCCACGGCATCTGCGTTGCTCATGCTTCTGGGGATCATTCTCCTGAAAATGGTGGCTTCTTTCTCCCTGTGGAGCATCTTTCTAAGCAGTGCTCCTTTCTTCCCCCAGGACACTTTACATCAGGCGCACGAAGCCTTCTGATGGACCACACCTGGCCCATGAAAAGACAAGGGAAAGAAACGGGGCCAAAGGTCACAGTCCTCTCATTCCATCATCCTCCTTAAAATCATCCGAATTTCATGGGCCCTGAAGCCAGGGCTGTTTCTTTAAAACTAGAGGCCTTGGCGCCGGGCCTCAATTCTGCCCTGTTCCTTACTGTCTAAGACATTTTGGGAAAATCCCTAGAGCCAGGATCTTCATTCCTGGTAAGCCAGAGAGCCTGAAGACACACCCAAATGCTGTCCCTCTTAGTTCAGGGAACATGTCCACTTTCGTCAGCATTACAATTTTTGCACCAAATGTGCTAACTGCAATTCCACCATACAATGCATAACTGGAAATGGAGGGAACATCTCAGATCATGAACAATCGATGCGAGAATCCAGGAGACACACGGCTTATTTTTGCCTTTTCCCTGTGAAACAAGGGCCAGCAGTAAAAAGGTTATGCTATCTTCTGTTTCACTCCCTGCTTTTAAACGTCTCCGATGTTTTCTTCTTGAGACAGGGCCTCATTCCCGTCACCCGGGCTTTTCTACGGTATAATTTTCCTTGTTTGCTTTTGTCAAAATTAGAACTTTTTATTTCATCTCTATGAAATGTTGAGCCATTATCACATACGTGTGGAAATAGTATCACCCATGCTGTGAGATACGTTGTTTTGATTTTCATCAGTTCTTTAATAAACAAAAGCTTATAGTTGGGATACCTTTGGATTTCTCAAGGTTTTTGTTTCATGTTTTCTTAAACTGCCGCCGCACGTCCGAAACCACTCACTATACAATGTCAGGACCATCTCTCTTTTCTGGCACACATAAATTTGGGGAATGTCATCAATTAGTCTCTCGGTGATTGCATGATTTCCCCAAAGTCTTTCACAGTCTACTTTGTGCGCTGAGTATCTCTTCAAACTTCAGTGCATGTTTCTACCATTTGATGCTTTAGTATTTGGCAGCCTAGCTTCCACAAGAGCATTTCATGCAAAGACCTGTCTTGTTCTCCACTGGCCGGTAATTTCACTCGGATAGAGAATCAATAGTCTGAACGTGGAAAGGTCATCGCTGGAAGGTCTGTTGGATTCCACGGATCTCTCCTTTATTATTAAGGAAAAATATACGCTGTGCTAAATACTATACTTCATTGACTATTCTCAGGTCAGAAAGTGCACTTCAGACTTCTTGTGCTTCCATCGCTGAGAGGATGATGATAGCTGCCAAAAGTACATACTTGGAAGTTCATCCCAGCACAAGCGCACACACACACACACACACACACACACACACACAGAGACACACACACGGTTTCATAGATAAAGATTTCTTCCCTGACATTCTTTTACCTAAAATAAGGCAACTGTGTGGCCACTGTCCCAACCCGGTTACACTCATATTATATGTGCCTATCACCCTGAGGAGTAATTTGATTCAGGTGTTCTAGAAGTCATGATGTGGGCTGTGTCTGTTGAATTCCCAGCGATGCAAGGGGACACACCCTGTGACTCATTCCTTAATTGAGTGCTGATATTTGATTGTTTTATCGCGCACCTGATGGGTGGGTGGGGTGTTCCCGGCTGGTGGGGGTGAGTTCTATAAGGGATGATGCGGCCAGAGAGCTCGTCATTTGAAGACTCTCTCGGAAGAGATAGCGTCTTGCTGCAACCTGCGGTCCCAGCAGAAAAACCTTGTGATCCTTGTTGCGGGCGACATGGGGGACGACTCACTCTACTTGGGAGGTGAGTGGCAGTTCAACCACTTTTCAAAACTCACATCTTCTCGGCCAGATGCAGCTTTTGCTGAAATCCAGCGGACTTCTCTCCCTGAGAAGTCACCACTCTCATCTGAGACCCGTGTCGACCTCTGTGATGATTTGGCTCCTGTGGCAAGACAGCTCGCTCCCAGGGAGAAGCTTCCTCTGAGTAGCAGGAGACCTGCTGCGGTGGGGGCTGGGCTCCAGAATATGGGAAATACCTGCTACGAGAACGCTTCCCTGCAGTGCCTGACATACACACTGCCCCTTGCCAACTACATGCTGTCCCGGGAGCACTCTCAAACATGTCAGCGTCCCAAGTGCTGCATGCTCTGTACTATGCAAGCTCACATCACATGGGCCCTCCACAGTCCTGGCCATGTCATCCAGCCCTCACAGGCATTGGCTGCTGGCTTCCATAGAGGCAAGCAGGAAGATGTCCATGAATTTCTCATGTTCACTGTGGATGCCATGAAAAAGGCATGCCTTCCCGGCCACAAGCAGGTAGATCATCACTCTAAGGACACCACCCTCATCCACCAAATATTTGGAGGCTGCTGGAGATCTCAAATCAAGTGTCTCCACTGCCACGGGATTTCAGACACTTTTGACCCTTACCTGGACATCGCCCTGGATATCCAGGCAGCTCAGAGTGTCAAGCAAGCTTTGGAACAGTTGGTGAAGCCCGAAGAACTCAATGGAGAGAATGCCTATCATTGCGGTCTTTGTCTCCAGAGGGCGCCGGCCTCCAACACGTTAACTTTACACACTTCTGCCAAGGTCCTCATCCTTGTCTTGAAGAGATTCTCCGATGTCGCAGGCAACAAACTTGCCAAGAATGTGCAATATCCTGAGTGCCTTGACATGCAGCCATACATGTCTCAGCAGAACACAGGACCTCTTGTCTATGTCCTCTATGCTGTGCTGGTCCACGCTGGGTGGAGTTGTCACGACGGATATTACTTCTCTTATGTCAAAGCTCAAGAAGGCCAGTGGTATAAAATGGATGATGCCGAGGTCACTGTCTGTAGCATCACTTCTGTCCTGAGTCAACAGGCCTATGTCCTCTTTTACATCCAGAAGAGTGAATGGGAAAGACACAGTGAGAGTGTGTCAAGAGGCAGGGAACCAAGAGCCCTTGGCGCTGAAGACACAGACAGGCCAGCAACGCAAGGAGAGCTCAAGAGAGACCACCCTTGCCTCCAGGTACCCGAGTTGGACGAGCACTTGGTGGAAAGAGCCACTGAGGAAAGCACCTTAGACCACTGGAAATTCCCCCAAGAGCAAAACAAAATGAAGCCTGAGTTCAACGTCAGAAAAGTTGAAGGTACCCTGCCTCCCAACGTACTTGTGATTCATCAATCAAAATACAAGTGTGGGATGAAAAACCACCATCCTGAACAGCAAAGCTCCCTGCTAAACCTCTCTTCGATGAACTCGACAGATCAGGAGTCCATGAACACTGGCACACTCGCTTCTCTGCAAGGGAGGACCAGGAGATCCAAAGGGAAGAACAAACACAGCAAGAGATCTCTGCTTGTGTGCCAGTGATCAGAGTGGAAGTACCGACCCACACTGAGGGGTACACACACACACACACAAACACAAATACACCCACAAGCGCGCACGGAAACACACCCACACCCACACAAACACGAACACCGTGAATCCTACATAAAGTAATGAGGAGCCCCAGTTTCTGTCTCTACAACAGGGACAATTGGATAGTGATGGCTGCGTCTCAGGATGAGCCCACATATGGGAAACATCATGTTTTGGGGTCGTGAGTCTTCCGAACCTCTGGAGGGACTGTCTGTGTGTTTGTGTTCATGGTAGATGACATTCAGTGTGTATTTCTTAATGTGACCTATTGACCTGTAGGTTTGCGTGTGAGGTTATTGCAGGGGACATGGTTTACTATTTCCTCTTGGGGTTTGTTTCTTTCGTCAGTTGTTGGTCGTCAAGAGAAGGTGAAATTTTGCTCATGTGGTACATCCGTGGATCATTCTTGCCACCTTGAATAGTGGATACTGGAATTCAATTGGAAGATAGGAACGGTGCTCTTCTTTCTTACCCTGGCTCGCCCATTTTATTTTGGTTTCTGAATGGACCTCAGGTGCCCTGGGACTTGTGCTCTTGCTGGAACCCACATAATGCGGGAAACAGACAGACCGACTTACCTGTTTCACGGTGTCCACTTCCATTGCGTGGAAACGGAAAATTTTCCCACTGGCACGGAAGTCATTTGGAACTAATTCTCATTGATACTAAAGGAAATCAAACACTGGAGTGTGTGTATTCATCTAAAATACATTCAGAAAGCCCTGAAATAAACCTCATTTGGTGTGTTTACAAATGGCATTTGAGGAGATTCCGGGTCATTCGTCCAGCTGCGAAAGCTGCATCTCTGAAACACAGTCCCTGTCCTGCAATCAGACTTATTTATCCGACGTGGTGTTTCTGTGGAAATTATTGTGGGAAATGGCCCCTTCCTTTTCTGTATTTGCTGATTAGATTTCATGGTCCCTTTCTTGTTAGGTGCAGTGATCAAAGTTGACCAACCCCTGAGGAAAGCTGTCCAGGTCACAACTCAGGGCTCCGTAGAACCACAGAATCTTGGGCACAACCCTGCTCAAGCACCCAAATGTGCATACGAACAGGGTCTCTGTGTGACGTGTGTGAAAACTACAGTGTGATGAGCATGACTTGCAGACAGGTTATCGATTGGGCTCCCCTCAAAATTAGTTATGAGCATTAAAGCACACCGATGCCCAGGTCCCGGCTGCAGGAATAAGACCCTCCAACGTCTTGTGTGAAGCCACGGCATCTGGATTGCTCATGCTTCTGGGGATCATTCTCCTGAAAATTGTGGCTCCTTCCTGCCTGTGGAGCACCTCTCTAAGCAGTGCCCTTTCTTCACCCAGGACACTTTACATCAGGCACAGAAAGCCTTCTGATGGAGCACACCTGGCCCATGAAAAGACAAGGGAGAAGAAACGGGGCCAAAGATCACAGTCCTCTCATTCCACCATCCTCCTTAAAATCATCCGAATTTCATGGGCCCTGAGGCCACGGCTGTTTCTTTACACCTCGAGACCTTGGCGCCGGGCCTCAATTCTGCCCCAGTGCTTACTGTCTAAGACATTTTGGGAAAATCCCTAGAGCCTGGATCTTCAATCCTGGTAAGCCAGAGAGCCTGGAGACACACCCAAATTATGTCCCTCTTAGTTCAGGGAACATGTCCATTTTCGACAGCATTAAAATTTTGGCACCAAATGTGCTAACTGCAATTCCACCATACAATGCGTAACTGGAAATGGAGGCAACATCTCATATCCTGAACAATTCATGCGAGAATCTAGGAGACACACGGCTTACTTTTGCCTTTTCCCACTGAAACAAGGGCCAGTATTAACAATGTTATGCTATCCTTGGTTTCACTCCCCACTTTTAAATCTCTCGGATGTTTACTTCTTGAGACAGGGCGTCACTGCCGTCACCCACGCTTTTCTACGGTGTAATTTTTGTTGTTTGCTTTTGTCAAATTTAGAAATTTTCATTCATCTCTATCAAATGTTGCTCCATTATCACATACGTATGAAAATATTATCACGCGTGCTGTGAGATACGTTGTTTTTATTTTCATCAATTCTTTTGTAAAACAAAGGTTATAGTTGGGATACCTTCTGATTTCTCAAGTTTTTTGTTTCATATTTTCTTAAACTGCCGTCGCACGTCCAAAACCACTCACTATACAATGTCTTGACCATCTCTCTTTTCTGGCAAATATAAATTTTCGGAATGTCATCAGTTAGTCTCTCGGTGATTCCATTATTTCCCCAAAGTCTTTTACAGTCTAGTTTGTGCACTGAGTATCTCTTCAAACTTCAGTGCATGTTTCTACGACTTAATGCTTTATTATTCAGCAATCTAGCTTCCACAAGAGCATTTAATGTAAAGACTTGTCTTTTTCTCCACTGGCAGGTAATTTCACTCGGATATAGAATCATTAGGCTGATTATGGAAAGGTTATCGCTGGGAGGTGTGATTGATTCCACGGATCTCTCCTTTTTTATTGAGGAAAAATATATGCTGTGCTAATTACTATACTTCATTGCCTATTCTCAGGTCAGAAAGCGCACTTCAGACTTCTCCTTCTATCGCTGAAAGGATGATGGTATCTGCCAAAAGCACATACTCGGAAGTACATCCCAGCACAAACACACACACACACACACACTCACACAGAGAGAGACACACACACGGTTTCATAGATAAAGATTTCTTCCCTGACATTCTTTTACCTAAAATAAGGCAACTGTGTGGCCACTGTCCCAACCCGGTTACAATCATATTATATGTGCCTATCATCCTGAGGAGTAATTTGATGCAGGTGTTTTAGAAGTCATGATGTGGGCTGTGTCTGTTGAATTCCCAGCGATGCAAGGGGACACACCCTGTGACTCATTCCTTAATTGAGTGCTGATATTTGATTGGTTTATCGCGCACCTTATGTGCGGGTGGCGTGTTCGCTCTTGGTGCGGATGAGTTATGTAAGGGCTGATTTGGCCAGAGAACTCGTTATTTGAAGACTCTCTCGGAAAAGATAGCGTCTTTCTGCAACCTGCGGTCCCAGCAGAAAAACCTTGTGATCCTTGTTCCAGGCGACATGGAGGACGACTCACTCTACTTGGGAGGTGAGTGGCAGTTCAACCACTTTTCAAAACTCACATCTTCTCGGCCAGATGCAGCTTTTGCTGAAATCCAGCGGACTTCTCTCCCTGAGAAGTCACCACTCTCATCGGAGACCCGTGTCGACCTCTGTGACGATTTGGCTCCTGTGACAAGACAGCTTGCTCCCAGGGAGAAGCTTCCTCCGAGTAGCAGGAGACCTGCTGCGGTGGGAGCTGGTCTCCAGAATATGGGAAATACCTGCTACTTGAATGCTTCCCTGCAGTGCCTGACATACACACTGCCCCTTGCCAACTACATGCTGTCCTGGGAGCTCTCTCAAATGTGTCATCGTCCCAAGTGCTGCATGCTCTGTATTATGGAAGCTCACAGCACACGGGCACCTCCACCGTCCTGGCCATGTCATCCAGCCCTCACAGGCATTGGCTGCTGGCTTCCATAGAGGCAAGCAGGAAGATGCCCATGAATTTCTCATATTCACTGTGGATGCCATTAGAAAGGCATGCCTTCCCGGGCACAAGCAGCTAGATCATCACTGCAAGGACACCACCCTCATCCACCAAATATTTGGAGGGTACTAGAGATCTCAAATCAAGTGTCTCTACTTCCACGGCATTTCAGACACCTTCGACCCTTACCTGGATATCGCCCTGGATATCCAGGCAGCTCAGAGTGTCAAGCAAGCTTAGGAACAGTTGGTGAAGCCCGAAGAACTCAATGGAGAGAATGCCTATCATTGTGGTCTTTGTCTCCAGAAGGCGCCTGCCGCCAAGACGTTAACTTTACACACTTCTGCCAAGGTCCTCATCCTTGTCTTGAAGAGATTCTCCGATGTCACAGGCAACAGACTTGCCAAGAATGTGCAATATCCTGAGTGCGTTGACATGCAGCCATACATGTCTCAGCAGAACACAGGACCTCTTTTCTATGTCCTCTATGCTGTTCTCATCGTCACCGGGTGGAGTTGTCACAACGGACATTACTTCTCTTGTGTCAAAGCTCAAGAAGGCCAGTGGTATAAAATGGATGATGCCGAGGTCACTGCCTCTGGTATCACTTCTCCTTTGAGTCAACAGGCCTATGTCCTCTTTTACATCCAGAAGAATGAATTTGGAAGACCCAGTTACAGGGTGTCCGCAGGCAGGGAACCAAGAGCTCTTTGTGCTGAAGACAATTGAATTGTGTGTGAAATAATATGTCATGAATAAATCTTGCAGCAGAGTATTTATTTGTCTCACTTTGTAATCAGTGAATGAGCTTTAACGAATATCAATGCCTAGTGCCTACCCCCCAGAGATAAGAACTTTCAGTCTCTCATGTGTAATCATGGCATCTGGATTGCTCATGATTCTGAAGATAATTCTCCTGTCCCCCAAAGTTTCAGAATCACTTCAGGTGGTAGAAACAGATAACACATCAGTCCCTTTCTCTCTCTTTTCTCTTCACTCAGGAAAACTCTCACTGGACCAAGGAAAATCCTATGGTTTACTAGGGAGGAGTAGTTTTCTCAGCAGTGAAAATGGTGGCTCCTTCCTCCCTGTCAAGTCTCTTCCTCAGGATTGCCCCTTTATCTCTCCAGGACTCTGCTCATCAGGCCCGAGATGCCCCCTGGTTGCGCATACTTGGCCTATGAAGAAATATGGGGAAGGAATGGTTCCAAAGACCATACTATGCTCACTCCACCATCGCCTCTGACACTATGCTGACTTCATGAGCCCTGGGTCAGAAGCTGTTTTCTTTACACCTCTAGGCCTTGCCTCATGGCCTAAAGATGTCCCCATTTCTTACATCTTATAAATTTTGACAAAACCCTCAGGGCCTAAATCTTCATTCCTCATAGGCCAAAGGGAGATACACCAGAATTCTGTCCCTCTGAGACTGCAGGACATCTCAGCTTCCATCAACATGAAATTTTGCACCAAATATAGTTACTGCAGTTCCACCTCACAATGAGTAACTGGAAGTTCAGACAACATCTCAGACTCTATACAGTTTCTGGCCAAGCTCATTTGGTTTAACAATGCTTTTACTCTATAAATCAGTTGTGAGAACACTTAGGATTCATATTATTTAGTATTTTAATCAGTCTGTTATTATTTTCAATGTGTTTACTAGACTTTAGTTTAATATTTCTGATAAACTTTGATGCAAAAATTCTCGATATAATAGTGGCAAACCAAATCCAGCAACATATCAAAAACCTTATCCACCAAGATCAAGTCAGCTTCTTCCCTTTGGTGCAAGGCTGGTTCAACAAACACAAATCAATAAATATAATTCACCATGTAAACCGAACTAAAGACAAAAACCCCATGATTATTTTAGTATACTCAGAAAAGATCTTTGATAAAATTCAACATTCCTTTATGTTAAAAACCTCAGGAAACTAGGTATTGATGGAACATATCTCAAAATAATAAGAGTCATTTTTGACAAACCCACAGCCAATATCATATTGAATAGGCAAAAGCTGGAAGCATTCCTTTTGAAATTCGGCACAAGGCAAGGATGCCCTCTCTCACCACTCCTACTCCATATAGTACTGGAAGTTCTGGCCGAGGCAATCAGCCAAGAGAAAGAAATAAAGCATATTCAAATAGTAAAAGAGGAAGTTGAACTGTCTTTGTTTGCAGATGACATGATCCTATATCTATAAAATCCCATCATCTCAGCCCAAAAGATTCTTAAGCTTATGAGCCACTGCAGTAAATTCTCAAGATACAAAATCAGTGTGCAAAAATCACAAGCATTCTTATACACCAACAATAGACAAGAAGAGAGCCAAATCACAAATAAGTTCCCATTTACATTTGCTGCAGAGTATAAAATACCTAGGAATACAGCTAACAAGGCAAGTGAAGGACCTCTTCAAGGAGAACTACAAACCACTACTCAAGGAAATAAGAGAGGACACAAACAAATGGAAAAACATTCCATGCTCATGGGTAAGAAGAATCAATATCATGAAAATGCCATACTTCCCAAAGTAATTCATAGATTCAATGCTATTCCCATAAACTACCATGGACGTTCTTTACAAAATTAGAAAAAACTACTTCAAAATTCATATGGAATGAAAAAAGAGCCCATATACCCAGGACAATCCTAAGGTAAAATAACAAAGTTAGAGGCATCATGCTACCTAACTTCAAACTATATTACAAGGCTACGGTAACCCAACAGCATGGTAGTGGTACAAAACAGACACATAGACCAATGGAATGGAATAGATATATCAGAAATAAGACTGCACATCTACAACCATTTTATTTTTGATGAAAACAAGCAATGGGGAAAGGATTCCCTATTTAATAATAAATGGTGCTTGAAAAATTGGCTAGACATAGGCAGAAAACTGAAACTGTACCCCTTCCTTATACCTTATACAAAAATGAACTGAAAATGGATTAAGACTTAAATGTAAAACCCAAAACTGTAAAAAATCCAACCCCATATAAAAGTGGGCAAAAGCTGGGTACAGTGGCTCATGCCTGTAATCCCAGCAGTTTGGGAGGGTGAAGTGGGCAGATAACTTGAGGCCAGGAATTCAAGATCAGCCTGGCCAAGCTGGTGAAACCACGTCTCTACTGAAAATACAATAAATTAGCCGGATGTAGTGGTGCGGACCTGTAATCCCAACTACTCAAGAGCCTGAGAGAGAAGAATCGCCTGAATCTGGGAGGCAGAAGTTGCAGTGACCCGAGATTGTGCCACTGAACTCCACCCTGAGTGACAGAGCAAGACTCTGTCTTAAAAAATAAAAATGTAAAAATTTCAAAAGTGGGCAAAGGACATGAACAGACACTTCTCAAAAGAAGACATTTATGCAGCCAACAAACATGAAAAAAAAGCCCAACATTACTGATCATTAGAGAAATACAAATCAAAACCGCAGTGAGATACCATCTCATGCCAGTCAGAATGGTGATTATTAAAAAGTCAAAAAACAACAGATGCTGGTGAGACTGTGGGGAAATAGGAAAACTTTTACACTGTTGGTGTGAATGTAAGTTAGTTCAACCACTGTGGAAGACTGTGGTGATTTTTCAAAGACCTAGAATCAGAAATACCATTTGACCCAGCAATCCCATTACTGCATATATACTCAAAGGAATATAAATTCTTGTATTATAAAGATACATGCATGGGTATGTTCATTGCAGCACTATTCATGAAAGCAAAGACATAGAATCAACCCAAATGCCCATCAATGATAGACTGGATACAGAAACTGTGATACATATACACCATGGAATACTATGCAGCCATAAAAAGGAATGAGATCATGTCCTTTGCAGGGACATGGATGAAGCTGGAAGTCATTATTCTCAGCAAACTAATGCAGGAACAGAAAACCAAATACACATGTTCTCACTTAATAAGTGGGAGATGAAAAATGAGAGAACATAGACACAGGGAGGGGAACAACACACACTGGATCCTGTCTGTGGGTGAGTGGGGAGGGAGTGCATCAGGATGAATAGCTAATGCATGTGGGCTGAATACCTAGGTGATGGGTTGATAGGTACAGGAAACCACCATGGCACACATTTACCTATGTAACAAACCTGCGCATCATGCACATGTATCCCAGAACTTAAAATGAAATAAAATAAAATTTTAAAAAACTTTATTTTTTCTAACCTTCCAAAATGCAGGGATTACAGGCATAAGCCACCATGCCTGGCCCTGTTTTAACATATCTGAACAAGATTTAAGACATCAGTTTGAAAAGAGCCCCTCTATGGCAGCAACATGAATTCTGTCAAACCTGAAGCAAGAACAAACATCAAATTTACGGTGAAGCTGGGGTACAAAAAATGGTGAAATAAATTATTCTTTATGAAAAGTCTATGGGAAAAATGACCTGAAGAATCAGTCATTTACAAACGGATACCTTATTCTAAGAAGAGATAATACAATGTTGAAGATGAAGTCAACAGAGGAGGGACATCCATACCAATTTTTGAGAAAAAAAAATCGTTTCTATGCTCTCATTGAGGAGGATTGACAATTAACAAGAGATACTGTAGCCAACATCACAGACATCTCAATTGGTTCAGCTTACACAATACTGACTATAACGTGAAAGTTGAGAAACTTTACATTTGATGAGTCCCAAATACCCTTGTGCCTAGATCAGCAGTGGACAAAAGCAGAGCTATTAGTAACTATTTTGAGCAAGCAGAATCAAGATCCTGAAGCATTATTTTGAAGAATTTTAACAGGGAGTGAAACTGGCTTTATCAATAAGATCCTGAAGACAAAGCACAATTCAAGCCATGGCTACCAAGAGGTAGAAGTGGTCCAGTCAAAGCAAAAGCAAACTTCTCAAAAGCAAAAGCCATGGAGGTTTTGGGGATGCTCAAGGTATTTTGCTTGTTGACTTTTTGTAAGGTCAAAGCACGATAACATCTGCTTACTAGGAGAGTTCTTAGAGAAAATTAGCAAATACTTTTGCAGAAAAGCGCCCTGTAAAGCTTCACTAGAGAGTCCCTCTGCACCACAACAACACTTCTGTTCCTTCCTCTCATCAAACATGGGTAATTTTGCAAGAGTTTTCATGGGAAATTATTAGGCATCAACATTACAGTCCTGATTTGGTTTCTTCTGACCTTTTTTTCCCTAACCTTAAAATAACTGTATAACTGTAAAGGGCACCCATTTTTCTTTAGTTAATAATAGAAGACTGCATTGACACGGTTAAATTCCCATTACCCTCAGTTGTTTAGCAATGGACTGAATGGCTGGGATCATCCTTTAATGGAGTGTCTGGACCTCAGTAAAGCTTATATTGAGAAATAAAGTTTATATTTATATTTTTATTGTTAATTCCATTTTTCACTGACATTTTTAAATCCCTTCACAATTCACCTTTGTCTCAAAGGTATTTAAATTTAGAAATCATATCAAGTGTGAAATAAAAAAATTATATAGACAGAGGGAGAACAGAATCTATAAATATGCATGTTTGTGTACATACATCCATATACATACATATGTGTGTGCATGCAATAATTTTATTGCCCTAAAGCAATGCCTCTGCCTTCCACCCTCACTGCACATGTCCTAGTCCTGTGATGTCCCTGGAACTGAGCACCTGATTTCCTTCTCTGCCTCCCACATGAACAGGGAATAGAAATGGAAACCACGTTCTGTGGTTGCTGTTGTGAAAATCCATGTTCCCCACAGGCTGAGTTTAGCATCTTACATTCTAGTTCTCATTGTAAAAAAGCAAGCAACAAACAAAAACTACAAAAGAAAAAATGAAATAGTTGAAAGTCTAGAGCCACAGAGGTTCCGGATCCACCCACCGCCCACGGTGACCTCCACAGCCCTCCAGGCCTGAGGACAGCTATGCCTGAACAGCCTGCCTCTTCACCATCCACACAGGAAAGTGACTTTAAACTTCAATAGCTATTACTCTGTTCCACAAGGAACCAGGCCAACATTCAAAGTCAGTGGTCTGACAACTCTAAGCTTTGGCCGGAAAGTATTGGAAACATTTAACGTGCAGTGGATGAAGCAGCCCGGCCCCACTGCACACAACACACTCACAGGGACTCAAAGGAAGAGACTCAGGATCCGCTGGGTGGAAGTGAGGACAGACCCAGAAACACAGGGGGTGGGAAGGGGTCAAACCAGGAAGGCTCAGGACCTGACCTCCTCCTAGGCCCTGCCTCTCTAGAACTCGCAGTTTTTTCTGACCTAGAAGCGGATTTCACTGATGGAAAAGAAGTTCAGTATTTCTGGTCCAGCCCAGTAAGCTGCTCCCATTGCCCAGCCTTCCACACCACTGCAGACGTCACAATCCCTGCACCCACTAACCTGACAAGGGAGCTATGCATCACCTGGAGACAGTCTTAGGCCTGCACTCCTGTGATGGGGTCCAGGGTCTGTGTCCATTTCTGGTTAAAATTGCTGTAAGGCTGGTCGCTGTCTTGGCCTTCCCTGCTTCCTCTCTGTTCAATTCTCCCCTCCTCACCCCATGTGAAGCTTTTACTCAGGAGATGGATTCTCACCCCTCTTGAAACATCAAGGATAGTGCCAGGACACTGCACCATCCCCTTGACCCTGGGATTCTGTAGACCTCAGTCTTCTCCTGAGGTCCCCTCCCTCCCTACCTCATTTTTTCCATACTTCTGGGGCCTGGGCCTGCTACACCTCAGGCTTCCTCTTCACAGTCACAGAGTGAGGGAGCCCCCTTCATCCTTGGGCTCTGGCCACAGCTCACCTGCTGCAGGACACTCAGCAGCTTTCAGTAGTTCATCCAGACATCCAGTTGGAAGTGAGATTTCCTGGAAGGAAAGCAGGAACCCAGAATTACACTGAATTCTAACACCAGGGCCCAGGTTCCCCTTCTGCATGGGACACTAAGCTGCAAACACTACATGGGCACTTAATGCTCAGCTGTCCTTCTAACATCTGGTCCGATTGTGTCCCTCCTCCTTGGAATATCTCAGAAAATGTATCTCCACCTAGAGTTCTTTGAAAGCATCATCCTATGTGATTCCAGACCATCAGGGGGTGCAATGGGTCCTCACCAGTATTTCCACTCTGCTTGGAAGACTTAGAAAATCCTGAGGCTGCTCAGAGGGTCAGCTTCCCATCGCTGTGTTTCAGTAAAACTTCAGTCTTCCCTGGACAAGTGAGGAGACAGAAAATGTCTAGTCTCTGGCACATCTTTTGCAAGCAATGGCGGCTCCCAGGAATCAATACTATCAACGAATATATTTTTGAGATTCTGGTCAAAAGAAGAGTCATCCTGCAATTTCAGGTAGGATGGAGTGGTTCTGTGGCTCCTGAGGTGATTTTGAAAAGATCTTGACTCTCAGAAGGACCAAGGAGGACATTTCTGGCATTTCCAGACCAGGAAGAGTGACTGATGGACCTCCAGTGTTACTTGGAAAAATTTTGTTGGACAGCTTTGTAATAAGAGGATCTTGCTTTGGCTTTCAGGCCTTCACATAGGTTGTTTAGATCATGGAAGTGTTTCTGCATTTCTGCATAGGCTCAGGATGCCTTCTCAAGTCGTCCCTGCAATTATGAGACAGTTGCTTTCTCCAGAGGTCACTTAGAATAATACAAGAGGCTTCACCCTCAAAGGGACACCAGACAATATAGCCACAGTCCAGCCAAGATTATCTGTATTTACATACCTGTAAAGTAACACTCCTAGTGATCTCCATTAACTTGGACATCTTTCATGAATAGGGAAACTCTAGTGATTGTTATATAACAGCTGCCACAAAAATTAATCAATAAAAAGAAACGATATATGAAAAATAATTAATAATCATGATAATGAACTCAATGACCTAAATAGTATGAATTTTAATACTGGAGACAATATAAATGTAAGGATACAAAAATTAATGTGGAGCTTCCCCTAAATATATGAAAACTTCACAGACTGTGTCCTCCTTGTGTAATTTGGAGTCAGAGTCAAAGAATTTCTCTATGAAATGTGTTCCATGATGGCAAACATCAAAAACAGGAGGTGAAAGAAAAGCAAGCCGCAGGAGACCATGGGCTAATATGAACATTTGTGTGCAAACCTCTCTCATCAAGAACTACCAGCCAGAGGTGAAGGGACTGTGATTTGTGTCCTGCCCACCACTGGGCACACAAAAGCTTTCAGTAGTGCAACCAGATGGCTGGTTTGGCCTGGCTCCCTGCAAGGAAGACACGTCTCTGATCCCCACCAGCCCATCAGTCCTGGAACTCAGAATCCTACATGCAGTAAACATGAAGCTCCAACTCCATAGCTGACTTTACCTCCTTACTGTCCTTCTGCCATCTGGTGTTTCAGGTGCTCTCCAGATCTGGACTTCTTGGCTCCCCTACCTTTACCAAGTGAACTCAGGATGTATCATTCTCAGTCTTCTCCTGCCAGTCCAAAGTGAAACTCACCAATACAAGCATACCCTGGATGGGCTTTCTTGGAATATTTAGAAAACAATGAGCTTGCTCGGGGGTGGTGTGAGCTCTAGGAGTAGAGTTACAGTCTCCCATGGAAACCTGAGAGGACTTAGAATATTCCCAAAGGCCTAAGCAGTCCAATCTGTCCTGGAAACATCAGGAATGATATACTCGGTCTTCCTGAGGCTCCAAAATTTTTCCAAATAAACTCAGAGATTACAGAACCATTTTTCTCTTGGGAACTGAAGTGGAGTTATTTGCCTTCTGCCAGCATCTCACTTTTTTTTTTCTCTAAGTTAGCTTTTGAGCCCAGAAGTAGATATTCCTTGTATTTGATTTACATAGGGAGCTTCCTAGAATGCCCGTGCCTCTGGATAGTTTCTGCATTCACTCAGGTATTGACAAAATGCTGCAGTTCTACTGAAAATCTCTGAGATGACCATTTGATCACCTGAGTAACTTTTGAATGTGTCTTCTATGGAAGCCCTGGAGCCTCCCTTCTGGTATTTCATACACTGCCGGTACCAAGTATCCTGGGTGAAACCCTCCATCAGACATTGTTGGCAATTCCAGTATGGAGATGACACTAACGTGATGGGGCTCAAGAATCAGATGGTAGAAGAGCAGCTGGGAGGTGAAGTCTCAGTAGGCTAGGGGCTTAATGTTCAATGCACACCAGACTTCTGAGACTCAGGAGGCATGTGTGGATCTGTCTGCCCAGTGTCTCTCATCTACAGCCTGGACCAGCTATTTCTTGGGGTGAACTACTGAAGGCTTTTGTACGACCTGTGTCAGGCAAGACTCTGGCCAGACCCTTTGCCATAGTCCATTTGTAATGCATTTCCACATGGCACAGGTATCTCCACTTTTGCCCATGCTCTCATGTGGCTCAGAATTATTCTCCCTACTGCCACTCTTCTTTGCCATCACAGAAGATATTTCAAGGTGTAGCCCTAAGCTTCTCCATCTAATCAATAACATGAGGGTTCGTATGGGAACATTGTCACAGGCTTACAGGAATATGTTCTTAAATATCTGCTTTTCTATTACTCTCTTCATTAAATTGACATTTATATCATCACCATTATGATTGTTATTAATGTTATTATTATATTGATACAGTTCTTTATCATGGATATATTTGTGGTCGTTTTTATGCAATGTTGAATAATTGTTTTATGTTCCTGAAGACTGTTGAATTTGCTGAAGATGATTAAAAGACAACCTTAAAACATAAATACCACAGCAACCCCAGGAATCCTACTGTACTGCTTGGTGTCCTGTAGAAGAATGGGCTTCCTGAATTATTCTTTTATTTTTCAGGCAAGTACCTATTCATACCAGCATAGGAGACTGATGAAGTGCACCCTCATCTTGCCATGGTCTCAGAAAGAATTCGTACATATGCTTTATGTGATAGCAACTCTATGTGTAGGCCTGTGAGCCCTAGAATGCACTTTCTTTCACCAACTAGTCCACCTAACAGTTTTCTAAGTCAAATCCCCTCTCCATGCTTGGATAGGTCATGAATGGCTTTCTGTTACCCACCTAAGATGAAGGGATATTGCTAAATCAGGTTTGTGGCCAAGAAACTTTTATCTGGAGTGGCAGGAGAGGGCCTACCTGTTCACCAGAGTGTCTGCAACATTTTCTTTTTTTTCCTTTTTATTTATTTATTTATTTATTTTTTGAGATAGAGTCTCACTCCGTCGCTCAGGCTGGAGTCCAGTGTCGCGATCTTGGCTCGCTGCAACCTCTGACTCCCAGGTTCAAGCGATTCTCCTGCCTCAGCCTCCTGAGTAGCTGGGATTACAGGTGCGTGTCACCACACCCAGCTAATTTTTGTATTTTTAGTAGAGAGGCGGTTTCACCATGTTAGTCAGACTGGTCTCAAACTCCTGACCTCATGATCCACCTGCGTTGGCCTCCCAAAGTTCTGGGATTACAGGCATAAGGCGCCGCACCTGGCCTCTGCAACATTTTCTAAGTCGGTATAGAAGCTCTTTGAACCACCTTTTCAGTCAAAGAACTCATGAAAAAGTCCTCCAAGAACTTGTGACCTTCTGGAAATTGTCAAAATCTCTACAGGTGTCCAGAGTCATCTAGATCTGTATTGCAAGCCACTGACTGGGTTCCAACATTATTAAAGCAAATGCAAAATATGCCATGCCCACCAAAAAAAATCCAGAAGCCATGGTATTTAGCTGTTTCCATCTTTCTTGCCTCCTGCACGTGGGAGAGTACTGAGTATCATGCCCTCCTACAGCCTCTGGAGGACATGCCAATGTCTAGGGGTACCAGTAGAGAGGGGCCATGAAAGACAGATGACAGCCAGGTTGCTGGGAATGACATTGTCCTGGGGCTTATTGCTTGTCATGAACTCTGCCACTGGGCAACATATGCAGGTGTGGACCCGTGCCTTCTCTGGATCCCTGCCCCATCAGCCAGCTGTCTTATCTCCTGAAAGCTGATAGGTGTTGGTCAGCATGGTGTTCCAGGACCAGGGTTATATTAACATTCTCTCTTAGGCTGAAACACCAGAAGTTAACACAGGAGTCCCCAGGTGTGCACATACTGACCTCCAGATTGTTTTTCTTCTCGTTCTAGATGTTCATCCTTGCTTTTTGGGACTTGAAATAACCCTACACAGCCAAATATTTATGCCTATTATCCACTTATGGAAAACTTATATGTCCCAAGTCCATAGGGTTAGTATTATTATCACTATTAAAACCATTAGTACTAGTATCATGATGATCATTATTCCTGTTAATATCCATCAATATTTTTACTACTGCCATTGTTAATATGGATTTTTCATTATTGTACAGCAATGAATATAGTTTATCCATTCACAAATGGTGTTCAGTTACCAAAGATGACTACAAGGCATGTTCTACAGACATATACACACACAGCTGTCCTGGAGACCCAGCTTTGCCACCAATTGCTCTTTCATAAGATGAGATCCCCCAGTACCCACCAGTTTTTCAGGACTCGACCTGAGCTGGCTCAGCTAGACCTGGAAAAGTTTCCTATGCCCAAATGTACTTGGAAAAATTTTAAAGTCTCTTCAGAGGCCCAGTAATAGCTTTTGGCAGCTTCTAAGACCAGGGAGGGTTTCTTGGCCATTCAGAGCCATTCAAATATTCCAAGTAAACTCAAGGATCCAGAAACCCCACTTGCAGTCATGAAATACCAGTGAATGGCCTCTGTGAGTCTCTTCAAGGTTTTCAAAGATGACTGCCTGAGAAGGCTGGCCAGGAAGTCACCCAAGCCCAACCTTCTGCAGGACGTTCTATGACAGCCAGGGACCCAGGGAATTGCCATTGAACAGAAGGGAGGAACAGAGACGGCATGCCTGAGCTTCTGGAAACATTCTAAGTGCCCTTGTTGGCCCAGAAAAGACTGGTGCTACCATATGAGGCACAGACTTGGCAACCTACCTACTCCAGGAACCACAGAAGGTTTAAAGGTTCCCAGGAAGTCCCAGGAAGGGCAGCCATAGCCCTTTAGAGCCATCAGATTTTATTCTAAGTCTACTTGGGAGACAGTGCTCTTAGCTTCATAAAAACACCAGTGGAGGTGCTAACACTTGCCCCAGTATCCAGTCTTTTCTACCTCATCTCAGAGCCAGGAAGCCACTATTTCCCAAAGCTGCTGTGCAATGAAAGGGGAATATTCTAGGTGCTCTCCTGTGCCCACGAAATTCTGTGGCTGCGCTGAAAGGCAGGAGATGTCCTCCGGAATGCTCTTCAGAAATCTGACAACACTGGTCAAGATTAAAGAAGCTCAATTCAACGTCATACAAAACCAATCCCAAATATATATATATGCATAGTGAGACAAAATGATGAACACATCTGCTAATAATCATGAATGACAATAATAACAACAATGATGATCTTAGTGATAATGCCACCAACACTGTTAATGGCAATAACAATAAACCTGAGGTAATGAGTGTTAGGGTCCCGATTCACCGATGTGAAGGATGGCGGCAATTTCTGGCCTCACAGAAATAAAGGAAAAGTAAACACCTGGAGGAGGAGGAGGTGAACCTGGAGCTCCCGCCGGCCTCTGGGCGCTCCTTGGTGGAAGGAGAGGGACTTGGTCCTGAGCCTGCCCCGGATCCACCTACACCAGAATCCCAGAGTCCCAGTCCCTGGATGGGCTCAGTCCCAACCAGGCCAGACGCCCCGGAGCCCCGTAGCCCGGGTCCTCCAGCCCTCGCTGCCGCCGCTTCTCGCGGAGCCGGGGCCGCCCCCGCGCCACCTCAGCCTCTGCGGGGCTCTGGGAGGGCAGCGCCGAGGATGCTCCGGGGCCAGCGGGGGCATCCGGGCCCAGAGGGGGTATCCGGCCTCAGGCGGATACTGACGCCCTGAGGGCGCGGAATAGGGCGGCCTGCGCAGGGCCCGCCGTCTCGGCCTTGCAAAAACAGCGGCCTCTTCAAAGCCCCTACCGGAACCTCCCCGGAGGCCCCAGCCTCAAAGCCAGGGCGATGGCGCTTCCCTGACCATGGGTGAAGAAAACTCAGGTCCTCCCTGGAGACCCGGCCCGCCGCGGGAGGCAGACCGCGCATGCGCCCTGCATGGCCGGAAAGATGGGTTTCATTGCCCTCTGTCGGCCATGAGGTGGCAGCACAGGACGTTTGGCCTTAGCGGTGGACCTGAGTCTGAATCACTGAAATTCAGGTGTAGATTATTCAGTACTTTTCTTTTGGAAGATCAAATGGAAATTGAGTATGATACCTTGTGCTTTAATTAAAGAAGATGGAAATAAAGAAGCAAATTCAAAAATCAGTATACAAAAGCCGATTGATTCCCTCTATGTGGAGGGAAGACGAGCTTGAATAAGAGAAGCATTCTGTGTTACGCTTTAATAATGGCTGGAGATCTGCCACCATGCATTTGTCAAATCCCATAGAATTTCACAGCACAAATAGTACATCTTAATGTGGTTCAGGAGTACATATAATGTCAGTCACAGTTTGTGGGTAAATTACATATTTAATTAAATAGATTAAACAATAAATAATGATATGAGCTCTGCCTGGACACAGTCCTTGCCTCTCCAACCAGTTTGCCAAGGGCTTGAATTTCTTGCTCATTATCCTCACACTTGACATAAACCCTGGCTGCAGAGTAAAATCAATCACTTGTAGAGATTTTAAAATATAATGATGTGTCAACTTCAACCATGGATAAGGCCATTTAGCCTTAGTAAGGCCGATCGTATTAAGATTGTGCCTGTTTGGCAAAATTTCAAGTCATCCCACTTAATATTCAGGAAACATTTTCTCTTCAGTTTTAGGTTCAGTGGTGAGGCTCCTTCACGGACAATACATTTTTCAATTCTGAGGACAAGGCAGAGGAGGGCCCCTCTGTGAGAACTTTCATTTTGCTTCAGGAAAAGTACATTGAATCAAATATAGGAAAGGCTTGCAAGGTGGCTGACAGGTTCGGCTGTTTTATCATGCTGGTGTTTTATCTTCTGGACTGCAGTAAAAGGAGCACAGCTGTGTCTGTCTCTGTGTAATAACTCAGGACTTACCAGAATAAAATGTGGGGTGTTATGAGATGAACTGCTACTTCCAGTTAGAGAGGCTCCAGGGACAAAATTTCAAGAGTCTTCTGAGGGATAGAAGAGAAGAGCTGCCTTATTCTCTGATCCCAGTTAACTGCCTAGAGACAGAGGAAAGGGCTGCGGACACCCAAATGCATATACAAGGTGTCTTTGATACAGCCTCCATTTCCCTGCTAAATCTATGCAATGACACACTGAGAAATCTAGCAAGTGGGGCTGAAGATCCCTGGTGTGTCAACTCGAGGGTTGGATGGAAACAAGTGGTTTTAGTGGACGTTGAAGTAAAGGGAGGTGAGCTGTGAGGAAAGAGCTGTTGAAGACTGGGGAGACTCAGAAGTTGGGGTAGAATCTCGACCAAGAATCTCACCCAAGGAGTGCAGGTGCAAATCCATTTGTTAGGGCCGCATAAATGAAACAAGGGCTTTGCCAACATACTAAGTTTTTTCAACAACAGATTGTATTCTTTCAATATTTGTAAGTATTGATCTTTTGGAAAAGTTTAATGAGATTTCTTATATAATTCTGCACGCAATTTATTCCCTGGTCACTTTGCTATTATGCATTTACATGCCACATTTTTATGAATAGATATTTTCTCAAATTTCTGAATTATTTTGCTAAAGTATGTGTTAAGAGTTTTTTCTAGGGGTCCAACTTCTTGACTCACTTTTCTGATGAGAAATCTATCAGGTTTCTCCACAGTGATTTTCAAGTTTGATAGCTCCTCAATGTGAGAAACTCAATGTCAACTAAGAAATGAATTACCACTAAAGAATTTTCTCCTTTCAAGATGCTAACCATGTTTTGTCCAGTGAGAAATCTCACATGTGCCACATGTGTTGCTCTATGAAGAAAGGATTTCTCATGATTTTTCATTGCATAACTTCTCCAGTAAGAAGTATTTGGTATTCCAAGAGAATTCATTGCCCTTGGAAAGATTTTCCCTTCTTATTTAGCTCATGAAGGCTTTCCTCTCTTATTTTCCATTTTAGCAGCATTTTGTCACTCTTCTCTTGTGAACATCAAGCCTGGTGCTTGGCTGAATGTTCATTCACAGAAAATACAAATAAAGGGTTCATCCAAGTAAAGTTTTCTCATGTTATTTGACAATAAATTGCAAATAAAAACATTTTCACACTGAATGCAGAGTTAGAGATTCTCTACCTGAAAGTCCCACATGTTTTAAGTTATAGCTGTTGCTGAAGACTTTTAGTTGATTATATTGACAGTTTCAGCTCTCTCATGTCACTTATGCTCAGATCACTAACAAGTCTTTGGTACATACATGTCATACAATTTCTCTTCCATATGAATTTATTGATGTGGACTGAAGAATAAAGGTAACTGAAGTATCTTCCATGTTGATTACAGTATTTCTTCAAAATGTGAGTCCTTTGGCATGTTTAGATGCTACAACTACAGCTGAAGTCTCTTCCACATTCCTTACCTTTGTCATTCCTAACACCGTGTCATCTAAAGTCAGAATATGTTCTGAAGAAGTTTATAATTTTCTCTCCAGGGTGAATTTTCTGATGCTCTTTAAGATTAGTACATTGTCTGAAGGCTTTCCCACATAAATGGCATTCATATGGCTTTTCTCCAGTGCGTGTTCTCTCATGTCATCTAAGGTTGGAAGACAGACTGAAGGCCTTCCCACATAGAAGACAAGCATGTGGTTTCTCTCCAGTGTGAATTATTTTGTTTCCTCTAAAGCCAGAGCTTTGACTAAAGGCTTTCCCACTTTTATCACATTCATAACACTTTTTTCCAAGGTGAGTTCTCTCATGTCTTTGAAGGTTAAAGGATTGAATAAAGACTTTCCCATATTGATGACACTTATATGGTCTCTGTCCCGTGTGAGTTTTCTCGTGTCTTCTAAGGTGAGAACACTGAGTGAAGGCTTTTCTACATAGATGACATGCATATGGCCTCTCTCCAGTGTGAGTCATCTTGTGCCGTCTAAGGTGAAAGCAATTAGTATAGGCCTTTTCACATAGATTACACTGATATGATTTACCTTTAGTATGAATTTGTTTATGTGGTTCAGTGGACAAAAGATTACGAAGGGATTTTCCACACTGTTTGCTGACATAGGGTTTCTTTCCACTATGAGTTAACAAACACTGAGTTATTGTGGAACTGCGAGTGCAATCTTCTCCCGAATCATTACATTCAAAAGGATCCTCCAGAATGAGAGAGTTCTCCTTTGGGGCAAATATTAAAAGCTCTTAATGGTTTACCCACATATATCTATACATTCATTTCACTACCTTTGAATCCTAGACCAACCATTCAGTGGTAGACCCCAGTTGAAAGCTTTCCAATGTTTCTTGTGTGAAAGGAAATTAAATTTTGGGACCCCAAACTCATTTAACCAAAGGGAAAAATCAAGCTGGGAACTGGGTCACACAAACCTGCCTCCCCCTTCTGGTTCCTAAATAATATGGCTACAAGATGAAAAGCTACACGCCTCCCCCATATTTTGCCCATGAGGAAATTCCTCATGAGCTGTTAAAATTGCACCATGGCAATGCAAACTGATAACTTTTCTTTACAAGTGCAGTCATCCCCAGTTCACCAGGCACAAATGCATATTGATTGTCTCCCTGCCCCATTTTGCCTATGTTGTCTTATGTAAAATGCAGCTTTCCTGCATTATTCCTCTGCCTCATTTGTTTATGTCATCTTATGTAAAAAAATCCAGATTCACTGAGCCAGAAAAATGCATGAATGACTATTTTTTCTACCCACCTTTTACATGAAAATTGTGTACTTCTCAATATCCCACCCTTTCCCCTTTAAATTTGGAGCCTTCAAAATCATCTTTGGAGAAAGGCATACACCTGTCCCCTGGGTGCATGTCCTTAACTTTGGCAAATAAATCTCCTAAAATGATTGAGACTTGTCTTGTCATTTTTCTCGATTGACAATTGCATACACATTATCTCCTGCAGACACAGATATGTTCTCTTCTGTAACATCTCAACTGCAGCGTTATTGCATAATTGTGTTGATATCAATATCTTTCGATGACTGGGCATGAGCAATGTATATGCACTTGTTCTATTTTAGAGATCTCATGTTATGGTTTAGAACACAGGTCAATGTATTCACTAAATTCAAAGTATCCAATTTTTTTTTTTTGCTTAGAAAACACTTAATGCCAGCTTAATTACACTCAGGTGATTGTGCTTCATTACTAACTTAATCCATTAACATGTCTTTAACTTAGATGACTGGTGTACACAGCTATAAAACTTACCATTGTCATACTGGTGGATGCGTCTTTTCTGGTGATAGGATGCATGGATATCATGTGTGTTTTCTTAAGGGCACTTTCCCTGTCTGAAATAATTGAAAAATAAATTGTTACATTGGTATTATGGTAATAAAATTGTTTGAAAAGCCCCAAAGCCCACGTACTTTTTTCAAAAATTGACACGTAGATGTGGCAAGTGTGTCAAATGAAGAAACTACTTGAATAGAAGAAATAGATTGTACAGTGTCAGCAATTAGAAAATATTTTTAAAATTAAAATGTGAAAAGAGTTAAAATGGAGATGAGATATCAGGCAGGTAAAAAGAGGGATAGTCTTCACAGGGGTATCAGGAAAAGAGTCAGCATATGAAAGTTTAACCCCAGCCAAGTACATGAATTATCCTTTTCCCAAAAGTGAAAGAAAAGAAAAAAAAGAGGACACAAGAGTAGCATCTGACACATGAACAAAATGATAATAACATCTAAGGAATTCTGCTCCAGTAGCCTAACCTACATTTTAGAAATTATCACTCATTTAATAAAACCACTAATTAATATTCAACTGATATTATTCATTGACAAAGCACCTCCTCCTATTAGAGCACAGGACCCTGTTGCTTACTTGGATTCTGGTCTTGAAGAAATACTCTTCCTTCCCTCCACAGCTCTTTTCCTTGCTCCAGCTGCAAAATTATATAGGATTTGCTTATCTGGTACCCTGTTAGTGGAAAGAATACATGTGTTTTGAGTTCACTGTCAATAAATGTGCATTATCACCAAGTGTAATGCAGGCTATCAAGGAAGAATAAAAACAGTGAAGGTCAGCTCAGGCCACAAGACCTAGAACACAGAAAACTCCCCAGGATTTTTCTGACCCAATATGAGACTACAAAATAAATCCAAACCAAAGGTCCATCAGGAAAAGGAAATTCAAAACAGTCAGGACCTATGAATGCTGAGTCCATGCCTAAGTTCCAAGACGCAATGCATAATACACAATCTTTTCAGAAAGAGAGTAATTATATCTCTGCACAGTGTGTTTACTATTATTCTCACGCACAACAAAAAAAAACATTCGATTTACAAAAATAATTGGTGTTCTATATGGAAAAGATATTGCTATTGTTTTCCCTAATTGGTCTCAGCCTAAGCATAGACTAAAGCAGAAGAGTTATTTAGAAAATATTTAATTTAATACACTGAAAACATTCATTAAGTTCCCAGGTCTGTTATGAGTATTAGAGACTGAGTACCAAAGAAACCATGAAATCCTTGTCAAGACTACATTCTAATTGAGTGACAAACTAAATAAAATAAAATAAAAAGAAAGATATTTATTTCAGATAGATTTAGAGAGTTCAAACCTTTTTCAGATGAGATCTGTGAGAGAATCAGAGAAGAGATTAGAGTGAGATATGGGGAAGCTGTTTTAACACTTATTGAATGAATGAGTGAATGTGTCTCTACATATGTACATGAATGTTCAGGGACTCACCGAGGGACACCAGGTGACTGATATTTTCCAGCATCACATCTCTGTACAGCTTTCTCTTGGATGTGTCCATCATGGCCCACTCTTCCTGGGTGAAGTCAATAGCTACATCTTCAAAAGTCAGTTTCTTCTAAAACATCACAGACATTTTAGTTTAGACAGAGAAATTCCTTTCAATGTCCGGAAGAGGAAGGCTGAGATGACATAGCTAGCAGCTGGGTATGCAGAATACTCAGTGTTTTGGGTTCCAGCCAGTTCATTCTCAGTACTAAGCTGGTATCTGCCTTTCAGATTCACTCACAGAGATATACCCACTCTGAATCCATTAAAGTTTACTATAAAGAAATATCACATGAGGTGTGGCATAATATAACCCAGATATTTTTCAGTAATGTGTTAATCACCTCTACATAACTGATTATAAAATTTTCACTTGAACATTCATAAATAAAATGAAATTTACCATGAATTTCAAGTAAATTACAGATTTGTCACAAGGCAAATAACCATGATTTACTACTTCTTAAGCATGACTCTGATGAAATAAATTATTTCTCCAGATGAACCACAGGTTTCTCACCAATCAAATGGTTAAAAGACCTATGATGTGTTTTGAATAATCTAATGAACTAATAGAAAACGTGTTTCCTATCTAGCAAATATTTATTAAATATAAGTCATTGGTCCCTTATTCATTAAAAAGTTAGAAAGTAATGACCCAGACTCCAGCATTCTTCAGAACTGAACAAGCTTTATGCAGAATATAGGATTCAATTCATATATATAGTCTCTCTAATGTTATATAATTCAGGTATTCATGACAAGGCTTAAAGACAGTCTAGCAGCACAAGACAAGACCGCTGAGGCTGCTATACTGAGGAAATCTTAGTCCGATGATTCCTGTGATATGAAGCTTTCTGTTCTCAACTTTCTCTCGGCAATCCAAACATCAGTTATCATCGTTTCTCTTTTAAATTTACCTTCTCACTACACTTGTTCAAAGATTTAAAAAGCCTCTTCATTGTTTTTTTTCTAACCAGCCCTTATAAAGCATTTCCACAGAACCCTAAATTGTACTCTATCTACTATATTCCTTCTTCTGAGTGTGCAACCATAATTAAATAATTATATTTCTTATATGTTACTTTTACTTACCAGAAGGCAAAAAGGTTAATTACCAAAAGGTAAAGTGAATGGGGATAAGAATAATAATGACTTCTTTAGTTGTCCTTTCACAAAGTTTTTAAAAGCTCAAATACATTTTATCAAACTCTTCTTTTCCCTCAACACTGCACAGCTCTTGTCCAAGTCCTATCACACTGGATTTATTGAACTCAGCTGCTAGAACATCAGACTCATTGTTGGGCTGTGATGTTCTGCTCTTCACTCATCTCTATCGCCTGCATTAATCACAATCCTAAGTCTATTTCAGGCAACAGTATAGTTAATGGGTCAATTATTTCCCTATGAGATTATAGGATGGATAGAAGAAAAAGAAATATATAAATGAAACCTCTCATATCTTTTTTTGTAAATAGCCTTAATAGGGGCTGGAATAAAGTAGTGTAATATTAGAAATTATATTGATAATTTCGGAGTCTTTGACACACGATACCCAACCTAGAGTCCTGAGAAAACTTAATGGGGGGCCAGATACCTGAAAGCCTCCTGATTGCATTTGGAACACCCAGGCAGGGTGGATTTTACATCATAAAAACAAACAAACAAAAAAAGAATAAAAATGAAACACCCATGCAAATTGGAGAAAACTGCCCATTTGCCAGCAATATGGGTATAATTTCAGTAGAAAGAGGCATCCCCTACTCACTAGTGAATGCATTGTCAGGAACTCAGTTTCTCTCTGTCTTCCTCTGGATTTCCACTTGCAGACACTTTAGGCACTAAGAAAAGCTGAGGTTGGAGAAAGAACATGTGAGACACCAGTCTTGTGCACAATTTTCAGATCAATCTGTGATGAAAAGCCAGACTTTCACTGAAGTGTGACACCAGCTGCACCACAGCCTAACCAACAGACACAAACATGCAGAGGCCTCTCCTCTTTTCCCGTGGTCAAAATTAAGAAGCCTATGACTATGGTTGCTAATAAAGAAGGAACACAGATATCTTGTGAATGAGAACATCAAAAGCACGGAGTTTTGTATGTTAATTGGCACAAGTCCAGATATTCAATTCCCTCACTGATTTTAAAACACAGGGATCCCTGACTCCATCCACATGTGGAATATGATTTCCACCTATAGATAAACACTGGGATTTCTCAGATTTTATTATCCTAGCTTTATGCCCTAGCAACGTTTCTCCAACACCCACCACAGCCTTCTGAAGCCTTACTCCACTTTTATTTTCACTCAACTCTGACTTTTGTATTTCCCCTTGGAACTTGGAAATAATCAAGTAAGAATCTGTTTTAGGGTGGAGTGTGGTGGCTCACGCCTGTAATCCCAGCACTTTGGGAGGCCAAGGCACGTGGATCACCTGAGGTCAAGTGTTCGAGACTAGCCTGGCCAACATGGTGAAACCCCGTCTGTAGTAAAAATACAAAAATTAACTGGGTATGGTGGTGCTTGCCTGTAATCCCAGCTACTCAGGAGGCTGAAACAGGAGAATCTCTTGAACCCAGGAGGCAGAGATTACAGTGAGCCGAGATCCCACCACTGCACTCCAGCGAGGGTGACAGAGCGAGACTCTGTCTCAAAAAAAAAAATCTGTTTTAGGATGGGGATAATCAATTGAGGGATTTATTTCACTTAGAGGGTCAACACTCCCATCCTGCTAATATAGCCCTTAAAATCTCCTGCATCAGAAATTAGCAGGAGTACCCCGAGTCATGGTGTTTCTCTCCTGTGTATACAGTCACAATCCTCTAGGATGCTCAGAAAATACAAAATGACTTAGGAGAGGGAGAAATTTAGCAGCTCAATCTGATATTTTACTAACGTGGTATCTAAAATTCTTGCAATCATGGTTTATATTAGTCTTTGTTAGTTGCAATATCTCTGATTATCATGATACATATTTGCTGAGAAATACCGATGTCCATGTATACATTCGTACATAGATATGTAGATATATAGGTGCATATGTTTATATGAATGTATGTGTTTGAGACAGGGGGAAACATGCATGTATTATTTCCCTGCTAAAAATATAAAAATAATTAAATATATTTTATGTACAAATGATAATTATGTGTCATAAACAAAAAATTTACTGACCCATTTGTACATGAAGTCCAGGAAAAATAAAAAGAGTAACTTTGTATTAATTGTGACATTGTGCTTACAGATGTACATATATTTCCTTATTTAACCCTCATAATAACCCTGCTGATTACAGTTTATTTACCAATTTAATAAATGATCAACAGAGTTTGAAAAATATGACAAAATTACAAAATTAGAAAATGACCCAGCAATACTTTTAATTATATTCTGCGTGTCGCTGCCTCTTCTTGCTTTTTGACAAAATTACTCCCCTAACCAACGTTCTCTATGATTCTGGGGACTCCAGTATTTAGACCCCAGGTCCCAAACATCATTGTGTCTATTTTTACTGCCACATTTAATGCACATTTACAGACTTCAACAAGCACTTTTCAATATCAACTTTTTTCTTATTCCTTGGACTATTTTCTACATCTGTTCATCAAGATTCCAGTAACATATGACTCCATCTGCCTGTCCCTTCCATGAATGTACCTGACAGTACATGTATTATGTAGTCTATAATTCAAGCAGAACAGCTATT
Source organism: Homo sapiens (assembly GCF_000001405.40). NCBI lineage: Eukaryota > Metazoa > Chordata > Mammalia > Primates > Hominidae > Homo > Homo sapiens. Next base: position 7,364,875 of record NC_000008.11, read on the forward strand.
CCTTCAAAAAAATAAGATATTAGAGAATGCCTACAAAGCTTCAGTGAAACCAGCTGTAACCCTTAATATTATTACCAAGTAAACTCTTCCTCGAATATCAAAATAAGATTTGGGCTTTAGAGAATATTTGTGTGTAATTATAACCCAAACATGAATGAAAAGTCATTTAACTGGTCATATACAGACTGTGCCAGGGACAAAGAAAGGACAAATATTATAAGAAAGTTAAAGCATACTTATTTCATAAAGGACTCTTGTGTGGAATCTATAAAAACTATTTCAAGATGTAGAGATTAAATATATTTAAAAACACATACATACACAAGCAATCTTTAGGAGAAACTTAAAAACTTATGTTATGGGTCTAAAATTTTCATTAATTCGTGGAAAAAAATGTATTGACAAACTTTTCACCAGAGCAGAAATAACAACTTATGTATTTGGTGACTTCAAGATGAGAGCCTGCACAGCTTAGTATCTCCCTCCAGATGTCTCTCTCTATTTTTTTTTTTTTTTTTTTTTTGGCGGAGTATCACTCTTGTTGCCCAGGCTGGAGTGCAGTGGCGCGATCTCGGCTCACCGCAACCTCCACCTCCCGGGTTCAAGCAATTCTCCAGCCTCAGCCTCCTGAGTAGCTGGGATGACAGGCTTGCGCCATCGTGCTCGGCTAATTTTGTACTAGACGTGGTTTCTCCATTTTGGTCGCGCTGGTCTAAAACTCCTGACCTCAGGTGATCCGCCAGCCTCCGCCTCTCAAAGTATTGGGATTACAGGCGTGAGCCACCGTGCCCGGCCCAGATCTCTTAAAAAGTCAAGAGGAAGGAACCATTCTGCATCCTCAATATTACCTTAATATTTTAAGGACACCCGTAAAAATTAAGAGGCCGACTTGTGACTTCCTAGCCCTTTCACGGCTATTTAGACACAACTTAGTGAAGTATTAGGAATGCATTATTAGGTCTTAAGTTCCTGGACAACAAAACCATGTTCTCCAACAGATCTTCAGTAAAAATAACTGATGTCTATATTGTTTTGCCTGTCCTTTCCCTTCCTTTAATTCAGAACTGCAGTCTCGAAAAGTGCTATTATTTAGTAGATTCTCTCACTTCTCAACACCAGTGCTATACAATGTTGAATGACATCTCAGGTGCTAGGGAAACAGCAGCTGACATTCTAGCAATGAACAAATAGAAAAGCAAAGATCACCACAGAGTAAAAGAGAATAGATTTTTTTAAAGTATGAAACCAAAACGAATATATATCAGATTACACTATAAATGGAAAATCCTATTATCTTGACGGGATTGCAAGTCAGATTACACTATAAATGGAAAATCCTATTATCTTGACAGGATTGCAAGCCTCTCATGGCTTCCAACATCCAATATATTCAAAGCAGTTCAGGAATGGTGAAAGTGGAATGGAATTTAAAATTATTCTAAGGTTTTATGTGTGAAAGCACCATGCCCTGAAACAAAACATTTATTTTTAAAGTGCATAATGAACACTGCATACAAAGTTTGTGTAACAGGAGAGAGGAAAAATCTCACATTTTAAAAAAAGGAATATGCAACATATTTAGATACAATAAAATAAAATTAAATTAAAATACAGCAATAGAAGACAGAATCTAACATCTGAAAATCAAGGGAGAAATCTATTTTAAAGAAACTTGGCGCAATTTTTAAAGTACATGATGAAAAATAATAATACCTGAGTATAGTACGTAAAAGTACCAATACAATAAAGCTAAAACAATATCCATGGACAAATTATTTGCTGTACGTTATTTTTAAAAAATAATCTAAGTACTTACCTCAATAAGGTAAATGAATGAAATTTAAACATTGCTTGAGAAAATCTGAGAAAGGAGATGAATATAGAGAAGCAGAATATAATTTAACTATAAACCACACAAATAGAATTTAAAAATAAGTGGTAGCCAACATGCCCAACACGATTTTCTGTGATGAAAGAAATTCTCTATATCTGCATTGTCCAATGCAGTAACTACCACACATATGTAGTTACAGAATTTCTAGATTGGCCACGACTTTGGCTATTACTACTAAGGATATGCCATTTAGTTATTTAATTATAATTTATTTACAGTTTATAGTCACATGTGACTAGTAGTTACTATTTTGGCCAATACAGATCTAGAATCTTGGAGGAGGCAGTTAAAATAATGAGATATGGTCAAAACAAAAATGGAAAAGGCACACAAATAGTGAACACAGAATATGAGAATGTGAAGTAACAATTCACACAATAAAATGTAATAATGAGATGCTGCCTTGATGGGACAAATGTCTAATGATATACAAGGCTTGTCTTGTTACAGGTAGAAGAGCATGAGCAGGGCAGGAGAGGGCTCTTCCCCTACCCACTAGAAATGTCAGGTGATGGCCTGTCAATTATCACATTTCCTCTCTAAAAATGATAATTAGGCAGCACCAGAGAGAGGCCGTTTCCTGATGGTCTACACCTGTTAACATCAAAAATGTGAGTTAAATGCAGACCCCAGGAAGAAGCAACTTCTTGGGCGTGCATGTTAAGAGACAAAAATGGCAAAGCATAATCTTCCGGGGGCACGCTCCACCGGAAAAGGAAAGAAAGCTTCAGATGGACATGCATATAACTCCCTAAACACAACGTGCATGCTCAATTTCAAAGGGTAAGGAAAGCACTGTGCATGCCGGAAACTCTCCCTAAAGGACGAATCACGGGAAAGAGGAAAACCCAACGCAGGATCAAGGTTAAAGGCTCTTCTCTTTTCTTTCTTGGACCTTCAGGCATCTGCTCGGGTCTCTTCCAAGAGAATTTTCCTCTCCTTCCTGTTCTAAAGCCTTTTTAAATAAACTTCCACTCCTGCTCTGAAACTTACCGCTCAGTCTCTTTTTCCACTGTATGCCCTTCGGTCGAATTCTTTCTTCTAGGAGGCAAGGACTGAAGTTGCTTATGGACCCATGCAGCTATGCTGCCAGTAACTGGAATCTCTTCTACTGGTAACAGTATCATTGTAAGGGAATGAGGCCAGTTCACATCTCAGTGCTTGGAGAACTCACCAAAAATAAAAAGTTGGAGGATGCAGTGAACTTATCTACCTTCCAAGGCAAGTCCCACAAGCAAGCAGCAAGACTCTTTCCCCAAGGTCTTAAAGTCTTCAGATGCTCCTTCTCTGGGAAAATGCATCCTCTGATTGGCTTCCCCTTATATATGAAAAAAAAATTAATAAACCGAATCACCACTACATTCCAAGAGACATGCCCTGATTGCACAGACACTGAATCTAATCAAAAACTTCATTCTGGAGACACTCCCTGTTCAATCTGATTGGATTTTTGAGACTACTACTAAAAACCCTCACATAAAGTTGGAAACCAAAGAGTTAAGGCTATTTTGAAGGAAAAATATGAACATTAATTCCTTTTTTTAATCATAAGTACTTTTGAGTGTATTATATGTACTAGAAAGCATTCGCAGTCAAGGGATACAACAAGAAACCAGACAAACTAGAGTCTTCTGGAGACTCTATATTCTAAAATTCTTTGGAGGTAAACTGGACTTGAAAACAAATGGAAGGCGAATAGATATAAAAAGTTTCAATGTTCATGATGATGTAAAAAAATAAAATACATTGCAGAAATGAAGTCAGGAAGTATTATAGGGGTCATGTAGTACTTGTAAGACCACTGGTATTGTCTGAAATTCAAGCAGGCTGCAGAAATTTGGGTAACTAAAAGGAAAGCAGATGCTAATAGAAGAAAATGAAGAAAGGGCCTCAAAGACATTTTAGAGACCTTGGCTGGTGGCAGCCCCTCTCCTCAAAGGCCTGGAGGCCTAGGAGGGAAGAATCATTTTGTGAGCTGGGCCCAGTGCAAGCACAGGACAGTGCTCACAGCAATCTAGGTCTCAGCCACTCCAGCTCCAGCCATGGCTAAAAGGGCCCCAGACATTGTTTGGGCCACCGCTTTAGAGGGTGCAAGCCACAAGCCTTGGCAATTTCCATGAGGTATTAAACCTGCAGGTGCACAAGGTACAGGAGTACACTGCTGATAAAGGTATACCTGAGACTGGGCAATTTACAAAAGAAAGAGGTTTAATTGGACTTACAGTTCCACATGGCTGGGGGGAGGCAGAAGGCAAAAGGCATGTCTTACATCACAGCAGGCAAGTGAGAGAATGACAGCCAAGCAAAACTGGTTTCCCCTTATCAAACCATCACAACTCGTGAGACTTATTCACTACCACGAGAACAGCATGGGAGAAACTGCCCCCATGATTCAGTTATCGCCACTGGGTCACCCCACAACATGTGGGAATTATGGGAGTAAAATTTGAGGTGAGATTTGGGTGGGGACACAGAGCCAAACCATATCAGAAGCCTTTGCCTGGATTTCTAAAGATGTATGGGAAAGCCTGTATGTCCAATAGAAGTCTGCTGGGGTGGAGACTTCATGGCAAATGTCTACTACAGCAGTGCAGAGGGAAAATGTGGCGTTGGAACCCCCACAGAGTCCACACTGGGGCACTGCCTAGTGGAGCTCTGAGAAGACAGCCACCATCCTCCAGACCCGAGAATGGTAGATCCACTGTCAGCTTGCACCCTGAGCCTGGAAAAGCTGCAGGCACTCAACACTGGCCCTTGACAGCAGCCATGGGGACTGACCCTTGTATCCAAAAGAAAATAAATTGTTCTACCATAAAGATGTGTGCACTCATATATTTATTATAGCATTATTTGCAATAGCAAAGACATGGAATCAACCTAGATGCCCATCAATGTTACAGTGGATAGAGAAAATACAGTATATGTACACCATGGAATACTACACAACCATAAAAAATTTATGTCCTTTGCACCAACATGGATGCAGCTGGAGGCCATTATTCTAAAATAATGCAGGAAGAGAAAACCAAATACCATATGTTCTTAGTTATAAGTGAGAACAAAGCATTGGTTACACATGGACGTAAAGATCAGAACAACAGATACTGGGAACTACTAGAGGGGGAAGGGAAGGTGGGGACAAAGGCCTGAAAAACTATCTATTGGGTATTATGTTTTCTATCTGGGTTACAAGATCATTCATACTCCTCAGCATCACACAATGTGCCAGTGTAAAAACCTGCACATACATCTCCTGAATCTAAAATAAAAGTTGAATTTTTTTTTAAAATGGGCAAAGATCTGGCTAACACCGTGAAACCCTGTCTCCACTGGAAAAAAAAAAATACAAAAAATTAGCTGGGCATGGTGCCGGGTGCCTGTAGTCCCAGCTACTTGGGAGGCTGAGGCAGGAGAATGACGTGAACCTAGGAGGCGGAGCTTGCAGCAAGCCGAGATCACGCCACTGCACTCCAGCCTGTGTGACACACCGAGACTCCATCTCAAAAAAAAAAAAATATGCAAAGATCTGAGTAGACATTTCCCAGAAGAACAGATACAAATGGCCAACAAATATATGAAAAAAATTCTTACCATCTCTAATCATCAGGGGGATGTAAATAAAAACCACCATGAAATATCACCTGATAGAATAGCTATTATCAAAAAGATGTATAACAAGTATTAGTGAGGTTGTGGAGAAAAGATAACCCTTGTATACTTGTGGTGGAAATACAAATTACTATGTCCATTTCAGATAACAGTATGAAGGTTTCTCAAAAATTTTTTAAATAAAACTACCTGCTGATGAGGCTGCTGAGATATAAGAACACTTTTACACTGTTGGTGGGAATGTAAATTAGTTCAACTATTGCGGAAGACAGTATGGTGATTCCTCAAAGACCTACAACCAGAAATACCGCTTGACCCAGCAATCCCATTACTGGGTATATACCCAAAGGAATATAAATCATTCTATTATAAAGATACATGCACACATATGTTCATTGCAGCACTATTCACAACAGCAAAGACATGGAATCAACCCGAATGTCCATCAGTGACAGACTGGATAAAGAAAATGTGGTATGTAAACACCATGGAATACTATGCAGCCATAAAAAGGAATGAGATCATGTTCTTTGCAGGAACATGAATGGAGCTGGAAGCCATTATTCTCAGCAAACTAACCCACGAACAGAAAACCAAGCACTGCACGTTCTAACTTACAAGTGGGAGCAGAACGGTGAGAACACATGGATATTAGGAGGGGAACAACACACACTGGGGCCTGTTGGGAGGCAGGTGGAGGGAGAGTATCAGGATAAATGGCTAATACATATATGCAATGGAATATTGTTCAGTGTTACATAATAACGAAACCCTGTCATTTGTGACAACATGGATGGACTTGGAGGGCATTAGGTTATATGAAATAGGCCAACCACAGAATGACAATTACTATATGATTTCACTTGTATTTGAAATCTAAAATCGACAAACTCACAAAAGCAGAGAGTAGAATGGTGGTTGCCAGGGGCCGTGGTGCTGGGGAAATGGGTAGATGTGGTTAGAGCACAAAGTTTCAGATATACCACGTAAGTAAGTTCTGGAGGTCTCGTTTACAGCATAGTGCTTACAGCTAAGAATACTGTATTACATACTTAAAATTTGCTAAAAGGGTAGATTTTGTATTCTTACCAATATTTCTTACCAAAAAAATAATAATAATAAAGGGGAGGGGACTTAGGGAGGTGAAGGATATGGTTATAATCTTGATGGTAGTGATGTGTTCATGGTGTATACTTATCCCCAAGCTCACTGAGATGTACACCTTAAATATGTACAGCTTTTTAAATGTAATCATAGCTCAACAAAGTCGGTTAAAATAAAACAAGAGGGGGTTGGTTAAAAAACTTAAAAGGAGGGGTAGATGTTCCCTTGTTTTTTTCTCTTGGCTTTTTTCCTACCTGCTGCCTGGAATTCAAAAATGATAGGTGGGGATTTAGCAGCCAAACTAGAGCCTCTTTTACACTATAGCAGAACAGAGTGCTGGAAGGGGCCTGCATCCCTAATGAATTTGGCAGGTATCTGTACTAGCCATGGTAGGTAGAACTATAGATTTAAGTGAGGGAGAAACAAACTTCTGCCTTGTTTAAGCTACTTTGTTCAGACATTAATTTTATATACATATAGAGAACATATGCTCCTTTATGAGTAGGAAAAATGTTTATGCCATATGGTCCATGATGGGTGTTCAACAATGTAGGATGAGGCTGATTATGATGACAATGGTGACAAATAGCATGAAATAATAAGCAATGAAAATAAGGTGGCCTCATAGTTGTGTATGGTTACTTTATTTAAAGATTCTGCTGCTAATATCATTCAATGTATTTGTATGCTGGTGGGAGTTTTGTTAGATGTAGACTAAGAAAGTTTACATTATTTAATGAAAAATACTTGACCAATTTAAAAAAAAATAAAAATATCATGAGATGGAACTAAGCATCTGTATTGCAAAGTAACTCTCCCAGTTGATTTTCTGCATAGTAATGATTGAGAATCCCCTGATCTAGATCCAATAGATCTCGACCTTTATAGGTGCTATCAAGGAAGCACCTAAGGAAGACAATTTTCCTGACTATATCCATACCTCCAGTTAGTAATAGATCTAGAGATCTAGAACCCAAATCCAAACCTCCTGCCTCCACGTGCGGTGGTCTTTCGCTGTTGTTTTGTTCCACTTGGTGAAGAGGATTTGAGAATAAATAGCCACATGATTCAACTCCCTCCTCAGTTCTGAGGAATATAGCCTTGTCCTAGCAAGCAAGAAGTTCATACAGTAGTGGATGAGGCAAATATACATTCACTAATCTAACATACAAGGCAGTAAGTACTGTAACATAAACAAAGCACTTTGGAGTTTCAGACCAGGAGCAAGTGGGGTGATTAATTCTTAGCAGGGCTAGTAAAGTCTGGGAAGTGTTCACTAACAAAATGTCTGGTCATTAATGAAACCAACTGGTTTCTCAACACAGTCTAATTTATTGTAACAATATAAATGGTTGTTTGTTCATAAACTTTCATCTTTTGCCAAAATGTAGCTTATGTCCCCATTTAACAAGGTTTTCTGGCCAAAACTGTGCACCCACATCATTCTAATGAACTGGCTGTCCAATAAAAAAAAAGGATTCTCAGTCTTCCCATAAAAGCAATTTTGCGTGCATAGAACACCTCTATCTATGAATATCCCTAAGGAGGTACAGAAAGACTCTTATTATCCAAACAGAGACATTCCACTGCTGCTAGAGAGCCACAGACGGAAGTTTTCTCTGCCTCCTGGAAATGAAGCCAAACTTTTTTCTTTCTTCAGCCATGAGGATTGCTGTCCTCTTCTTCACCATTTTCTTCTTTATGAGCCAAGTTCTACCAGGTAACAAAATAAACTTGGTAAGAGTAGAGTGCCTAACACCTTACAGGGATTCAGTACTCAAAGAGAAATCACCATCACCTATGACCAGAAAAGGGGGTCTCATAGGAAACCTGGAAGACTCATTGGCTGAGAGGCCTGCAGCCATCTAATTCGTTAATTCTCCATAGCAACCCAGTTAAATGAAGTCAATGGTGTTTCAAGTCTTTGAAACCCTCTTATTCCATCTCCAAATTAGGCAAGTTTACTAGCAGTTACTAGACCTCAAAAATTAAAAATCAGGCATTATTCTACTAAATTTTTGTCTCCAAAGCTCCTCTTTCGGCAAAAGTCAGTTATCCTAAGAACTGGCATAAGAGCTATGCCAAAGCTGTGGTAGGCTCAGACAGAAGGGATTGGTGGAAGAAGTCTCTTTGAAAATATTACTATAATCTAAGAAATCTTTAACCTATTGCTCCCCGATACTGTTGGTCCCTGGAGCTTGACTTTTCCCCTTAAGGCTCCATCTCCATCCCTGGCTGTCCCTCTTCCTTCTCAGCATCTAGTCTTGTAATGTAGAATTTAAACACAGGAACCAGGGATGATCCCACACCAGAGCATAGCCTACTGCATTCAGCATGCGAACATTAATCACAGGTATAAGGCCCCTTGCACAGACATGCTTTGGAGAAGTGTGTATAGGACTTCTTGGATTGGCCCAAGGTGGTTACCAGATACCCAAAGTAGATTCAAAAATTTTCTGGAACTCCTGAACATGTGTATTCAAGGACGAATAAGCAACTTATTGCCTCTATTTTTGCTGTTTTATAGAGAAAAAAATTAAGGCCCTGGAAACTGAACTGTTTTTCCCAACAGTGGGGTAAATGTCAGAGTCAACACTTTGTTTTAATATCCTGGCTTTCCCTATACATCCCACCCTAGAGTTCTGTTGTGCTGTTCCTTTGTATTACTTTCTAAAGCCTGAAAAAAGGTGATACCATATCCAATTATATTAACTCGGTAGCACACAACATCGGGGACTGACATAAGATTATTATCCTTGTGGCATTACTGAATTCCTATCTCACTAGTACTTGTTAAATAGTCATCCTGGCTAAATACATGGGTTTGATTTTTTTAATCAGTTAAAAATATTTTAAAATATGTGTCTTACATATATAACCCCAGAAAATCAATGCTTTTAATCAAGGTTTAAAAATTCCAAATTTGGATAAACACATTTTGTTTTGTTTTGTTTTCACTGTTACTCAATCAAAATAGAAGCAACTAATTGGATAGAACAGCACAGGCAGAAGCATGACTCACAGTCAAAAATGGGATGCAACAAGCCTGGAGAAGAAAACACAGGATGGTGCTAAAGAATGCACCCTAATGAAAGGTGGCATCTCCTCTGGATGTCCTTAGGTAGACATTGAAGCAGAACTGCCAACTTTTTGTAGAAGGCTAGAGAGGAGAGGAGGACACAGAGAGAGGGCAAGAGTGGAAAACAGAATGAGGCTCAGAATACCAAGCCTTAGTGCTGTCCCTATCATCTGCTTCACTCGATCACTGGGTAATCTTGGGCAAGTTTCTTCCTTTCCATCAGCTTATTTCCTCAACTTTAAGGTAGGTGACTAGACAAGACAGCCTATGTTCATTGTAACTCTATCTTTTGTTCCTAAAGCAAATGGCCGGAAAAGACATAGTGTCCACAATATGCAATACACAAGGTTTACAAGAAAGAACAAATGAAAACGAAAGATTTTTAAAATCCCTAATGTTACTTGAATTCTTACAAATGAACAATGGTACATCATAATTTTAAAAAGTCTTTTGTAATTTCAATTTTTAAAAATAACTTCAACCTTTATTTTAGATTCAGGGAGTGCATGTGCAGATTTGTTACATGGGTATATTGTGTGATATTGAGGTTTGGGGTATGAATAACTCTGTCACGCAGGTAGGGTGTGCCCAAAGAGTAGCTTTTCAGACTTTACTCCCTCTCCCTCCCCTCCTGGTAAGACCCAATCTCTCTTGTTCCCATTTTTATGTCCATGTGCACTCATTGCTCGGCTCCCCCTTATAACTGAGAATATGTGGTATTTGTCTTCCTGTTCTTGAGCTAATTTGCTTAGAATAAAGTCCTCCAGCTGCACCCATGTTGCTGAAAAGGACACAATTTTGTTCTTTTTATGGATGCATAGTATTCCGTGACATATATGTACTACATTTTCTTTATTCAATCCACTGTTGATGAACACCTAGTTTGATTCCATACCTTTGCTACTGTGAATACCACTGTGATGAACATACAGATTTAGGTCTTTTTACAAGACTGATTTATTTTCCTTTGGATATACACCCAGTAGTGAGATTACTGGGTCAAATGTTAGTTCTGTATTAAGTTTCTCGAAAAGTGGTTTGAAAATATAATGCTCAATAGAATCAGGTATAGTAAAATAGTACACATGATTCAAAGACCTCTGAACCGAGAGTAACAACAAATTTCTGCACAAACATATTGCAAGTTAGAAAATAGCTGTATTTTAATCAATTATTCCACAATCATTTACTGAATAGCTATTATAAGCCAAGACTTTAATCAGATTCTGGAATATACATACAGAGGAGAATAAGATACTATTCCTGCCCTCAAGAAATTCATTATCAAGAATTGAGGTCAGATGGGAAAACACCACCCATAGTAGAATGCAAGAAGTACTACCACAGAGGGATGTTCAAGAGTGATTTATCACATATCACAAGACAGGTCAGTGGTTCATCCTCTACACTATACTAATCTCTTATGACTCTTCCAGCTGCAAAGGGCCAATTTTAGCACAAGGCCAGTGGGCTTGGGTACTACTATATGTAGTAGCTGACTACTTACAGATAAAAGGAAGAGATGGAAAGCTCAGGGATCAAAAAACTCAGATTTCAGCTTGTTTCTACCAAGTGGTCAACATTTACAATTACCATTGTCTTCAGAAAAGCATGACCTTTATTTCCCAATTTGCATTACAGATATAAATATGATGTTGCATATATTTGGTCTTCACATCAATCCACTAACTGCTTTGTGACCATTGAAAAGTTAAATGGAATCTAATACATTTGGATTTCAGGTCAATTAAATAGGCATTTATTGAATGTTTATTAAAATCGCTGTACTGATTGAAAGCTATTCTAGAATTGGCTTTTGTGTTCCAGAATAGAAAAAAAAAAGTGCTGGTTTTTATACCTCTCTTACTGCCAAGAAGTTATCATGGAAAAGGTGCTCTGTGTTACATACAAAGACTGCTCAGAATTAAAACACTTTTCAAACTCAGTACCTCAGAGTGTGTGGCCTATCCCCAGAGCGGTGATATCTTAGGACATAAATGAAATACTATTCAATGTTTTCAACAAGTATAGTTTTTGAGCCTTTAAGAAGACCTTGAATGTTTCACTCTTAATATATGCAATGGTTTCTAGAGAAAAATTGCAACCTCAAAGACCAGTGCCAGAGATATGAGTAGTGAGTGAAGTCTCAGGGTGTAACAAGTAATGGCACAGATATATTTATGTATTAAACACATAGGAATATTGTTCCCTTCCACAGGAAAAATATCCTCTCTAACAATTGAAGTATATTATCTTTTAGGTCTATATTTCAGTTCTACTTTTGAAAGATACATCTATTATAATCTATCATATAGAGAGAGTGTGTGTGTGTGTGTAGGAATAAAAACAGCTGATCCAAAAGAGATTTTCTTCTCTTTCACTCCAGGAAAATCCATAGTACAGGACATTATATTTTCTTAAAAGGCTGACATCTCCCATCAGTGTTAGAAGACAATAAGGAAGAAATAAACTGAAACTTGTATGCTCTAGAACTTGTAAAGGGAAGCAGGCTACTCACCTCCAGCCTTTTGTCATGTAGGTGCACCCAATATTCTCAGATTTTTCAAGAACACCAAAAAATCCAAATTTTTGTGTGGCAGCAGATTTTTAAGTGTTTAAGAAATCAAATAACACACACACACACACACACACACACACAGACACACACACAAATCCACACAAGATTATTTTCAGGCACTGCCCCCTACGTCCATGTAATTCAATACAAAGTAAAGAAAGACTGATGAATGGTTACAATAACCCCTTCTGCATGTAGCCAAGGGCAAATTCAAGGAGATCTGTGAACGTCCAAATGGCTCCTGTCGGGACTTTTGCCTCGAAACAGAAATCCATGTAGGGAGATGTTTAAATAGCCGACCCTGCTGCCTGCCTCTGGGGCATCAACCAAGAATTGAGAGCACTACACCCAAAAAGGACTGAAGCCTGTTGTTTTCTGGAGGTTTTAGGTTCTCTTTTTTCTCTCTCCCTCTCCCTGTCTCCCTGTCTCCCGTTCCCTCTCTCCATTTTTCTCACAGGGATTTTTATTGAATCCTCAAAAAAGAATAAACCAAAACCAACCAGCACAAAACCTCTTTTAAAAGTTTATATTACTGGCTGGGTGCGGTGACTCATGCCTGTAATCCTAGCACTTTGGGAGGCCAAGGTGGGTGGATCATGAGGTCAGGAGATCAAGACCATTCTGGCCAACATGGTGAAACCCTGTCTCTTTTAAAAATACAAAAATTTAGCCAGGCATGGTGGCGGGCACCTGTAATCCCAGCTACGCAGGAGGCTGAAGCAGGAGAATCGTTTGAACCCATGAGGTGGAGGCTGCAGTGAGCCGAGATCCCAACACTGCACTCCAGCCTGGGTGACAGAGTAAGACACTGTCTCAAAAAAAAAAAAAAAAAAAAAAAAAGTTTATATTACATGTTATGACTTGATTACTGTTTGGTTTCCAGTATCCTTCTATCCCATCTAGATGAGCTCTTAGTTGAAAATGACATACAGCAGGGTGGGGGAACTTTCAATCATACCCATTGCTTTTGTCTAGCACTGTAACCCTTCACCCTGCATGTGGGAAGACCACTCCCCTTTTTTACTAGGAAAATGCGCCATCCTATTCCATGCAGCCTTGCGGGGGTCTGTCTCTCCCTGATAAAGGTGCAGCACATGGGAAAATTGCACAATCACGTCAACCAGACTTCACCAGAAATCTAAATTATAAAAAGAGTTGCACTCAGATTAAAGGCAATTTTTTCAGCACCCTTTTCGGAGGCAATTCCCTGGGTCTGTACATGTATGCCTGGCCAAGATTCAGGGAATTCCTTTGCTTCCCAGCTTTCACTGGGCATAATCATTCAGCATTTTCTTCCATCTTTTAAAATACTGTATTGGCTTCCTACGGCTCCTATAACAAATTACAACAAACTTAGTGGCTTAAAGCAACACAAATGCATTATCTGACAGTTCTATAGGCTGCAGGTTTCAGATGGATCTCAGTGGGCCAACATCAAGGTGTCAGCAGGGCTGAGCTTTCTTCTGGAAGCTCTGCAGTTTTCTTCCTGCACCTTTATCCCAGCAATGGCAGGTTACTCCTGGGCACCATAGCTTCCTTCATACATTTTCAAAGCCAGCAACGGAGCGTTGAGTCCTCACATTCCATCATTCTGAATTCATCTTCTCCCCACTCTTCCATTTTTTAGGACTCATGATTACATTGGGCCCACCTGGATAATCTAAGATAATCTCCCTATTTTAAGGTCAGGTGATTAACAGCCTTAATTTCACAGGAAACCTCAATTCCCCTTTGCTTACACGGTGGCACATTCACAGGACCCAGGAGTTAGGATGTGGATAGCTTTGGCGGGAGACAGAGGGGACATTATTCTGCCTACAACAGCCACTGAGTGCTTTTACCACCTGTCACAATTTTCCTCCATTTAGACACAACTTTAGTGGCTTTGTGTGAAGAGATTCTCATTCATAGAGTTTTCTTTTTTGTGTAAAGTAGTGGGGGGCCTCCCCTTGGTCATTGAAAGAGTATAGAATCAAGATATTTAAAAGTATGTTAGCTGGATTTTATTTTTCACTATGCCTGATTTGGCCAAGAAACAATGTTAAGTTATGTCACATGGACTACTCGAAATCTCAAAAAGTTCAAAACATTGGGTTCAAAATCTCGGAGATTGAGATATATTCCAACCAACTCAACCCTATGGAAGTGCCAAGTTTTCCTCAGTGCACTCTTGAAACTGCATCACCAACTGTCCCTTTAATATATTTTTGCACTATATAACATTTATTTCTTAGAAAAGAAGCAGTTTGGACACGTATATTAAAGCCGTCACATAGAATATTATCCTCTCATTGCTAGGAGGCGGTCTTCAAGATGGCTGACTAGAGGTACCAGGCACTGTGTCCTCCCAAAGAAAGACCAAGACAGCAAGTAGATAATCATACCTTGAAGAGGGCATGAAAGAGGGCACTAGAATTCAGCAGCAAAGTGATGAGGAATCTCTGAGGTATGGAAGGAAGGAAAATGAAGCAGCTGCCCAGCCAGAATCAGCTTAAAGCCAGGACAGGCTCTCCAGTGTGGTGAAAAGGTAAAAAAGAGAGCCCCAGTGGTCCATATTCCCACTGTGGACACTGCAATCCTAGCCAAGGGACAGTCTCTCAGCCCTCGCAGGCCCTGAGACTGCTATAGGGAGCTGCCTGGAGTCTAGGTGATGGTCATTGTCCCAGAGAAGGAGTTGGCACTGGATCGTCTGCACCTGCCCCCAGACACAGGCAGCTGTGGCACAATGCCAATTTGAGAGCCCAGCCCCCAAAAGACTACATCCTGCCCTGGGGCCCAACAGCCCCTGCATCTCCACATCTCTGGACCCTCAGTGACATTCCCTCATGTCCATCCAGAGTCCTGCAGAGTCACAATACCAGCTGAACTCACCAGTGTAGCTTGGTCCCCATCACTCTAGCCTACACAGTGTCCTACACTCCAGGGAACTGGCAGTGCCATTCACTAGGGAGGCTGCCCCCAGAACAAAGGGAGCTGAAGCAGGCACTCTTCTCAAGTGGAGAGTCACCTTCCCAGGACCACTGACACTGACAGCAATCCTGGCCCCCAGGAGCAGGGCCACTGCACACCTGCAGGCATCCTCAGGGGACCTGGGGACTCACCTGCCTGAGCACTATTCCAGGGCCAGAGCACAGGCCCATCCCACCCATTGCTGTCACTACCACTACCCAAGGTCGTTGTCCAGGAGGCTGGGGATCAACCCACACTGCTGTCTGTCATTGGCACCTGTGCATGCCTTCTTGTGAACTGAGTATGAGCCCACCCAGCCTGGTGGTGCCTGTGCACATTGTCTGGGAGCCTGGGAATTAATCCACCATGCCTATCACCATCAAGTACCTGTGTGTCTCCTGAGAGCTTAAGGATAGGACTTCCCAGCCTGCCATCACAGCTGTCACCAGTGCCCACATATTTGCACCAGGTGAAAGCCTGAGGACTACTCTGTCCATCATGTTGCCATGACTGTTGGTGTCTGCACATGCCATCTGGGGTCACGAGAGTTGACCTGCTATGACTACTGCAATTGCTGATGCTACACATGCCTCCCAGGGTCTTGAGGGCATGCCTATCTACCGAGCTCACCACTGTCACTGCTGGCACTTGAGAAAGCCACCTGACTCACGCCTGTAATCCTAGCACTTTGGAAGGCTGAGGGGGGCAGATCACCCGAGGTCGGGAGTTCAAGACCAGCCTGACCAACATGGAGAAACTCCATCTCTACTAAAGACAAAATTAGCTGGGCATGGAGGCGCATGCCTGTAATCCCAGCTACTCTGGAGGCTGAGGCAGGAGAATTGCTTGAGCCCAGGAGGCAGAGTTGCAGTGAGTTGAAATTGTGCCACTGCACTGCAGCCTGGCCTACAGAGCTAGACTCTGTCTCAAACCACCACCAAAAAAAAAAAAAAAAAAAAAAAAAAACACAACACATCTTTGCCGTGATGTCTGGTAAACAGAAAGTGGTCAGCATTATTTGTTATTAGTATTAGTGTTGTCGTTGCCATTGCTTTGATTCACATGGAAATGGTTTGTAAGCTGTGATGCCTACTATTAATGTTATCTATCACAATTGTTAGTTATGTCTGGTATCTATTGCAACAACTAGATGAATGTAATCTTGGGAAAAAATTTTAAATTTCTTTAAGCTTCTCTCTCCTGATTTGTAAAATGAAATTTGTTGTACATGCTGTGTTTTTCTCAGCTATGCAGCTGTTCAGTTATTCCATATTTCAGTGCTTCCTTGGCTGATCAATCAATTTGGCCTACGTCAGCTCCAAGGGCATCCACTTCATCATCCTCCAGGTGGACTTGTAGCTTACCTGAGGCTGTTTGTATCAGACATCCAAGAAGGAGAAAGAGAAGGAACAGCAGTGTCATGATGGGAAATGAGTGGTCAGGATTATACGATGACCTTACAGCCTGAAGGTGGCTCTTTCTTCAGTGTACATCAATTGAGGAGGACAAGTGATCTGGGAATGAGTTTGAATTCAGCTGGGAAACTAACACAGGAATAGAAAACCAAATATTGCACATTCTCACTTATAAATAAGAGCTAAGCATTGAGCAGACATGGACATAAATATGGTAATTATAGACACTGTGAACTACTAGAGGGTGGAGGGAGGAGTTGGGTTAAAAAACTACCTATCTGGTACTATGTTCAGTACCAGGGTAATGAGATCCATACTCCAAACCACCACATAATACCATATTCCCATGTAACAAATCTGCGCATGTACCTACTGTATCTAAAATAAGTTGAAATTTTAAAAAAATGAACATACATAGAGTAAATGGATCTTTTTTGAAATAATTTTGGGTAACTAATACTTAAATCCAGAAGCAGCAGTTTATTGCACTTTTGTTTCATTTTAGCCAATTTCTACATGTATGTGGCTAAGCACACAAGGGCGTGATACAAAAGTGGCAAAACAGATCTGCTGAGCTACCTGCAAATGCCTTTCAGAAATAAAATAAAGCATCCTTTAGTGGTGATGCTTCTTCTCAAGAGCAAATGACTCCACTCAAAGTAAATCACTGCAAAATTTAAAAAGAAGAAGAACAACAACAACGACAACAATTCATCTAGAGAGAAAAAGCTTGCATTCCTGATTCAAATGTTCAAATTATGGCATGGCTGTAACCTGAGAATGTTCCATCTATGGACTCATGATTACAGATCCAAGTCTCCTCCTATTCAAATAGAAAGTCTTCACAATAATTTTGCATTTTCTGGTGGATTTTCATTTCTGCTTATGGCTCTGAGGTTTGGTGCCTTTTTTCCCCAGAATAAATTATTATAAAATAGTGATATTGAGGATTCATCCATTTATTCATTTATCCTCATTCATTTCATGTCTCTGCATCTATCAACTTTCCTTTTGGAAATATAAAGAAAACCACCCTTTAAACATTTTTTATTTCTTCCATTCTATAAAAAAGTTTATTTTTAATGCCAGACCATGTAAGGGCAGCTATTTTAAAATTGCGTTTTGATTAAAATTGCATTTTGAATTCATGCAAGATTACTTTCTGTCAACTGCCTCTTTCCACACATCTATGGATTAAATTAACCAACATTTAATACCACTGACATTACCTTATTTCAAGATCTGAAAGTGCTACATGAATCATTAAGGAGAGGTTAAATTCTCTCTCTTCTTTTCAAATTTCAGTAGTTTTTGGGGTACAGATAGTTTTTTGTTACATGGATGAATTACATAGTGGTGAATTCTGAGATTTTAGTACACCTGTCACCTGAGTAGAGTACATTGTACCTAATAGGTAGTTTTGTATTCCTAGCCCTGCGGCCTTCTGAGTCTCTAAAATCCATCATATCACTCTGTATGCCTTTTTGAACTCATACCCTAGCTCCCACTTATAAATGAGAGCACTTGGTTTTTTGGAAAACCACCCATTTTAGAAGCTAAAAAAGGAGAAGAAATTCTGTAAATGGAAATTACATTTTTTCCTTGGTTGAGTTCAATGTTTGATTTTTTTTTTTTTTTTTTTTTGCTACCTGGTTAAAAGCGATAATTCTAGGCAGGCTCTTACCATGTCAAACTTCTGCATAGATTACAACTAGGTGACACATTAGGGGCCAAAGAGTTTCTTAATCATGTAGTGCAATGCATTTTTATGGTAAAGGAATTAAACAGCAGAAAGTATACACGGTAAAACACTGAAATTCCTCCTTCTCTCTTTCCCCTCCACATCTGTGTTGCTTTATATTGTTTCTACATCTCTCTTCTTCTCTACACTGTGAGCTTCTAAAGTAACAGGCACTGTCTGATTACCTTACTTCCTCAGCCCCTGAGAAGTACCTAGCAGAGACGAGGTACTCACGTATTTGTTTAAACAAATGAAACTTGAATGAAAGAATCAATACATGAATGAATAAATTGACAGAGGGAGGAAGGAGGTAAGGAAGTGCTGTGGCCTGAATGTTTGAATATTTGTGTCTCCCCATTCATCTGTTGAAATGCCAACCCCCAAAGTGGTGATGATATTACAAGGTGCGGGCTTTGAGGAGGTGATTAAGTCGTGGAGCTGAAGCCCTTGTGATGGGATTGCTGCCCTTATAAAAGAGGCCTGAAGGAGCTCGTTTGTACCTTTCACCACATAACAACACAGAGAAGGAAGCGAGCTCTCTCCAGACACCTATGCCGGTGTCTTGATCTTGGACTTCCAACCTCGAGAACTGTGAGAAGTAAACTTCTGCTCTTTATAAGCCACCCTGTTTATATTACTTTTTAATAGCATCCCAAATGGACTAAGGCAGGAAGGAAGGAAGAAAAGAAGGAAGGAAGGCAGGGAGGAAACTCAGGGATGCATACCTTTCGACCTCTCTAACAGTGGTCACCCTACATTAATAATCAGTATGTGTTGAGAAGCCAAAAGGTAGATTGTTGATGAGATGTAGACATCAGAGAAATCAGCCAAGCTCTGATGTAAGCTGTGGTCTTTGCAAAAATAGAGACAATTTTTTTTTTGTACCTAAGAATAAAAGAGCTCTAAAGTCAGATAACCCTGGTTTCAAAACTTTTGCTCTGCCATTCATCAACTGAGTGATCTTGTGCAAATAATTCAACCTTTCAAAGCTCCAGTGTCTCCTGTTTATTTGGTGATGGCTATAGTGTCAACCTCCTACTGTTTGTCTCAGGAAAAAAAAAAATCTTAGGAGGAGTCAATTGCTACCCAATACCTATCCACACAGAGTTGTGTTTTAACTAGGATCACCACAAGAGTTTCAACCCCATCAAAAAGTGGGCAAAGGATGTGAACAGACATTTCTCAAAAAAAGACATTTATGCAGCCAACAAACATGAAAAAAAGCTCATCATCACTGGTCATTAGAGAAATGCAAATGAACCTAACCTGTAAGAGGAACTTTTAAGTCAACTTCTGGATACCTGAAATCACACAAGATACTACTTTCCTCCATAAAGCCTGGAATGTCTCAAAAAAATCCCTAAAATTTAAAACTTAATAAGGACAACTTTGCCTTTTAGGGCCCATGGAATTAGAGGCTGGTAGGGAAACTTTGGCCATTTTGGGTGTGGGAGAAAGATGGTCGTAGATAAGGCCTAAAATTGTAGGAACACACTGAATTTCACTTATTAAATGTTAGCATAACTTAAGTTTACATAATTTAATAAAATAATATAGAAACTCCTCTGTCACTCCAGTAAGAATGAACATTCTTGAACACCTATCACGTACCATGAGTCTTGAAAGTGGTATCTTAGTTGACATAACTTTTATATGAGATAGATATTTTCTCTGAGCAAGTCAATGCAGGTTATACAACTAGTGATTGAGCTGGGATTTGAACTATCCACAATCAAAACTTTTGCTTATTTTACAGTCTTTCTTGCTAAAAAAGAAAGATAATATTTTTTGAATAAAGGAACACATCTCTAGTGAGATAAACTAGTTCTGTGTGTTTGACAGCAATAGAGCTTGAGGTTCAGAGAATGAACAGGGTCGTGCATAAAAGGTTGTCTGAATTGCACTTCCCTAACAAAGGGGGAAAGTCTGCATCAGGTGGGTCATGGTGGGCCAAGTGGGTAAAGGTCAGTGCTCCTTAATCACTTCCCAAATGTTCCGCTTCTTAATACTATTGCATTGGGGATTAGATTTCAGCATGAATTTTGGGGGAGAGACACAAACACTCATACCACAGCAAATAATGATGGTGATAATACTACTGATAATAATAATAATAATAATACCACTAGAAAGTAAAGTGGAGGCTGAAATCTGTTGTCTACATTCCTGTCTCCTACACTTACACCCTGAAAGCAAGCCTCTTTATTGCCTCCCACCCCTTATTTAAAACCAGTTGGCCCTACTGGAAACCCACCTTGCAGTTGGTTCCTCCACCCTCCACAGGCTGTGTGCTGTATGTCCCTTGGGACAAGGACACCTGAAAGCAGCTCCAGTGACCACATAATTAGGGGTCATATCAATGGGCAGAGGCAGAGCTTAGTGAGGTCATGCAGAAGGCATTGTGACCCTATTGACAGAAGTCAGGTTTGAGTGGCAGTGAGGGAAAGAAGGGTGGTAGGATGTGGGGACTCTGTAGCACCCCTTTCATAGGGTTTCCCTGAAAAGCTGGGCAAATGCAAAAGATGAGAGCTCTTGTGTGTCCAATAAGTGTTTTTCTTTTAGTTGGTATAGATGCAGTAGAGGGGAATAAGAGATAGATTAGGTGAGAGAAAGAATTGCTGGAGTCCTGATGCGATTTGGCTCTGTGTCTCCACCCAAATCTCATCTCTAATTGTAATCCCCACATGTCAAGGGAGGGATCTGGTGGGAGGTGATTAGATCGAGGAGGCAGTTTCTCCCATGCTGTTCTTGTAATAGTGAGTGAGTTCTCATGAAATCTGATGGTTTAAAAATGGTGCTTCCCTCTTCTCTCTCTCTCCTGCTGCCATGTAAGATGTGCCTACTTCCTCTTTGCCTTCTGCCATGATTGTAAGTTTCCTCAGGCCTCCCCAACCCTGCGGAACTGTGAGTCAATTAAACCTATCTTTTTTTTTTTTTAATAAATTACTCAGTTCTTTATAGCGGTGTGAAATGGGCTAATACGAGTCCTGTCTATGAGTAAGCAAGGAAATGCGATCTACGACCCTTTCTCTCTTCTTCCCTCTTTACCCTTCCCACCTTTGTTCCCTCCTTTCCTCTCTCCTTCCTTCCCTCCCTTTTCTTTATTCCTCCCTCCCTGCTTTCCTCCCTCTCCTTTCCCCCTCCCTTTCCTTCTTCCTTTTTCCATCCCTTCTGTCTTTTCTTACCATTCTTTCTCTCTCTCTCTCTCTTTCAGTGCCCTGTCTTTTTTTTTTTTTTAACTTCTCTTTCAATACATGCCGGGACAAAATAAAGGAATAGCGAAGCTAAAGTCATCTGAAAGCCAAAGTTGTGATGGAGAACAGTGAAGAGACCACATGGGGCACTTATGGCAAGGGTTCACCGTATAAAGTGCCCCAGGCATATATTATGAGCTTCTCTAGGTGCCCCAAAACTCTTCCATTTAATTATAAAAGGATATACTCGTAAAGAGATAGCCAGAATTTCTATCCTTGAAATAAAATTAATCATTTTACTTCCATTTAAAATGGCACTTATCCCTTAAATATAGGCACCCCAGTCTTGCCAAGAAAAAGCGATGGGATCATCACAGGTAATTTCAGTCTGTTAGGTTGGGCCATGAAAACATAAAACTCTGAAACCTCCTCTAAAGCTATATGTACCTTCAATGTTAAAGGGAAGGTGCTTAGTTTTCACAAACTGTTCAAATAGTCTATCTGGTCTAGAGAAAGAATTAGTAATAAACTACAATCTAACCTCAATTTATGTCAACCCTCTTGTTTCTCAGCTCCCTCTTATCTGGAGCAGGCAACAAGGACAAAAATGGCAAAGTGAAGAGCAGGTAACCGACATTCATAGCTGGTGGCTGACCAGCCAAGTGACAAGCCAAGATTGCTACCTTCTTAAGAGTCTGACACTTTCTACACAAATGCAGATTCTAAGAACGTACATTTTTGACCTCAGGTTTTTATGGATTATGATCTTTCACTTCTGGAACTCAGATGAGGGTTGAAGGCATTAAAGGCAGCCTGATGTTTTGCAAGGCAGCAATTTGCTGTTTTTTGGGGTTTTTTTTTTTTTTTTGGTTTTTTTTTTTTTAAGAATAGCACTTTGGAGGTGTGTGATTGATTAATAAAGAATTAGACCTTGAACCAGAAGAATAAATCTCTGACAGTACATATTTACTCTTTGCAAATTCTATGGAGGAAGTGCTTTTGGTGTAGGAATATCCTGGAGATATGAAATCATGGAATGGATACATATGTCTTCCACCCTCACCTAAGACTGAATCTGTTCACAATAAATTCCAAGCTACAGATCTGAAATAAATGGGCTATTCATGTAATACTGAGCTCAGAGTGCCTTCTGAGGGAGGAAGAGTTATCATATGAGCCTTGCTCATTTCTAGGAAAAAAACATAGAAAGTTCAGTAACTTGTTGCGAGTTTTTCATCATTTTTTCTCCATTAAACAAATGTAGGCTTAGGTCATTTGTGTTACTAATTTTATGCTCAATTCATGATTTGAAACTAGGATATAGTCGACCCTCTGTGTTGATCTGAAAATACTCAGGAAAAAAGAAATGTGTCTGGTCTGAACATATACAGGCTTTTTTTGGTCATTATTCCCTAAACAATATAAGTTAACACCCATTTACTTAGCATTTACATCGATTTAGGATTTACAGGTAATCTAGAGATGATGTAAAGTACATAGGAGGAAATGCAAAGGTTATATGACAATACCCATGCCATTTTACATCAAGGACTTCAGCATCTGAGGAATTTTATATCCACAGAGGACCTGAAACCAATCCCCCCCGGATACCAAGCAGCAACTATATTTGTTAATTACTGCTGAAGTAGTAAATTGTCATTAACCTTAGTGACTTTAAACAATGCTAATTAATTATCTTACAGTTTGGGGGAATAAAATATCCAAAATCAAGGTGTCAGCAAGACTGTGTTCCTTCCTAGAGTCTCTAAGTGAGAATCTTTGTTTGCTTTTTTGTTTTGTTTTGCATTTTCAAGCTTTAGAAGCTGCCCAACTTCCTTGGCCTGTGGCTTCTTCATCTCAAAGCCAGCAATGCCTGTCAAGTCATTCTAACATCACATCATGAAGACACTGACTGTTCTGTCTCTTTCCAAATTTAATGATCCTTTTGATTACATTGGTCTCGTTCACCTAATCTAAGATAATCTCCCTATTTGAAAGTCAGCTGATTAGCAACTTTAATTCTGTCTGCTGACATTAATTCTTATCTGCTATGTAAAGAAGCATAATCATAGGTTCTAGGAATTGGGACATGGACATCTTTGGGAGGCCATTATTATGCCTACTACACCTAGTAAAATAAAACTCGGTGTAGCAAATAAATACTTTGGCCACAAAAATTGTCTTTAAGGAGAAAAATGTCTGTGAATAACTTTTTAGTATATGGACATTGCAAATATCATGGGATATATAATGTAAACTCTACCTAAACTTCCAGGCACCAGGAGAGCAACAAATTCATTCAAACTAAAAATGTCACATATTATAAAAATTAAATGATTAAATAAATAAGACTATCGGACAGGCCTGGGACCAAGGTGAGGTGGGTAAGTTTGAGTTGGACAATAGCAGGATTAGATTCTGTCCTTATTTAAAACTTGAATATTTTGTAGATCATGTGTTACTTTTGAATCAATTTTTTTTTTTACAAAAAAAAAAAAAAAAAAACACATACATTATAAGATCACTTATCTTGAGTGCAGAATTTTTTGATCCCCAAATTCTGCACCTGCATCCAGTGCCTCCCTCACCTCTTGGCCTGGTTAAAGGATCTACAAAAAATCTCTAGGTCTGATTTTTTTTTTCCAATCTTGATACTCTAGGAAATCCAATGGATTATTTTAGACAAAAATGCATTTAGCTAGAGGTTGATGGTAGGCACATTAAGAGAAAAGTTAATATCAAGAAACAGAGAGCTTCATAGACATGTAGGGTATACCTGCAGAGTTCACGATTTAACTATCAAACGAGTTAAACTGCCCAACGAGAGAGGGCAGGGCTAGGCAGGCATCTTGATGCTTCCCCTCAGAGTCTATACTGTCTTTCTTCTTGAGGTTTGCTCTCCTCTCATTGTGTTCTGCGCTATATTGCCCTCATTTAACTGTACCTTCAAAAAGGACCTGTTTTTAAGAGCTTTTACATGAATCAAAATTATGTCTAGATGTGAGGAAATGCTTTGTGCAACTCAACTTTGCCATTAAATGTATAATAATTTATGAAGTAACAACTCTTCCTCAATGACCACTACATACATGAATAAGAGAAAGTCCATACCTGTAGAGAGCTCATAGACTATTGGAGAAGTAAAAAATTAACCACATGAGCAGGAAGCACAATTGCATAAGTAGGCTAAACCAGAAGGAGGGAGTGCTTGTGAAGAACAGGAGGATAGGGCGTTCCCTCCTTAGTGGATCACCCTGATTCCAGGAGGAAAGAGGCCTTTGAGTTGGGACATTAATGAGGCACAGTCTTCCAGGAAGATGTGGGGTAGGTGAGGGCACGCAAAGAGAGGAAGTAGGAGGAGCAAAGCACAGTTATAGGAAAACAATGGGAATAATTGGGGAAGGTCAAGGGACCTAAAGGGAACAGATGTCACTAAGCCTCCCCCAAATCACAGCAGTGCCAGTCTCCTTGTCAGAAACTTATGACTCATAATTATTCACTCACATCTCATGATCATGATGGAAAAGCTCAGGTTTGGAAAAGAAACTCACCGTGGATTTATTCAAGATGATACTGACACAGACTTTGTGTCTTTCTGACATGGGGTTTTGAATTCTAACATCCCGTTGCTCCTGTTGGTTTTGGGTTGCTGGAGGAGCAACCCAAAAAACTCCTCCTGTGCCATCCCTGACCCCTGGTCTGGAGAGCTGGGAAGGACATTCCAAGGATGTCAGAGATTCGCTTGTCCGAAACCAACATTACACAATCACAATTGCAATTACTAGGATAAAGATTCCATGTCTTCGAACACCGTAGCTTAATTTGGTTTAAATGCGGCACGTCTCTGCTGAGTGAGCCCTTTCTGAATCCACATTAGTCACAGAAGCTTCTTGGACTCCTCGTTACTTTTTGCAGCATTTTATTCTGTCATGGCCATAGGTGCCAATCTGTTTCAAGCTTGTAGAGCAAACATTCAGAACACACACACACCTTTATTCCTGTGTCAGCTAGCAGGATTTCTTATATCTTTAGAAAAACCTAAAGAAAGGAAAAGAAAAAAAAGAAAAAAAACCGAGAAGCAATAAACAATAAGCAAATCAAAGGACAATAGGAGTGATAGGGTGTTAGAATTCAAAACCCCATGTCAGAAAAGCACAAAGCCTGTGTCGGTGTTGACTTGAATAAATCTCTGGTGAGTTTCTTTTCCAAGCCTGGGATTTTCATCATGATCATGAGACATGAGTGAATGATGACGTGAACCTAAGTTTCTTAAAAGGAGGCTGGCCCTGACGTGGTTTGGGAATGTTTAGTTCCTGGAACCAGAATGTGAAAGACCGATCTCTGCTAAGTGACTGGGGCCTCCAGATGGGCTCAGGTAGCAGCTCAACAAGGATTTCTTGAGAATTCAGCTCCACCACACAAAAATAACCTCAAAGCTACCCTACCTCCATTTACACACACAGGCCAGTAACCTCTGCTTTCCAAATCATGAAGTCCGTTAAGTTTTTAAAATGAGATGCAAGAAAAAGATGTGGCTCAAATGGCAGAAATTGTTTAATGTGAATTTAATATGAAAGTAACTTAGGGCCGGGCCCAGGGGCTCACGCCTCTAATCCCAGTACTTTGGGAGGCCTAGGTGGGTGGATCACCTGAGGTCAGGAGTTTGAGACCAGCCTGGCCAACCTGGTGAAACCCTGTCTCTACTAAAAATACAAAAATTAACTGGGCATGGTGGTGGGTACCTGTAATCCCAGCTACGCAGGAGGCTGAGGCAGGAGAATCACTTGAACCCAAGAGGCGGAGGTTGCAGTGAGCCGAGATCATGCCATTGCACTCCAGCCTGGGTGACAGAGCAAGCCTCTGTCTCAGAAAAAAAAAGAAAAAAAAAAAAAAAGAAGGAGGGGCAAGGAGGGGCAGGGGGAGGGGAGCTGGGAATGAAAAAAGACAAATAAAAGAAAGTAGATTACAATTAAAAACAATAATTAACAGTAGAAGTAAACCTTTGTAATGAATTGTTTCTAATCTCTAAATTCTCTTCTCAATCTCACCCTTCCATTTGTCCTCCCTCCTTCCTTTCCTCCTTTCCTCCCTTTTGTCTCTTCCTTCATACTCTCCTAAGTGGTGGAATATCGCCCAATGTCTGTGCCTCCAGGAGCCCTGCTGCTCCTCTGTAACCCAAAATCCATAAACAATATGGATAAAATGAGGCTTTTTCTATGTAATTTCTATCAGATTAGACATCTCAGGTCTTAGTCTCAAATTATCTTTCTCTCTCCCTTCCTCCCTTCCACTCTCCTTTTCTTCCTTCACCCTTTTATTTTATTCTTATAACATCAAGGAGAAAATAAAATTAGGCATTCCATTTTAAAAGTGGCTTTCAATAGGCATTTTTGTTCTGTGAACCTAGAGCAGCCACAGAGGGCAAGTGTTCTCCAGGGCCTTCCATCTGAAAAGACGAAGGGCCAGTGTCCCAAACACAACTTCCCAAAGTACAGGCTGCGCCTTATCACTACCTGAAATTCTCTAGGTCACTCAAATCTACACTTTAAATATAAAAATTTAGAAAATGACATTCTGTACTTACTTCTTTGGATAAAATCAAAATTTCTCACTTTTATTGAAAAATAAAAGTCACCTGACAGTTTTCAACCATAGTCTTAGCAGTCATAGAGTGAAGATCAGGGAGGAGATGAGATTTACAGGCTACTGGGCCCCTCTGGCTTAGAAGAGGGAGTGAGGCGGCCATGAAGCTCTTAAACTCCTTTCATATTGAAGGAAATGGAGTTTGGTTCAACAAAGCAAGGCATGCAATCTACTCAGTCTAGAAGTGATAGTAGAAGAAAGAGAGAAAGGGACAAAGGGAGTCAAGCTGTAGGGGAGACAGGGAGAGAGGGAGTGCCCTGACACTGAGAGAAATACAAGAGGCAGAGAAAGGAGACAAAGGAGAGATATAGACATGAGAGACAGAGAAAAAGAGAGAGAGTGTCTACGGCCATAGCACCTTGAACATGTTTGATCTCCTCTGATCTTGTAAGCTAAGCAGGAGTGGGCCTAACTAGTACTTGGATGAGAGAGAAAGAGGTGAGAGAGAGGCAAGAGAGAGCCTCTACCCCATTTTTCCACTTTTCCAAGCCTCCTATTTCCCTGACTCATCTCATGTGGAAGAGGCATCAGGAATATGAAGCGGAATAAGAAGAGAAGATAAGGACCCTTATGGGTGATGGCTGGGAGCTTCACCATGAGCTGAGGCTGGGGAGGACACCGAGCCTTCCATCTAAACAGGTCTTGGCCCCTGGTCACTGGGCAGAATTTGGAACAGGTATTGCCTACCACATCAGTAATTACAGTGATTGAAACTGACCACCTTACTGGGGGCATCAGACAAATGGCCCTCTGAGAGAAAAGTATACCCAGGAGCTCTTATGCAAATTTGGACACAAGAAACCCCAGAACATCCCCTCGTTCTGCTCATATGACCAGGGCTTCTTTCTGTCTTGTATCATTTGGGACCTGGGATGTGAATGGAGTGAGGGGCAAGGTCTTTCTTACAGGGGAACAGACTCAGGGTCTGTGAACTGGAGATCACCTGCCTGCTCTGTGGGATGTCCTGTTTTTCCTGAATGTCTAGGGACAGTCTCAGGCCAAACTGGGAGCCGGTTCCATCTAGTTCTATCCATTGCTGGGACATTCAGCTCCTGGGGATGATACAGGGCTGGCTCAAACCCAGGGACCTGGGAGGGGCTCACGGCTTCTGGCAGCTCCAGGAGCATGGTGGGCCCCGTCCTCACAGATCTGAGCTGGTGAAATTCATGTGAAAGGTGCCCTGAAATTCTCCGTCATCACCATGGGACAGAGATGAGGCAGATGGGTGCCCACTTCCTTCCTCTGAGAAGGAGAATGGGAGGGTGGGATTGTGACTACATGTGTCCCCTCAGAGTCCACCCAGGCCCAGGCCAGGAGGTGGCCTACCACCCACACTTGAGTTCCCTCCATTCACACCGACACTCAGGGAATGTCAGCTCCACAGGACTTCAGGGCTTTGGGAGCCAGGGCTTTCCCTGCTTTCCACAGACGTCAGTGCTAAGTGAGCTCAATACCGTTGGGATTTGGTAGAGAAGCACGGAGTGGGGGTGCAAGGCCTCCACGTGGTGTCTTTCACGTGCATCCGTGTGAAGAGACCACCAAACAGGCTTTATGTGAGCAATAAAGCTTTTTAATCACCTGGGTGCAGGTGGGCTGAGTCAGCGTAGGGAGATAGGGGTGGGGCCGTTTTACAGGATTTGAGTAGGTAATGGAAAATTACAGTCAAAGGGGGTTGTTCTCTGGCTGGCAGGGGTGGAGGTCACAAGTTGCTCAGTGAGGGAGCTTTTGAGCCAGGATGAGCCAGGCCAAGGAATTTCACAAGGTAATGTCATCAGTTAAGGCATGAACAGTCCATTTTCACTTCTTTTGTGATTCTTCAGTTACTTCAGGCCATCTGGATGTATACGTGCAGGTCACAGGGGATATGATGGCTTAGCTTGGGCTCAGAGGTCTGACAGTCTCCCTATTGGTGATGGGACCCACTTCTGCAGAAGCCCTGTGTTTTCAGAGCTGTGCAAGGTCTCTGGGGACCCTCAGGACCCTGTCCTTCCTCCATAACCCAGAGTAGCAATCGGTGGCCACAGGCAATGGACAGAGCCCCTGGTGTCAGATGCTCAGGGGTGGGGCTTTTCAAGGGAAAATAAGTGGCATTCATCCTGGTTCCTCCCTCTTTGGATCCAAGGGAAGCTTGAGAGACAAGCAGGCCCCAGTGTCAGGTGTAGCGATGACACCAAGGTGTAGCGGTGACAGCCATGGGGACAATGAGCCTTGAGCCATGGTCTACATTTTAAATGTCACACTTTAAGAATTCACAGTTTGAGGCAGGCCAGGGGTGTTTTTAAAGAAAGCTGCAATGGATTCTATGAACAAGATCTTTAATGTCTTTCTTATCATGAAAGGAAGTTTCCGATGGGGTAGGCAAAGAGAGGGCTGGGTTGGGTGCCCTCACAACTGCTAAAGGAATCTGAATCCAGGGCTACAGCTGACTCAGCAGGGAGTCACTCCCTTTGTCAGAACTTTGTTTTCCTCTGTGCTGAGCAGGCTGGAATTGAGGGGCAGACTCATTCATTTCCTGACACTAAAACTATTCCTGGCCAAGGAAGCCAAATAGAAAAACTGAATGAAAAAAAAAAAAAAGCACATATGTGCTCTGTCTAAATTAATAAATAATTTAAAAAATATACTTTCTATGTCGCTGTCACCTTTTGAAAGTAGCAGGAAAATGTCATGACACTTCACCCTAATTATCTCAGCATGTATCTCTTATAAATAAGAAAAAAATTCCCGCATCAATCACACTACCATTTATGCACATTAACAAGAAAATTTCCCTGGCCTGAACACTGGGACAGCAGCTGTAGGTGCTCAGGAAGCAAAGTGTCAGTAAATTATTGCAAAACAGAAGTCAGTGCATAGACATTGAAATTGTTCCAAGAATAGCTTCGTGGCTGTTGAGTTTTCTGGGTACATGTTCAATCCAGATTCACACATCGAATTAGGTTGTCACGCCTCTTTCCTTGTTGAGTAAACATTCTTAAGGAAATGCCATGGTATGTGGCAAGGGGCCTTACTGGAGTTATTACGTAACTCTTATATGTAAATAAGAGTTTGAGTTAAGAGAGTGGTTCCCATCTTTTTCATGTGTGGCATCACTCCTGATTGATACGTCCTTAATGACTGCTGTACTTAACATGATTATTATAAAAGTAATACACTTGCATTTAAAAACTCACCCATAGAAGAGTGTGAATTTCTCCTATAATCCCGTTGCAATCCCAGGAACCACTGACAGCACTGTGGTTTTACACTTGTTGTCCTCTCTAGCTCTCAGTACATTTGTGAGGCCTTGTTAGAGAAGGAGGTGAAATTGCTCTGAAATAGGAAAGTCACTGTGAAATGC
Source organism: Homo sapiens (assembly GCF_000001405.40). Lineage (NCBI taxonomy): Eukaryota > Metazoa > Chordata > Mammalia > Primates > Hominidae > Homo > Homo sapiens. Next base: position 7,395,421 of record NC_000008.11, read on the forward strand.
AGCACCTGTGTCCCTGGGGAAGAAGCCACCAAGGCTTAGGGACCATGGGCCTGGTTGCTCAAGGACAGCTGGGCTGACTGTTCCCATGAAGATTCCTATGGTTGCAGCTATTCTTTTTTCCTGGCACAGCCCGATGTGACTCCTTCAGAGCAGTGTTCATCCTGGTGATACAGTGTGTTTGATAAAGATCAAGGGAGGAGCACTTTTGTCTTAAAGGTAGGGTTATTATCTTGCTTCAGCAAGGAAGACTATCCACCAGCACAGATATGGGTTTTTTCCCAAACCACAGGCTGTTTTCTGTGGCAAAGTGGCTCAGTTCCCCAGGCAAGAGTGGGCATTCCTTTAGATAGGCTCCCAGAAAGCAAAGTCTCTCATATCTATAATTTTAGAAAGCAAAGTTTCTCTGCACTGTGTCCTCAATGATAAATAACAGAAGCAGTTTTACTGGCTCTCAATTCTGGAGCCAGGACCAGCTTCACGGGCTTGAGGGCTGGGCAGTGACACAGGGACCTGCCCTCAGAAGGGCCAGTGCCTGGTAGCAGGCTCTGCCGACACCCTCTTGACCTTAGTTTTTTTTCTTTGAACTTCATTTTGTAAGTGAAGCCCACTGAGACAATGGAGCAGGCACATGAGCAGAGTGGCTATGAGGGGGGACAAGGTGGGCAGGCTCAGGCCCAGGGACATGAAGGCCACATGTTGGAGCTTGCTGCCCTGAGCACGGGTGCTTTGGAGCGGCCCAGGCACATCTCGACTGGGAAGGAAGATGGCAACGGACCAGGATGGGAGGTGGCAGCCGCAGCAGCAGGTGTCCTCAGCCCTGGGGTGAAAGGAGGGTCTCTGTGTGGACGCAGCACTGACACCTCTGTGCCTGTGCATTCTCAGAGTCATCCTTGGAGCTTCTGCACGAATATCTACCCCCTGACCTGAGCACCAGGACAGGAATCATAGGGCTCAGATAGCAAATTGGGAGGAGAGAAGCACAAAACAAAAGTGTGCCCATGGACATTGTGAAAGAGTATGCCAGGGAGTTCTTGGAATTCCTCAGAGAGTTTAGAGTTCTTCAAGGAGTTATCCAAGGCTCAGAAATATAAATTAAATATATAATGATAGTCACAAAACTTCTGATGGGACAGGCATGGTGGGTCACACCTGTTATCCCAGCACATTGTGAAGCTCTGGTTAGAGGACTGTTTGAAGCCAGTTGTTGGAGACCACCATAGGCAGTATAGTGGGCAGTATAGTTAGACCCCAACATTAAAAAAAAAAAAAAAAGATTAGCTGAGCACAGTGGCACATGCCCGTAGTCTTAGCTACTTGGGAGGCTGAGGTAGGAAGATCATACGAGTTCAGGAGTCTGAGGCTGCAGTGAGCCATGATCATGTCAACAGATGGAGACCCTACCTCAAAAAGAAAAGAAAAGAAAAGAAAATAACACTTCTGATCAATCAATTATTAACAAGTAGAGCAATTTTAAAAATTCAGTTCTTCTTGTTAAAGATACAACAATAGAATTCAAAAACAGGAGTTTTGAGTAAGTTACAAATCATGACGCCACATTTGGTCTGCTGTGGGCCTCTGCAACTTACAGAACATGTCAGAAGATGCATCAAAATTCCATTGGAGAAATTTACACTTAAAATTAAATTCAAACTTCCATAAAACTGATTTGCTTAAACAGTTATATGCTTTGAAAAAAATAGCTCCACAAGAACCACCAGCTACAGATATACTAAAATTTGTGTCAAAATAGTTTATCCCAATATTGTCAGAGTTTAGATAATATTCCAGAAACAGTTGCTTCAGCAGATTCTTTTCAGAAGAAAAAATGAAGTTGCTCAAGGTATAAAGTTTGATGACCTAATAAATTAATTGCAGAAAAGTTGGCCAGAAAAATTGTTTGATTCATCTAGATCCAATTAATAAAGTATTATTATTTATTCTATTAAAACTGTGACACTGGTTTCTGGTGGGGATTTATATGATTCTGTTCTTACTCTTCTAGAAGTATTATCCCTATTACACTTTTCAAATGATGAAACATACTGGCTTGAGAAAGCTGAATACCCTCCTGCCTTTCACGACACTTTCTTCTGCTGCTCTTTGAACAAGGCGCCCTGCATTTCCACTTTGCACTGAGCCTTGGGAATTTTGCAGCCGGCCTTGCCGTGGCCATTTTTATACAAGTTATCTCATTTAATCCTCAGAAGCAAACATGCCAGGGGGTTATTACCCAAGTTTACAGAGGCAGGTCCTGGGGCCTAGAAAGGTTAGAGGACATGTTCAATGTCATCTGACTACTAAGTGGCAGAGATGGAATTTGAAATAAAATCCCTCTCTCTTCAAAGCCCATGTTCCTAACCAGCACCACACAATCACCATGGTGTCCTGATAACCTCCCCCTCTTCATCCTCCTACAACCCCAAAGCTACAGTAACGCTCTGCGTAAGGCCAGAGTCCACGCGGCTACTGTCACCCTCTCCCATCTCCTGAGCTGAGCGGTGAGTCCACAGCCTGGCCCGGCCTTGCAGGAGGTGAGGGAATGAGCGCGCAGTTACTGCCACCTCGTGGCGGCCTGACTACATGACCCTGAAACGCAGACCTAATCTGTTTCCTGCCTGCCTGAAGCCTGGGTGTGCACCTGAGACTTCTAGTAATTTCCTTTTTCCCCTTAAGGAACCTATCGAGAGTTCTCACAATTTTATGCATTCTCTCAAGCAAGTAGCTTTCGTTTATTTATTTTTAATATTCTCTTTTGTGTCCACATTCTTTTTTATTCACTCGTTTTCCTATTTACTTTCAGCTTAATTAGTTCTTTTTTCCCCAGGTTTTTTACAATGGAATATTAGATTGTCTATTTCTGAGCTTTCGACTTCGCATCATAATAGCAGTTAATGTTATCAATTTCCCTCCAAGCACTGCTTTTGTTGTATTGCCACAAATTTTGGTATGTTATGTTTCCATTTGCTGTCATGTGAAAATATTTTTAAATTTCTCCTTTGACTCATTAGAAATATGTTGAGTAATGTCCAAATATGTGAGGAATTTTCCAGCTATTTTCCTTTAGTCACAGCTTCATACATTCCACTGTGGATAGACATTACGCTACATATGATTTTAAATTGTTTTGATTTTTTTGTTTCTTAGTCCAATATGAGCTCTCTTAGGTAATATTTCAATGCATTTTACTGTTATTGGGAGGAGTGTCCTGTAAAGCTTATATAGGTCATAATGGATGATACTGTTGTTCAAGTTCTCTCTATCTTTATTTATACTTTGCTGCTAAAAAAACTATTTCAAAGAAAAAAGTGTTGAAATATTCAATGGTAATTCTTAATTTTTCAATTTCTTCTCTTAGTTCTATCAATTTCTTTTTAAAAATTTTGAGATTCTCTTATTAGGTGCATACTAATTTAATAATAATGATATGTGTTCTTGGTGATTTAACAACTTTATCACTGGAAAACATAGGCTCTTTATCAGTAATAATACACCTTGCTGTAAAATCTACTTTGATTTATAGTCAGTTAGCCGATACAGCTAATTCTGTTTTCATTAGATTAATGTTTCCATACTATAACTCTTTCTGTCCCTTTACTATCAACCTATCTTTGTCCTTATATTTGATAAAGACATTGGGTTTTTATAGACAGCGTGTATTTGGGTCTTGTTTTATACTACAAGTTTGCTAGTGAGGAATTCTCTTAGTTTTTGTTATTGTCATTAGAAAATGCCTTTACGCGGTGGGTCACGCCTGTAATCCCAGCACTTTGGGAGGCCGAGGTGGGCGGATCTCGAGGTCAGGAGATCCAGACCATCCTGGCTAATACGGTGAAATCCTATCTCTACTACAAATACAAAAAAATTAACCGGGCATGGTGGCGGGCGCCTGTAGTCCCAGCTACTGGGGAGGCTGAGGCAGGAGAATGGCGTGAACCCGGGAGGCGGAGCTTGCAGTGAGCCGAGATCGCACCATCGCACTCCAGTCTGCGTGACAGCGAGACTCCGTCTCAAAAAAAAAAAAAAAAAAGGAAAAGAAAATGCCTTTACTTATTACTGGAATATGTGTTTAGCATTAATCTAGAAATGTATTTTTGCTTGTCAGGGTCCTATGTTGACTTATTTTTCTTCTTTTGGTACTTAAATATGTCACTTTATTTTTTCTACTTCTGTAAGCAGTGTCTTCTCTCAGCATGCTTTTAAGATTTTCTCATTATTTTTGATTCAAAACAATTTGATTATTGATATGGTTTGGCTCTGTGTCCCTACTCAAATCTCATCTGGAATTATAATCCCATAATCCCCAGTGTTGGGGGGCAGGACCTGGTGGGAGGTGATTGGATCATGGGGAGGTGAATTCTGCCTTGCTGTTCTCATGATAGTGAGTGAATTCTCAAGAGATGTGATGGTTTTATAAATGGCAGTTTCCTTCTGTGCTTACTCTTGTGCTCTGTCTCTCTTCCTCTCTCTCTCTCCCTCTCTCTTTCGTCTGACACTGTGGAAGACTTGCTTGCTTCTGCTTCACCTTCCATCACGATTGTGAGATTCCTGAGGCCTCCTAGCCATGCTTTCTGTTAATCCAGCATAACTGGGAGTCAAAGAAACCTCTTTTATTTATAATTATCCAGTCTCAGGTAGTTCTTTATAGCAGTGTGAAAATGAACTTGTATAATTATGATATTCTTGTTCTTTTTTTTTTAAATAATTATTCTTCTTGGATGTCTTTCAATACCAAATTTGTATGTTTCCAGTCTCACCAAATTTATAAAAATAGGCTATTATTTCACTAACTTTATGCTTTCTCCTGGAATTTCTTTCTGCCTTCAAACACACATAGGTGCTAGATTGCTTGATATTTCTGTGAAGTGCACTGTTTATTTTTCATCCAGAGTTTTTTTCTCCCTTTGCTTCATTTTCTCATTTGTTTGTGTTAATGTAGACTCAGGCTTACTGATCCTTTCTTCTATACTGTCATGTGTCATTAATCCAATTCAGAAATTTTTTTGTTCTCATCATTTTGTTTTACTGCTGGAAGGCCCATTTGGTTCTTTTTATGTGTTCCTCCTCATCAAAAAGGTTTTCTCTTCAGCCTTTGACATATTTATAACTTTTATAATAGCTCCTTTACATTCCCTTTTCTGATCCTAGTACCTTTGTCATTATTGGGTCTGTTTTTACTGAATGACTTTTCTCCTAGTTATGGGCTATATTTTCCTACTTCTTTTCATGCTTGGAAATTTTTTATTGGATTCAGTATATTATAAAGCCTTTTTTTTTTTTAATTTGGAAACAGGGTCTTGCTCTGTTGCCCAGGCTGGAATGCAGTGGTGCAATCTCAGATCACTGCAACCTCTGCCTCCCTGGTTTAAGCAATTCTCTTGCCTCAGCCTCCTGAGTACCTGGGACTACAGGCCTGTGCCACCACGCCCAGATAATTTTTCTATTTTTAGTAGGCATAGGTTGGCCTGGCTGGTCTCGAGCTCATGCCCTCAAGTGATTCACCTGTCTTGGCTTCCGAAAGTGCTGAGATTACAGTCATGAACCGCCAGGCCTGGACAGCTTGAATTGTTGAGTAACAGTTTTGGTTGTTTTCCCCAAAGAATGCTAGACATCATCTGGTTCATTTTGGGGGTTCTATACATTCATTTGGTTTTTTCAAGAATGGCTTGAAAATTTCTTGAAGCAGTTGCAGAGCAGTTTAATCTAGAGCTAACTAGCACCACTACTTGCTGATGGCTTTCTGAGGTTCTGAGTTCTCTCCACTTTGCTGTGGGGATACAAAGTTTTCAAGACTTGTCTGTCCTCCTGAAAATGCCGTTCACTCCCTTATGGAGTTTTTACTTTTTTCTGGCCTGGGGAAGTCTTAGCCCAAGTGTGCACACATCATAACATAGCCTAAGAGTGAAGGCATTCTTCTCTTCTCCAACACTCAAGATCAATGCTTCCTTTCAGTAGCCCACTCTCTGATATGTGCACTGGAAATTGGGGTCTGATACAGGTTGGATGTTTGTACTCTCCAAATACTATGTTGAAATGTAATTCCCAGTCTTGGAGGTGGGACCTGGCAGGAGGTGTTGGGGTCATTGGGGTGGATCCCTCATGAATGGCTTGGTGCTGTCCTGGAGATAATCTGTGAGCTCCTTCTTTGAGTCATGGGAGATCTGGTTGTTTCACACAGTGTGGCACCTCCCCAACTCTGGCTCCTTCTCCTGGCTTGTGATACTCCTGCTCCCCCTTCCCCTTCCTACACAAAAGGAAGCCTTCTGAGGCCTCAAAAGGAGCAGATGATGTCACCATGCTACTCATACAGCCTACAGAATAGGGAGCCAAAATAAACTTCTTTTCCTTATGAATTACCCAGCATTAGGTATTCCTTTATAGGAGTAAAAACAAACTGACACAGAAAATTGATACTGTGCAGGGGGCATTGCTGTAAAGACAGCTGAAAATATGGAAGTGGCTTTGTCACTGGGTACTGGCAGAGGTTGAAAGAGTTTGTAGGGCCCAGCAAAAGATAGGAAGATGAGGGAAAGTTTGGAACTCTTTAGAAACTTGTTAAATGTACGTGACCAAAATGCTCACAGAGATATGGACAGTGGAGTCCACACTATCAAGTTGTTAGATGGAAAAGTGGAAGTTACTGGGAATTAGAGCAAGGGTCCCCATTGTTACACCCCAGTCAAGAGCTTGGCTGCATTGTGTTCACGTCCTAGGGATTTGTGGAAAGTTGAACTTTAGAGTGATTAGCTAGAGCATCTGGTCTAAGTAATTTCCAAGGAGCAAAGTATTCAAGATATGTAGCTGCTTCTACAAGCTTGCAATCAGATACAGGAGCAAAGAAATGCTTTCAATTTGGAACTTAAAGGAGAAGCTGTCAGGCGTCTCAGCCCAAGCCAAGCCATCGCATCCCCTGTGACTTGCATGTATACGCCCAGATGGCCTGAAGTAACTGAAGAATCACAAAAGAAGTGAATATGCCCTGCCCCACCTTAACAGATGACATTCCACCACAAAAGAAGTGTAAATGGCCGGTCCTTGCCTTAAGTGACGACATTACCTTGTGAAAGTCCTTTTCCTGGCTCATCCTGTCTCAAAAAGCACCCCCACTGAGCACCTTGCAACCCCTACTCCTGCCCGCCAGAGAACAAACCCCTTTTGACTGTATTTTTCCTTTACCTACCCAAATCCTATAAAACAGCCCCACACTTTTCTCCCTTCACTGACTCCCTTTTTGGATTCAGCCCACCTGCACTCAGGTGAAATAAACAGCCATGTTGCTCACACAAAGCCTGTTTGGTGGTCTCTTCACACGGACGCACATGAAATTTGGTGCCGTGACTTGGATCGGGGGACCTCCCTTGGGAGATCAATCCCCTGTACTCCTGTTTTTTGCTCCGTGAGAAGATCCACCTATGACCTCAGGTCATCAGACCGACCAGCCCAAGGAACATCTCACCAATTTTAAATCAGGTAAGCGGCCTCTTCTTACTCTCTTCTGCAACCTCTCTCACTGTCCCTCAACCACTTTCTCCTTTCCACTCTTCAATCTCTCCCTTCTCTTAATTTCAATTCCTTTCATTTTCTGGAAGAGACAAAGGAGACACGTTTTTTCCATGGACCCAAAACTCCGGCACTGGTCACGGACTGGGAAGGCAGCCTTCCCTTGGTGTTTAATCATTGCAGGGATGCCTCTCTGATTATACACCCACGTTTCAAGGGTGTCTGACCATGCAGGAACACCTGCCTTGGTCATTCACCCTTAGCGGCAATTCCCGCTTTTCTGGGGAAGGGGCAAGTACCTCAACTCCTTCTCGCCTTGTCTCTACCCCTTCTCTGCTTTTCTGGGAGAGGGGCAAGTACCCTTCAACCCCTTCTCCTTCACCCTTAGCGGCAAGTCCCGCTTTTCTATGGGGCAAGAACACCCAATCCCTTATTTCCACGCCCCAGCCTCTTATCTCTGCACCCCAATCCCTTATTTCCATGCCCCAACCTCTTATCTCTACACCCCAATCCCTTATTTCCATGCCCCAACCTCTTATCTCTACACCCCAATCCCTTATTTCTGCACTCCGACCTCTTATCTCTGTGCCCCAATCCCTTATTTCAGTGCCTCAACCTCATATCTCTGCACCCCAATCCCTTATTTCCATGCCCTGACCTCTTATCTCTGTGCCCCAACCCCTTTTCCCACTTTTCTGGAAGGTAAGAACCCCCAAACCCCTTCCTTCCATTTCTCTACTCTCTCTTTTCTCTAGGCTTGCTTCCTTCACTATGGGCAACCTTCCATGCTCCATTCTTCCTTCTACTCCCTTGGCCTGTGTTCTCAAAAACTTAAAACCTCTTCAAGTCACACCTGACCTAAAACCTAAATGCCTTATGTTCTTCTGCAATGCCACTTGACCCCAATACAAACTCGACAGTAGTTCCAAATAGCCAGAAAATGGCACTTTGAATTTTTCCATCCTACAAGATCTAAATAATTCTTGTTGTAAAACAGGCAAATGGTCTCAGGTGCCTGACGTCCAGGCATTCTTTTACACATCAGTCCCTTCCTAGTCTCTGTGCCCAGTGCAACTCATCCCAAATCTTCCTTCTTTCCCTCCCGCCTGTCCCCTCAGTACCAACCCCAAGTGTCGCTGAGTCTTTCTAATCTTCCTTTTCTACAGACCAATCTGACATCTCCCTTCCTCCCCAGGCTGCTCCTCACCAGGCCAAGCTACGTCCCAATTCTTCCTCAGCCTCTGCTCCTCTACCCTATAATCTTTTTATCACCTCCCCTCCTCACACCTGGTCCGGCTTACAGTTTCCTTCCGTGACTAGCCCTCCTCCACCTGCCCAGCAATTTACTCTTAAAAAGGTGGCCGGAGCCAAAGATATAGTCAAGGTTAATGCTCCTTTTTCTTTATCCCAAATCAGAAGTGTTTAGGCTCCTTTTCATCAAATATAAAAACCCAGCCCAGTTCATGGCTCATTTGGCAGCAACCCTGAGACACTTTACAGCCCTAGACCCTAAAAGGTCAAAAGGCCGTCTTATTCTCAATATACATTTTATTACCCAATCTGCTCCCAACATTAAATAAAACTCCAAAAATTGGAATCTGGCCCTCAAACCCCACAACAGGACTTAATTAACCTCACCTTCAAGGCGTACAATAACAGAAAAAAGTTGCAATTCTTTGCCTCCACTGTGAGACAAACCCCAGCCACATCTCCAGCACACAAGAACTTCCAAATGCCTGAACCACAGCAGCCAGGCAGTCCTCCAGAACCTCCTCCCCCAGGAGCTTGCTACATATGCAAAATCTGGCCACTGGGCCAAGGAATGCCCACAGCCTGGGATTCCTCCTAAGCCGCGTCCCATCTGTGTGGGACCCCACTGAAAACCGGACTGTTCAACTCACCTGGCAGCCATTCCCACAGCCCCTGGAACTCTGGCCCAAGGCTCTCTGACTGACTCCTTCAGAGATCTTCTCCGCTTAGTGGCTGAAGACTGACACTGCCCGATCGCCTCAGAAGCCCCCTAGACCATCACGGACGCTGAACTTCGAGTAACTCTCACAGTGGCGGGTAATTCCGTCCCCTTCTTAATCATTACGGTGGCTACCCACTCCACATTACCTTCTTTTCAAGGGCCTGTTTCCCTTGATTCCATAACTGTTGTGGGTATTGATGGCCAGGCTTCTAAACCTCTTAAAACTCCCCAACTCTGGTGCCAACTTAGACAATACTCTTTTAAGCACTCCTTTTTAGTTGTCCCCACCTGCCCAGTTCCCTTATTAGGCCGAGACAATTTAACTAAATTATCTGCTTCCCTGACTATTCCTGGACTACAGCTATATCTCATTGCCACCCTTCTTCCCAATCCAAAGTCTCCTTTGCGTCCTCTTGTATCCCCCGACCTTAACCCACAAGTATAAGATACCTCTACTCCCTCCTTGGTGACCGATCATGCACCCCTTACCATCTCATTAAAACCTAATCACCCTTACCCCACTCAACACCAATATCCCATCCCGCAGCATGCTTTAAAAAGATTAAAGCCTGTTATCACTCGTCTGCTACAGCATGGCCTTTTAAATCCTATAAACTCTCCTTACAATTCCCCCATTTTACCTGTCCTAAAACCAGACAAGCCTTACAAGTTAGTTCATGATCTGCACCTTATCAACCAAATTGTTTTGCCTATCCCCCCTGTGGTGTCCAACCCGTACACTCTTTTGTCCTCAATACCTTCCTCCACAACTCACTATTCTGTGCTTGATCTTAAAGATGCTTTTTCACTATTCCCCTGCACCCCTTGTCCCAGCCTCTCTTCGCTTCCACTTAGACTGACCCTGACACCCATCAGGCTCAGCAAATTACCTAGGCTGTACTGCCGCAAGGCTTCATAGACAGCCCCTATTACTTCAGTCAAGCCCAAATGTCATCCTCATCTGTTACCTATCTCAGCATAGTTCTCATGAAAACATATGTGCTTTCCCTGCTGATCATGTCCGATTAATCTCCCAAACCACAATCCCTTACAAAACAACTCCTTTCCTTCCTAGGCATAGTTAGTGCAGTCAGAATTCTTACACAAGAGCCAGGACAGCACCCTGTAGCCTTTCTGTGCAAACAACTTGACCTTACTGTTTTAGCCTAGCCCTCATGTCTGCGTGCAGTGGCTGCCGCTGCTTTAATACTTTTAGAGGCCCTCAAAATCACAAACTATGCTCAACTCCCTCTCTACAGTTCTCATAACTTCCAAAATCTATTTTCTTCCTCATACTTGACTTATATACTTTCTGCTCCCCGGCTCCTTCAGCTGTACTCACTCTTTAAGTCCCACAATTACCATTGTTCCTGGCCCGGACTTCAATCTGGCCTCCCACATTATTCCTGATACCACACCTGACCCCCATGACTGTATCTCTCTGATCCACCTGATATTCACCCCATTTCCCCATATTTGCTTCTTTCCTGTTCCTCACCCTGATCACGCTTGATTTATTGATGGCAGTTCCACCAGGCCTAATTGCCACACACCAGCAAAAGCAGGTTATACTATAGTACAAGCCACTAGCCCGCCTCTTAGAACCTCTTATTTCCTTTCCATCGTGGAAATCTATCCTCAAGGAAGGAAATAACTTCTCAGTGTTCCATCTGCTATTCTACTACTCCTCAGGGATTATTCAGGCCCCCTCCCTTCCCTACACATCAAGTCAAGGATTTGCCCCACCCAGGACTGGCAAGTTAGCTTTACTCAACATGCCCTGAGTCAGATAACTAAAATACCTCTTAGTCTAGGTAGATACTTTCACTGGATAGGTAGAGGCCTTTCCTACGGGGTCTGAGAAGGCCACCGCAGTCATTTCTTTGGTTCTGTCAGACATAATTTCTCAGTTTAGCCTTCCCACCTCCATACAGTCTGATAACACATGAGCCTTTATTAGTCAAATCAGCCAAGCAGTTTTTCAGGCTCTTAGTATTCAGTGAAACCTTTATATTCCTTACAGTCCTCCATCTTCAAGAAAAGGAGAATGGACTAAAGGTCTTTTAAAAACACACCTCACCAAGCTCAGCCACCAAAAAGGACTGGACAATACTTTTAGCACTCTCCCATCTCAGAATTCAGGCCTGTCCTCGGAATGCTACAGGGTACAGCCCATTTAAGCTCCTGTATAGACGCTCCTTTTTATTAGGCCCCAGTCTCATTCCAGACACCAGACCAACTTAAACTGTGCCCCAAAAAACTTGTCATCCCTACTATCTTCTGTCTAGTCATACTCCTATTCACTGTTCTCAACTACTCATACATGCCCTGCTCTTGTTTACACGGCCGTTTTACACAGTTTTTCCAAGCCATCACAGCTGATATCTCCTGGTGCTATCCCCAAACTGCCGCTCTTAACTCTTGAAGTAAATAAATAATCTTTGCTGGCAGGACTATGATGAGTCTCCTTAGGCACTCTCTAATCAGATATCCTGAGTCGTCCCAATTCTTAGACCTTTTATACCTGTTTTTCTCCTTCTGTTATTCCATTTAGTTTCTCAATTCATCCAAAAGCGTATCCAGGCCATCACCAATCATTCTATATGACAAATGTTTCTTCTAACATCCCCACAATATCACCCCTTACCACAAGACTTCCCTTCAGCTTAATCTCTCCCACTCTAGATTCCCACGCCACCCCTAATCCCGCTTGAAGCAGCCCTGAGAAACATCGCCCATTCTCTCTCCATACCACCCCCCAAAAATTTTCACCACCCCAACACTTCAACACTATTTTGTTTTATTTTTCTTATTAATATAAGAAGGCAGGAATATCAGGCCTCTTAGCCCAAGCCAAGCCATCGCATCCCCTGTGACTTCCACGTATATACGCCCAGATGGCCTGAAGTAACTGAAGAATCACAAAAGAAGTGAATATGCCCTGCCCCAATTTAACAGATGACATTCCACCACAAAAGAAGTGTGAATGGCCGGTCTTTGCCTTAAGTGATGACATTACCTTGTGAAAGTCCTTTTCCTGGCTCATCCTGGCTCAAAAAGCAACCCCACTGAGCACCTTGCGACCCCCACTCCTGCCCACCAGAGAACAAAACCCCTTTGACTGTAATTTTCCTTTACCTACCCAAATCCTATAAAACGGCCCCATCCTTATCTCCCTTTGCTGACTCTCTTTTCAGACTCAGCCCGCCTGCACCCAGGTGAAATAAACAGCCATGTTGCTCACACAAAGCCTGTTTGGTGGTCTCTTCACACGGACGCGCATGAAAGAAGCAAAGCATAAAAATTTGGAAAATTTGCAGCCTAGAAATTTAGTAGAGAAAGAAAAAGCATTTTCAGAAGAGGACTGTAAGGGGCTGTGGAGAAACCACTTGCTAGAGAGATGTGCATGACTGAGAAGGAGCCAAGTGCTAATAGCCAAGACAATGGGGAAAAGGCTTACAAGGCATTTTTGAAAACTTTGAGGCATTCCCTCCCACCACAGCCCACAGGCCTAGGAGGAAAGAATGGTTTCAGTGGCCAGACCCAGGCACAGCTGCCCTGCTCAGCTTCAAGACACATCCTGGCTGCCCAGCCTCCAGCCTCAGCTCAAAGGGCCTAATGTACAGATTGGCCACTGCTTCAGTGGGTGAAAGCCAGAACGTCTTGGCAGCGTTCATGTGGTGCTAAGCCTGCAAGTCTGCAGAGTGCAAAAAGGAAGGAGGCTTGGCAGCTTCCACCGAGATTTCAGAGGATGTGTGGCAAAGTCTGGTTCTCCAGGCAGAAAACTGCTGCCGAGGGAGAGTACCAAGAGAAAAACTCTACCAGGGCAGTGCTAAGGGGAAACGTGGGGTTGGATTCCCCACACAGTGTCCCCAGTGGGGCATTGCCTAGTGGAGCTGAGGGAAGGGGAACACTGCCCTCCAGACCTGAGAATAGTAACACTGTTGACAGCTTGTACCCTCAGCATGGAAGAGCCACGGGCATCAGATTCTGACCTGTGACAGGAGCCATGTGGGCTGCACCCTGTAAAGCCACAGGGGCAGAGCAGCCCAAGGTCTTCAGAGCCCACCCTCACAGCAGAATAAAGGACATGGAATCAAGAATTATTTTCAAACTTTGAGGTTTAATAGCTGCCCTGCTGAGTTTCTGACATGTGTGGGGCCTGTAATCCCTTTTATTGGCCAATTTCTGCCTTTTAGAATGGTAGTGTCTAGCCAATGCCTGTGCCATCATTGTAACATGAAAGTACATAACTTGTTTTTGATAGTACAGGCTAAAAGGCGGAAGGAATTTGAGTCTCAGGGGATGAGATTTTGAACTTTGGACTTTTGATTAAGTTAATGCTGGAAGTAGTTAAAACTTTGGGGAGTGATTGGGAAGGGATGATTGCATTTTGCAATGTGAGAAGGACATGAGATTTGAGGGACCAGAGGAAGAATAATATTTTTCAGATGTTTGTCCCCTCGAAACCTCCTGCTGAAATCTAATCCTCAGTGTTGGAAGTGGAATCTGGTGGGAAGTGTTTGGGTTGTGGGGGTGAATCCCTAATGAATGACTAACTGCTTTCATCACAAAAATGAGTGAGTTCTTGCTCCGAGTTCATACAACATGTAGTTGTTTAAAAGAGTCTGGGACCTCCTTGCACCCTCTCGCTCCACTCTTACCACGTGATATTCCTGCTCCCACTTGACTTTCCACTATGACTGAAGGCTTATGGAGTCCTAACAAGGAGCGGATGCAGGCACCATGCTTCTCACACAGCCAAAAATAGTGAGCCAAATAACTTCCTTTCCTGAAGTATTATCCCACCTCAGGTATTCCTTTAGAGCAACACACACAGACTGACACAGGGCGTATCGTGCTGTGTGAGCTTTGACCTTGGTCTCCTCAATGCTACAGGGTGCTGGTCTTCATGTAAGTCTTCCTCCCTGTGCTGTGGCCTGTAACCTGGCCCTATAGAGAGCTAGGGGCAAAAGGACATCCTACTTTATTTGTTTGTTGCACTGCTTATTATCCAATATATGAACACAGCTGTCTCACACCTGCTGACTAGTTCCATCTTGTCTACTGTAGGAGGGCAATTCCCATAGCAGTGAGTCCGTTTGGATGGAAACTGAGGAACAGGCTCAACTTTTTCAGTTTTTGTCCCTTCTTCCTGAGAGCCTCATTGTCTTTTCATATAAGCCTTCAGAATTTGAGAAAGATATACATAAAATTCCGTAAAATGTTGGTAGGTTTTCATCTTTGTTCTCCATTACAGAAATGTAGCCTTAGCTTTTTTGTGTTACTAATTTTATGCTCAGTTTATAATTTGAAACCAGTAGGCCCTTCCTATTCGTGTGTTCCACATCAGGAAACGTTCTACAAAAACATTGTGTCTGAATTGAGCATGCACAGGCCTTTTTCTCTTGCCATTATTTTCTAGGAAATACAGCATAACTCCTACTTACTTAGCATTTACATTGTGTTCAGTGTTACAAGAAATCTAGGAATGATTTAAAGTATATGCAAGGAGTGTGAAGATTATATGAAATTACTACTCTTTTATATCAGGGACTTGAGCATCTGAGGCATTTGGTATACACAGGGGGTCCTGGAACCAATCCCCCATGGATACTGAGGAGCAATTGTATTTGTGTTCTGTTTCTAAGCAAATTGTCATAAGCTTAGTGACCTAAACCAACACAAATTATCTTGCTGTTTTGGGGATCAAACATGAAAAATCAAAGTGTCCTTAGGACCTTTTTCCTTTCCAGAGGTTCTAAGAAGCTGAGTTTGCTTTCCTTTTTTTTTTTTTTTCTTCTTTGCCTTTTCAAATCTGAGAGGCTGCCCATGTTCCTTGGTTTGTGGATCCTTCCTTCATCTTCAAATCCAGCAATGGCTGTTGAGTCGTTCCCACATCGCATCACCCAGACACTGACTGTTCTGCCTTTCTTTTCCACATTTAAGGATTCTTGGATTACGTTGGTCTCATTCACATGATCTAAGTTAATCTCCCGGTTTTAAAGTCAGCATATCAGCCAACTATTCTATCTGCTGTCTTAGTTCTTATTTGCCGTAAAGTGTAACATAATCCCAGGTTCTAGGGATAAGGACATGGACATCTTTGGGATGCCGTTATTACACCTACTACACCTAGTAAAATAAAATTCAGTGACGTAATAAATACTTTCACCAAGAAAAATATCTTTAAAGAAAAAATGTTTTCAGTGATTCATAGTGTTATTAGATGAATATAGGAGGCCAAGTTCAATTTGGCTTTCAGAAAAACCATGAAGAACTTTTTAGTGTATTTAATCCCAAATAGTATGAGATAGATAATGCCACAATAAACTGGATGTTGTTTATCTAAAACTCACATTTAACTGAGTGTCCTATACTTTTATTTGCTAAATCTGTCAACCCTAGTCATGTAGGATTAATACAAACAAATACATGTTTCTTCTAAGTTGCTCACATATGAGAGCAAAACAAAGAAAAGTACATTTAAGGTTCTATCACAGGTCTCTCAGAAAAAGTTTCCTGGATGTGTTATCATCCCCCAGATACCCTACAATTAGATCTTTTTGATGTTTCTTTAGTGTTTTTTTAATTATCTCTCTTTGATCAAGACCTTCACTGAAATGTATTCTTTTAAAAGCAAACACTCCTTCATTTTGGATTCATTAAGAGACAGATGTTAGCATGAAAAAGCCCATATCCCAAGAAGGCTGGGGCATCTGAAACATGTCTGACCCTTTTCATTTTTGAATAGACTCTCCTGTCTTATGTAAAAATATTAAATAATTGAATTCTGGTACTTGATACAATATGTGAAGTCAATATCACAATAGATGGGATTAATAGCAAAGTGACCAGAGCAGAGTAGAGGATCCAAGAATTAAAACACAGGTCAGTGGGCTGGGCACGGTGGCTCACGCCTGTAATCCCAACACTTTGAGAGGCCAAGGCAGGCGAATCACTTGAGACCAGGAGTTCAAGACCAGGCTGGCCAACATGGTGATATTCTATCTCTACCAAAAATACAAAAAAAAAAAAAAAATTTAACTGGATGTGGTAGAGGGCACCTGTAATCTCAGCTACTCAGAAGGCTGAGGCAGGAGAATTGCTTGAACCTGGGAAGCAGAGGTTGCAGTTGAGTCGAGATCACACCACTGTACTCCAGCCTGGGTGACAGAGCAAGGCTCTGTTTCAAAAAAAAAAAAAAAAAGTAAGAATACAAGTCAGTGGAAAATTTTCAGGTTGAAGTGCAGAGATATAAAATAATGAAAAATACAAAAAATTGCATAAATATATATGTGAAGGCACAGTAAAAGGATGCTTTGTATATGTGTGTCTGTGTGTTTGCATTGAGTATATATGCAATACACACATATTGCATATGTGTTTGTGTACATACGTATGGTTGGTGCAAAAGTAATTGCAGTTTTTGCCATTACCTTTAAAGGCAAAAACCACAATTACTTTTGGACCAATTCTCTATCTATCTAGACAATTCTATTTCCAGGAAGAGAAATGAGCGAGGGACAGCAGCAATAACTGAAGAACTAATGGCTGAAAATCTGCTCAAAGCAATGATATTATTCCACATATTCAAAAAGCTCTGAAAACACCAAGAGGATGTGTCAAAAGTAAACTCTACCTAGACTAGTCTCAGACAAACCCTGTTCTTTGGAGAGTTTCTTCATCTGCTTTAAATATAGTTGGAACAAGATCAGTTGCTAATTTTGTAGCCAGGTGAATTCAATAAAATGATGAATGAGCTTCAGTGTTTAAAATTAATACCTTTTTTTTTTTCTTATGAGTCTTCAGGCACGATGAAATGGGAACAATTTTATTCTGTTATGTCATGAGTTCACAGGTTCAGAGACTTAGAGTATGACTTGCAAGCTCACTTGGTTGGAATGGATTCTGTGAATTCTGTAAACTCCCGGAGTTATCCTATTTTTGACCATCCAAATTAAACAGCTCCAGCTCCCATTCCTCATTAGTGTAGACAGCCAAATGTTTCTCAGAACTCCCTACAGGTGCTTATGCTCCTAATATCTTGTGCAAATTCTTATTTCTGTCTTCTGTGTGACATTCTCTGGCCACCTCCACCTCACTCCTGCAACCAACTACCCATTTTCTTTGTAGCTTTGCATTAAGAATTACTGAGGCTTTCCCCCTTTTCCAAGAATTTTCAAATACACAGCAATTGATTGAGACACAGTTTTGCAAAAACATAAGGATAATGACGGGTGGTTAATGCACAGAACTGTTAAAAATAAGAATAGAAATCAGAGTGCATTCTAGCTAAAGAGTTCAGCCACTCTTGGCAATAACCTCTACAGGCTACTTTGTGCCCTGATGTTACAGGTATACCTGCTCCTTTTGGAACCCAGAACTCCTTTCATTGTTAATCTCTGAGGGCCAAGAAACCTTTAACATTTTATTTTTAGAATTGTAGAATGATTTAGCGCTTATGGATTGTATCTCTATTTCACAGATGCAGTCAGGTGTCCTATCTTCCAAGACCTAAACAGCCATTAAAGGGCCTTCTTAAATAAAAGGAGAGTTTCTTCCTAAGAGAGTTGTGCTGTTTCCCCTAGAACATAGGAATGAATGTCATTGTCATGGTGACTTTTACTTTTTGTGTGTGTGTGAAGCTTCACTTCTTTTATACAGTCAAATGATATATGCTTCCAGGAATCAAGAAATCCACTAATTTATTCAAAATAACAACGTATATACGATGAATATTAAATGACTAAATAAAGGCAGGGTCTGACTATCCTGGCATCAAGGTAGGTGAGTGCGACTGAGTTGGACAATCACAGGATTAGACCCTGTCTTGGTTTAAATTTTGGAGAGTTTGTTAATTATGGTGATTTTTTCATGAATATTATTTTTTAAAAATCTATCGCATTATAAGATCATCTATCTTAAGTACAGGATATCTTAGTGCTTACATTTTATACCTGAGGCCAGAGCCTCCCTCGCTTCGCCCTAGTCCTGGCTCTGTCATCACGTCTGGATAAAATCTATATCCAGATAAAAATGCTTTTACTCTAACAAGGTCTGGTTACTTTTTTCAATCTTGAGATTAGGAAAGACAATGGATTATTTTGGAACTAAGGTGCATTTTCCCAGACGTAGATGATATGCACATTCAGTGCAGAGCTAATGTGAAGAAATAGAGAGCTTCTTATGCGTCTAGGATACACCCACAGAGTTCATGATTTAAGGACCAAACCCTCCCAAGGAGAGAGAGCAGGGCCAGGGAGCTATCTTGATGCTCCCCCTTAGAGTCGATGAGTCTTTCTTCTTGAGGTTTGCTCCCCTCTGCTTGTGTCCCATGCCATATTGTCCTCATTTAATTGTGCCCTCAAAGAGACTTGTTTTTAACAGCATTTACTTGGATCCTATTATGTTTGTATGTAAGGAAACCCTTGTACAACTGCATTTTGCCATCCAATTAATGAAATAGTTTATGAATGGCCAGCACATAAATGAATAAGACAAAGTCCACACTAGTAGAAATCTCATAGCTAAATGGAGAATTAAAAATTCACGCACCTCTGTAGGAGGCATAATTGCATAAGAAACCTTAGCCAGAAGAAGGGAGTCCTTGTGAAGAACAGAGGACTGGGCATCCCCTCCCTTGGCAGATCCACTATGATTCCATGAGGGAACTGGTCTTTGAGTTGGGCTTGCTTTTTTTAGGGAAGATGTGGGGTAGGTGAGGGCATGCAAGGGGAGGATGCAGGAGGAGCAAAGCACACGTTTTAGGAAAATGCCGGGAATAAATGGGGAAGGTCAAGGAATCCAAAGAATACAGATGCCTGTGACCCTGGAAAGCACTCCAAGCCCCGCTGTGGCAGCCCTGACCCCTTCCTGGAGAGCAGAAAAAGGTGTTTCAAGGATATTAGAGATGGCCTGCCCAAACCAACATCACCCAATGACCACAATTACTAGGATAAAGATTGCGTATCTTTGGACACCATAGTTTAATTTGGTTTACATGTCGCACGTCTCTGATGAGGGAGCCCTTTCTGAATCCGCATCAGCCACAGCAGCTTCTTGGCCTCCTCATGGCTTTTTGCAGCATTTTGTTCCAGGGAGACCACAGGTGCCAATTTGTTTATACCTTCTAGGGCAAAAGACTGGATGACATATGGCTCCACTCTTAAGGCAGGTAACAGGATCGCCTATACCACCAAAAACACCTAACAGGGAAAAAACACACAAAAAGAGCAAACAGCGTGTAAGAACTCAAAACTCATGTTGGAAAAACACAAACCCTGTGTCAGTATCGCCTTGAGTAAATCCGCAGCGGGCTTCTTTCTCAAGCCTGGGCTTTTCCATCATGATAATGAGACGCGAGTCAGTCATTTGGATCTAAGTTTCTGACATGGAAACTGGCACTGCTGTGGTTTGGGGGATGTTTATTTTTGTAGAACCTGATTGTGAAAGACCCTGATCTCTCCTGAGTGACTGGGGCCTCCAGGTGGGGTCTGGTAGGAGCTCAGCAACGATCTCTTGTGAATTCAGCTCCACCACAAGAAGATAATATCAAAGCCACCATACCTCCATTTTAACACACACAAGCCAGTAAACTTTTGCTTTTTCAAATCATTTAGTCTGTTAAGTATTTGATCTGAGATGGGATAAAAAGATGCAACTTACTGAAATTGTTTAATAGGAAATTAACACCAAGTAACTTACAGTTGAAAACCACAATTAACCATAGAAATAAATTTTGTAATGGCTTGTTTCTAATATCTAAGTCCTGGTTTCAACCTCATTCTTCTTTTTTTATCCCTCCCTCCCTCCCTCCCTCCCTCCCTCCCTCCTTCCCTCCCTCCCTCCCCACCTGCCCGCCTCCCTGCCTCCCTGCCTCCCTGCCTCCCCGCCTTCCTTCATTATACTGTTCTAGGTTTTGGAAAACATGAGGTCTCTGGTGCCTCTCAGAACCCCATTGTTCTCACAAAACCCAGGACTCATAAATAAGATTGGTAAAATGAGGATTTCACAAGATGATATCTATTAGATTAATTGTTTTAGGATTTACTCTCAAATTTTCTTTTTCCCTTTCTCCATCCTTCCCTTCCACTCTCCCTCTTTTATCCTTTCATGGTTTTTATTTTATTTTCATAATATCAAGGAGAAAATGAAGGTTAGGCATCCAGGTTTAAAAGTTGGTTTCAATGGGCTGTCCCTGTCCTGTGAACCTGCAGTGGCCTAGTGGCAGGGACTGTTCTCAGGGCCTCTGATCAGAAAAGTCCTGGGGGCAGAGTGTCTGCTGCAGTAGTTCTCACAGTATAGGCTGGGCCTTAAGATTATCTGGAATTCTCTAGGTTGCAGTATCTACCCTTTAAATATAAAAATTTAGAAAATGACATTCTATACTACTTTCTTTAGATAAAATCAAAATTTCTGCCTTTTATTTAAAAAGTCACCTAACAGGTTTCAACCATAGTCTCAGCAGTTGTAGCATGGAAAGCAGTGAAGAGATGATATTTACAAGCTACTGGGCTCCTTCATATTGGCTTAGAAGAACGAGTGAGGTGTCCATTGGGTTCTCAAACTCCTTTTCTATTGAAGGAAGCAATGCTTGGTTCAATTAAATAGGGCATTCAGTCTAAAAGTGTGGGTAGAAGAAAGGAAAGAGAAAGAAAGAAAGACATGCTCTAGGGAGAGAGGAAAAAGAAAGACAGAAAAAAAGAGAGAGAGGGAAGAAGAGAGAGAAGCAGGAGAAAAGGATGGAGGGGACACACAGAGAGAGGAAGGAGAGAGAGGGATGAGGGAGAGATAGGTGGAGGGGAATGAGAGGAGACAGAGAACTTCTACGCCATTCTTCCATTTGGCCAACCCTCCTATTTCCCTGGCCCATCTCACCTGGAAGAGGCATCAGAAATATGAAGAGGAACGAGAAGAGGAGATACAAGACCCTCATGGCTGATGGCTGGGAGCTTCACCAGGAGCTGAGTCTGGGGAGGACATCAAGCCTTCCACCTTATAAAGGTCCTGGTCCCTGGTCACCAGGTAGAGTTCAGAACTGGTATTGGGTGCAATGCTCATTACAGAGGTTAGAATTCAGCCACTTACCTGGTGAGTCAGAGAATGGTCCTCAAAGAACAATGCACACTCAGGAGATCTTATGCAAATCTGGACTCAGGAAACCCCAGAAAATCCCTTCCTCCTGCTCTTGGGACCAGAAAATTCCTCCTATCTTGCACCATTTAAAACCCAGTGTGTGAATGGAGTGAGGGGCTGGGTCTGTCTCACGTGAGAACAAACTCAAACTCAGGACCTATAACCTGCCACTCACCTGCTGCCCACTCTGTGCGACGTCCTGTTTTTCCTGAGTATCTGGGGACAGTCTCAGGCCAAATTGAGAGCTCTTTCCATCTAATTCTATCCATTGCTCGGACATTCAGCTCCTGGGGATGATACAGGGCTGGCTCAAACCCAGGGACCCTGGGAGGGGCTCAGGGCCTCTGGCAGCACCGGGAGCATGGTGGGCCCCATCCTCACAGGAGATCTGAGCTGGTGAAATTTATGTGAAAGTTCCCCTGAAACTCCCCATCTTCCCCACGGGAGAGAGATGAGGCAGATGGATGCCCACTTCCTTCCTCTGAGAAGGAGAATGGGAGGATGGGATTGTGACTACATGTGTCCCCTCAGAGTTCACCCAGGCCTGGGCCAGGAGGTGGCCTACCACCCGCACTTGAGTTCCTTCCATTCACACCGTCACTCAGGGAATGTCAGCTCCACAGGACTTCAGGGCTTTGGGAGCCAGGGCTTTCTCTGCTTTCCACAGACGTCAGCGTCACTGCCCTTGGGATTTGGTGGAGAAGCACCGAGTGGGGCTGCAAGGCCTCCACGTGGTCTCCCTGTTGGTGATGGGAAACACTTATGAAGGAGCCCCATGTTTTCAGGGCTGTGTGAGGTCTCTGGTGTCTCTCAGGACCCTGTCCTTCCTCCGTAACCCAGAGTAGCAATTGGCGGCCCCAGGCAATGGACAGAGCCCCATCCCGGGCACTCAGGAGAGGGCCTTTCTTGGGAAAATGAGTGGCATTCATCCTGGTTCCTCCCTCTTTCGATCTAAGGGCAGTTTGAGAAACAAGCAGGCCCCAGTGTCCATGTCTGTGATGTCTCAGGGGTGCAGCAGTGACAGAGACATGGGGACAATGAGGCTTTCCTCATGACCTGCCTGACCTCTTCATTTAAAATGTCAGGTTCTGAAGAACCCTGATTCCTGGCAGGCCAGAGGTGGATTTAAAGGAAGCTGGTAATGATATTGTGCAGCCAAGATCCTTAATGACATTTTTATAAAAGGAAATTTCTGAGCCTAGCATGGTGGCTTACACCTGTCATCCCAGCAGTTTGGGAGGCTGAGGCAGGTGGATCACATGAGGTCAGGAGTGTGAGACCAATTTGACCAACATGGCAAAACCCCATCTCCATGAAAAATACAAAAATTAGCCAGGCATGATGGCTTACGCCTATAATTCCAGGTATTTGGGAGGCTGAGGCACGGGAGTCGCTTCCGACAGAGCAAGACTCAGTCTCAAAGAAAAAAAAAAAAAAGAAGGTTCTGATGGGGTATGCAAAGAGAGGGCTGGGTCAGATGCTGTCAGAACTGCTAAACAAATATGCATCCAGGACTGGAGCTTAGTCACCAGGGAGTCACTCTGATTGTCAGGGCTTTGTTTCCTTGTGTGTTGAGCAGGCTGGAATTGAGGGGCAGACTCATTCATTCCTGACACTAAAACTATTTCTTCCTGGTGAAGAAAGCATACAGAGAAATGGAATATGAAATAAAGCCTTTATGTGCTCTACCTAAATTAATAATTTATTTATTTTTTTTTGTATATTTGCTATGTCACCTTTAGAAAGTAAGAGGCAGCTCTCACTTGCTGCTGATGACCTGCCTCGCCATGCACATGTCCTGCCAGCACCCCACAGAAATGCTTCCATTACCCACAGTCTTTCACCAGATGAGACCAGTGTCCAGGCTACTGGCTCCTCACCTCACTTGAAGTGATGGTAAAGATGTAAAATTTGGTGATGATGTCCGAGCCTTAATGCTTCAAAGTGTAGACTTTTTGTCGAGGCTGTAGCCATTACAATGGGGCCAAAGGGAAGAACAGTAATTATTGAACATAGCTGGGGAAGTCCCAAAGTAACAAAAGATGGTGTGACTGATGCAAAGTCAATTGACTTAAAGGATAAATATAAAAGCATTGGAGCTAAACTTGTCCAAGATGTTGCCAATAACACAGATGAAGAGACTGGGGGATGGCACTATCACTGCTGCTGTACTGGTATGCTCTATTTCCAAATAAGGCTTCCAGAAGGTTAGCAAAGGTGCTAATCCAGTGGAAATCAAGAGAGGTGTGATGTTAGCTGTTGATGCTGTAATTGCTGAACTTAAAAAGCAGTCTAAACCTGTGACCAAACCTGAAGAAATTGCACAGGTTGCTACAATTTCTGCAAATGGAGACAAAGAAATTGGTAACATCATCTCTGATGCAATGAAAAAGTTTGGAAGAAAGGGCATCATCACAGTAAAGGATGGAAAAACACTGACTGATGAATTAGAAATTATTGAAGGCATGAAAATTTGATCGAGGATATATTTCTCCATACTTTATTAATACATCAAAAGGTGAGAAATGTGAATTCCAGGATGCCTATGTTCTGTTGCATGAAAAGAAAATTTCTAGTGTCCAGTCCATTGTAACTGCTCTTGAAATTGCCAATGCTTACTGTAAGCCTTTGGTCATAATTGCTGGAGACATTGATGGAGAAGCTCTAACTACACTCATCCTGAATAGGCTAAAGGTTGGTCTTCAGGTTGTGGCAGTCAAAGCTCCAGGGTTTGGTGACAATAGAAAGAACCAGCTTAAAGATACGGTTATTGCTACTGGTGGTACAGTGTTTGGAGAAGAGGGCTGACACTAAATCTTGAAGACGTTCAGCCTCGTGACGTAGGAGAAGTTGGAGAGGTCACTGTGATCAAAGATTATGCCATGCTCTTAAAAGGAAAAGGTAACAAGTCTCAAATTGAAAAATGTGTTCAAGAAATCATTGACCAGTCAGATGTCACAACTAGTGAATACGAAAAGGAAAAAGTGAGTGGAGAAACTTTCAGATGGAGTAGCTGTGCTGAAGGTTGGTGGGACAAGTGATGTTGAAGTGAATGAAGAGAAAGACAGAGTTATAGGTGCACTTAATGCTACAAGAGCTGCTGTTGAAGAAGGCATTGTTTAGGGAGGGGGTTGTGCCCTGCTTCGATGCATTCCAGCCTTGGACTCATTCACTCCAGCTAATGAAGATAAAATAATTGGTATAGAAATTATTAAAAGAACACTCAAAATTCCAGCAATGACAATTGCTAAGAATGCAGGTGTTGATGGATTTTTGATAGTTGAGAAAATTATGTAAAGTTCCTCAGAAGTTGGTTATGATACTATGTTAGGAGATGTCGTGAATATGGTGGAAAAAGACATTATTGACCCAACAAAGGTTGTGAGAACTGCTTCATTGGATGCTGCTGGCATGGCCTCTCTATTAACTACAGCAGCTGTTGTAGTCACAGAAATTCCTAAAGAAGGGAACAGCCCTGGAATGGGTGCAATGTGTGGAATGGGAGGTGGCCTGTTCTAATTCCTAGAATAGTGCTTTACCTTTATTAATGAATTGTGATAGGAAGCCCAAGGCAGTGTTCCTCACCAATAACTTCAGAGAAGTCAGTTGGAGAAAATGAAGAAAAGGCTGGCTGATGTTTAAGAAACCACTATAACCATCAGTTACTGGTTTCAACTGACAAAATATATAATGGTTTACAGCTGTCATCCATGCCTACAGATAATTTAGTTTGTATTTTTGAATAGAAAGATCTTGTACATTCCTGACACTGGGTACAAGAGCCATGTACTGATGTACTGTTTTCAACTTAAATCACTGAGGCATTTTTTAGTAAAAATGAATAGTAGTCTATTCTGTTAAAATCAGGATTTTAGTGCTTGCAACCACCAAATGAGAAGTTAAGCAGCCTTTCTGTGCAGAGTGAGAATAATTGTGTACAAAGTAGAGAAACTTCCAATTATGTGACAACCTTTGTGTACTAAAAATGTGTTTAAAGTTAAAAAAGAAAGACGCAAACATCATGACACTTCACTGTAATTATCTCAGCAGAATCTCTTACATATGAGGGGACATTTCCACATCAAACACAATACAATTTACACACATTAAGAAAACTAGTTCCTCAATGTTATTTATTATCTTGTCAATATTTCACATTTCTCCAATTGTTCCAACCATGGCTTCATGGCTGTTGATGTTTCTGGATACATGTTTAATCTAGATTTGCACATCAAATCAGGTTGTCATGTCTCTTAATTTGTTGAGTAAATATTCTTAAGGAAATGTCATGGTACTATGAGAAGAACCTTATTGGGGCTTAGAGTTTGAATTAAGGGCCTGGTTGCCATCTTTTTCACGTGAGACTTCATTCCTGATCGATACATTCTTAATGACTACCATGCTTAACATTATTATTATAAAAGTAATACACTCACATTTAAAAACTCACCCATAAAAGAGAGTGAATTTTTCCTACAAACCTGTTCCAATCCCAGGAACCACCGATAGCACTGTGGTTTTTCACTTGTTGTCCTCTCTAGCTCTCAGTACATTTGTGAGGCCTTGTTAGAGAAGGAGGTGAAATTACTCTGAAATAGGAAAGTCACTGTGAAATGCAGCACCTGTGTCCCTGGGGAAGAAGCCACCAAGGCTTAGGGAATATGTGCCTGGTTGCTCAAGGACAGCTGGGCTGACTGTTCCCATGAAGATTCCTACGGTTGCAGCTGCTTCTTTTCTCCTGGCACAGCCCAGTGTGACTCCTTCACAGCTGTGTTCATCCTAGTGATGAAGTGTGTTTGATAAGGACCAATAGAGGGGCATCTTTGTTTTAAAGGTAGGGTTATGATCTTGCTTCAGCAAGGAAGACCATCCACTGGCAGAACCATGGGGCTCTTCACCAAAACCAGAGATGCAGCAATTCTAGGATTTGGGGACATGTCAAGATTTGGTAAAATATACATGACTTTTCTTTTTCTTAATGAGCTAAAAGCAAAGCCAGGTTGTGTGTAAAATGGGAACCATCAAGTCTAACTGACAAATAGACTCACTATGCTGTCTTTTAATGAAACATTACCTGTGCTGTGTCCCCAAACCTATCTCTATAACTGGGGAGAGAATTTCAGGCTGTTTCTTTGTGGCAAAATGGTTCAGTTCCCCAGGCAAGAGTGGGAAGCCTCATTCTTATAGATAGGCTCCCAGAAAGCAAACTCTCTCATCTCTATGATTTAGAAAACAAAGTTTCTCTGCATTATGTCCTCAATGTTAAGTAACAGAAGCAGTTTTACTGGTTCTCAATTCTGGAGGCAGAGCCAGCTTCATGGGCTTGAAGGCAGGGCAGTGACACACGAATCTGCTCTGAGAAGGGCCGGTACCTGGTGTCAGGCTCTGCTGATAGCTCCCTGACTTTCTTAGTTTTTTCTTTGAACTTGTGTTTTGTAAGTGAAGCTTACTGAGGACAATGGAGCAGGCACATGGGAAGAGTGGCTATGAGGGGAGACAAGTTGGGCAGGCTCAGGCCCAGGGACGTTCTAGAGCTTTGCTGCCCTGAGCATAGGCATTCTTGGAGCAGCCCAGGCACATCTGGACTGGGATGGGAGGTGGCAGCAGCAGCAGCAGCAGCAGGTGTCCTCAGCCCTGGGGTGAATGGAGTGTCTCTGTGTGGAGGCAGCACTGACACCTCTGTGCCTGTGCATTCTCAGAGTCATCCTTGGAGCTTCTGCACAAAGATTTACCCCCTGACCTGAGCACCAGGACAGGAACCATAGGTGCTCAGATAGCAAACTGGGAGGAGAGAAGCACAAAACAAAAGTGTGCCCATGGACATTGCAATAAAGTATACCAGGAAGTTCTTGGAATTCTTCAGAGAGTTTAGAATTCTTTAAGGCATTATCCAAGACTCAGAAATGGAAATTAAACATGTAATAGTAGTCACATTCAACAGAGAAGGATGCTATATTTGTATAAAACTTCTGATGGGCCAGGCATGGTGGTTCACGCCTGTTATCCCAGCACGTTGTGAGGTTCAGGTCAGAGGATTCCTTGAGGCCAGGTGTTGGATACTAGCTTGGGCAGTATAACTAGACACCATCTCTACAAATAATGATAATAAAGATAATAAAGATTAGCTGGCCATAGTGTCACATGATCGTAGCCTTAGCTTCTTGGGAGGCTGAGGTATGAGGATTACATGAGTCCAGGAGTTTGAGGCTGTAGTGAGCAATGATCGTAGCACTGCACTCCAGCCTGAAAAATACAGACCTTGTCAAAAAACAAAAAACAAACAAACAAACAAACAAAAACCTTCTGATTAATCAATTATGAACAAGGAGGGCAATTTTAAAAATTAAGTTTTTCTTGTTAATAAATACATAGCAATAGAATTCATAAACAGGGGTTTTGAATAAGTTACAAATCATGATGCCATATTGGTCTGCTGTGGGCCTCTGCAACTTACAGAACATGTCAGAAGATGCATCAAAATTCCGCTGGAGAAATTGACACTTAAAATTAGATTCAAATTTACATGAAACTGATTTGTTTAAAGAGTTAAATCTTTTGAGACAAATTGTTTCACAAGAATCACCAGCTCCAGATATACTAAAATCTGTTTCAAAATAATTTATCCTCATGTTGTCACAGCTTGGAATATATTCCAGAAACAGTGGCTTCAGCAGATTCTTCCCAAAAGATAAAATGAAGTTGCTCAAGGTATAAAGTTTGTTGTCCTAATATATTATTTGACAGAAAAGTGGGCCAGAAAAATTGTATGATTCATCTAAATCCAATTAATAGAGTAGTATTTTTATTCTATTAAAACTATGAAATTAATTTCTGGTGGAGATTTGTAAGATTCTGTCATTACTCCTGTATAACTATTACATTTTTCAAACAATGAAAAATATTTGTTTGAAAAAGCTTAATATCCTACTGCCTTTCATTACACTTTCTTTTTCTGCTCTTTAAACCATGGTACCCTGCATTTCCATTTCGCACTGAAACTTAGGAATTTTGCGGCCAGCCCTGCTATGGCCATTTTTATATTAGTTATCTTATTAAATCCTCAGAAACAAGCCTGCCAGGTAGGTATTACGCAAGTTTACAGAGGCAGGTCCTGGGGCATGGAAAGGTTGGAGGACACGTTCAAGGTCACCTGGCTACTAAGTGGCAAAGATGCAATTTGAAATAAAATCCCCCTCTCTTCAAAGCCCATGTTCCTAACCAGCGCCACACAATCATCATGGTGTCCTGATAACCTCCCCTCTTCATCCTCCTACAACCCCAAAGCTACAGTAACGCTCTGCCTAAAGCCAAAGTCCATGGAGCTACTGTCACCCTCTTCCATCTTCTGAGCTGAGTGGTGAGTCCAGAGCCTGGGCTGGCCTGGTCTTGCAGGAGGTGAGGGAATGAGTGCGCAGTTACTGCCACCTCGTGGCGGCTCGTCTATATGACCCTAAAACGCAGATGTAATCTGTTTCCTGCCTGCCTGAAGCCTGGGTGTGCACCTGAGACTTACAGTAATTTCTTTACCCCTTAATGAACCTATTGAGAGTTCTCACAATTGTATGGATCCTCTCAAGGAATCAGCTTTTATTTACTAATTTTTAATGTTTTTTTGTGTCCAGTTTCTTTTTATTCACTTTTTCTTTTTCTCTTTTTTTTTCTTTTTCTTATTTACTTTGGGTTTAGTTTGTTCCCTTTTCCCTTACCGTTTCTTACAGTGGAAACTTAAATTGTCTATTTGTGAGCTTTTCTGCTTTCTATCATAATAGCATTTAATTATAAATTTGTCTCCAAGAGCCACTTTAGTGGCACTTCCGCAAATTTTGATATGTTATGGTTTCATTTTCTATCAGTTGACCATATTTTCTAAAGTATCTTGTGATTTCTCCTCTGGACCATTTAGATACATGTTCATTGATGTCCCAATATATGGAGATTTTTCCAGATGACTCTCTGTATTGATAGTTTTGTAAATTCCACTGGAGATAGACACTGTCTTTTGTATAATTTTAAACTATGTTGATTTTTTGAGACGTTTCATAGGTTAGTATGAGCTCTATTGGGTAATATTTTAATGCATTCTGCTGTTATTTGGTAGAGTGTTCTATAAATCTCAAATAGGTTGTGCTGGACGGTAGCGTTGCTCAAGACTTCTCTACCTTTACTAATATTTTGTCTGCTTTAAAAAATCTCTTACAGGAAGAGAAGGGTTGAATTGTCTAATTGCAATTGCTAATTTGTCTATTTCTTTAATGTCTATTGATTTTTCTTTAAGAATTTCAAAATTCTGTTATTAGGGGCACACACTGATTTAATATTAATATCTGTTCTTGGTGATGTAACCACTTTATCATTAGGAAAAATATCTCTCCCTATTACTGATAATACCCCTTGCTCTAAAATCTACCCTAATTTATGTCAATGAGCCAGTATAGCCAATCCTATTTTCTTTATACTAATGTTTTCATATTATATCTCTTTCCATCCTTTTATTTTTACTCTAAGTTTGTTCTTAAAGTTTATATATAAAGTGGGTTTTTATAGACAGCATGTAGTTGGGTCTTGCTTTTTACTGAACTGACAATCTCTCTCTTTAAGGAGCTTCTAGAATGTTCACAGCATGCTCTTTTCATCATATGGAATCAAATTTCTACCTAGCATCTTCCCTTTCTGCCAAAAAACTTATCTTTGCATTTTATAGTACAGACTGGCTGGTGAGGAATTCTCTTAGCTTTTATTGTTGTTACTGGAAAATGCCTTTACTTATTATTTGATTATGTGTTTACCCTTTTTTTAGAAATATACTTTTGCTGGGGTGGATTTCTAAGAGAACATTTTTTTTCTTTCGGCATTTGAAGATAACACTTAACGTTTTGTTCTTCTGTAAGTAATATGTCTCCTTTCAGACTGCTTTTTAGTTTTATTTTTGTTTTTGAGACGCAGTCTCTCTCTGTTGCTCAGGCTGGAGTGCAGTAGGGTGATCTCGGCTCACTGCCATCTCCGCCTCCTGGGTTCAAGAGATTCTCCTGCCTCAGCTTCTTGAGTAACCTAGGATTATAGGTGCGTGCCACCATGCCTGGCTAATTTTTGTATTTTTTTTTTAGTAGAGACAGGGTTTTACCATGTTGGCCAGGCTGGTCTCAAACTGCTGACCTCAGGTGATCCGCTCACCTTGGCCTCCCAAAGTGCTGGGATTACAGGCATGAGCCGCTGTGCCCGCCCTCAGGCTGCTTTTAAAATTTTCTTTTTATTACTGATTTAAAATACTTTGATTATGATATGTTTCATGTGGTTTTCTTCATGTTTCATATTTCAACTTGGATGTCTTCATGTGGTAAATTTGTGTGTTTATAGTCTCACCAAATTTGGAAAACAATAGGCCATTCCTTCCTTAGCTCTATCCTCTCTCTCAAAACTTTTCTTCTTTTATTCGAGATGGAGTCTTGCTCTGTCGCCCAGGCTGGAGTGCAGTGGTGTGATCTCGGCTTACTTGCAACCTCTGCCTCCCAGGTTTAAGCGATTCTCCTGCCTCAGCCTCCAGAGTAGCTGGGATTACAGGTGCACGCCACCACACCCAGCTAATTTTTGTATTTTTAGTAGAGATGGGGTTTCACCATATTGGCCAGGCTGGTCTTGAACTCCTGACCTTGTGATCCACCCTCCTCAGCCTCTCAAAGTGTTGGGATTACAGGTGTGAGCCACCACGCCTGGCTGTCTAAACACACATAGTTGCTAGATTGCTTGATGTTTCTGCACAGGTCACTGCTTATTATTTTCCAGCCCTTTTCTCCTCTCTTTGTACTATTTCTTCATTCATTTGTAGTAATATAAACTCAGGTTTACTGATCTTTATTTTGGAATATATGCCACAATCCAACTCATAGTATCTTTTACTCAGATGTTTATTTTTAATCTCTGGAAATTCCATTTGTCTCTTTATATCTCTCACTCATCATGAACAGTTTTTCTCTTCAAACTCGGACATATTTATAACATTTATAATAGCTCATTTAAATCTTTTTTTGCTGATCCTAGTATCCTTGTCATTTCTGGATCTGTTTTTACTGAATGATTTTTCTCTTGATTATGACCATATTTTCCTGCATAGCAGCTAATTTTTTATTAGATTCAGTGTGCTATAAAGCACAAACTGTTGAGTGATGGATTTAGTTGTTTTTCTTTGAAGAACGTTAGGCTTTATTCTGTCCCACATTTAAGTTTCTCATAGATCAGTCTGGTCCTTTCAAGAATGGTTTAGAAAAAAATTTGTTAGAGTGGTTGCAGAACAATTTAATCTAGAGCCAAATAGCACTACTACTAATGTGTTAGTTGCCCAAGGACTCTGCAGTCTCTCCACTTTGCTAGTGGGAATGAAAATTTTTCCAGCCTTTAGTGCTCCTAAAATTGTTATCCAATCCCTTTTGGGTGTTTTTCTTTGCCTCTAGCCTTGTGAAGTCTTACCCCAAGCGTGCTCACATGAAAACACAGCCCAGGACTGAAGATTTACCATGTGTCCCTGCCCCCACCACCAACACTTCGGGGCCTTGCTTCCTTCTAGGCACCCTCTCTCTGCTATTCTGCCCTGGAAGTGGGGGTGTCTTGTGCTTTGGGAAGTTTGATTTCAGTCTCTTCAATGCTTCAGGATTGCTGGACTTCGTTTGAGTCTTCCTCTGTGTGCTGTGGTCTGGACCCTGCTGCTGTAGTGAGCTGGGGGCAATCGAAAGTCTCACTTCATTGGTCTGTTGCACTGCTTATTATCCAATGTCTGAACACAGCTGTCACACATCTTGACAGGTTCCCTTTTGTCTGCTGTCAGAGGGAGATTCCCATAGCAGTGAGTCCATTTTGGATGGAAAGTGAGGAGCAGTCTCATCTTTTTGAGCCCTTGAGCCTTTCTTCCTAAGAGCCTTGTTGTATTGTCTTTTCTCCATACGTGGAGCCATGAGTGGGGTCTGGTGTCAGGTATGAAAAACCACACACTCCATTTGCTGGAATCCTACTGCATCAACGTTGAGAGAGCACTAGATAGTTAAACTGCAGTACCTCCAAATCATTTGAATGATTAAAGATAATTCAATCAATAAATCGTTTGAATGTACTTCAATTCATAAATACTTGTTGAGCAGCCTTCATGCTCAGGGCACTTTACAAGCAGTACAGGAAGAATTAAGACAAACTCCTTGCTTTTAAGGCTCACAAAGTCTAATATGGAGATTGGCAATATGTCACTGTACGCAATGTAAAAACCAAGCAAGGGTTGTAGATGGAGGACTCAAGTCAGAACCCTGTGGTGAACCAGAGGAAAGACTGTAAGCATTTGGGAAATCACCTGTGTTTTTAAGGTGGAGATAAAATGTGAGACGGTCCCTGAAGGACAGGTTAAAGTTTAGAGATGAAGTTGGAGGAGTGAGGCAGACATGAGGTCAACCAGAGCAGAGGCATGGGTGAGAGAAAGCAAAGTGAATATCTGAGGAAGAGCCAGTTTCCTTATTTCTCTGAAGACAAAGTTTTTGGAAGGAATTGGGATAGCCCCTGAGGGATGCATGAAAACCTTAGAGATAGATTTGGTGGAGAGATGCCATTTGGGGTAGAGGGACTGAAAAGGCCCAAGGCTTGGATGACATGAAAGCAAAGGGCATATTCCAAGAGAGTGAAGAGTCCAACTTCACTGGGGCATAACGTTCACAAAGTAGGAATAGAACCTGATAACCCTTGGATAATAAGGTTGGGCTCCCTTATAGATTTCTCCAGAGATTCTACTTTCTTTGAACGAAAGGTGAGTCCTTAAGATTTTCTGAGTTGTCTGTTTGGAAACAAGTACCAAAATAATCAGATTTAAAAAAAAAAATCAAGCTCCTAATTTTTTTTGAAAAAAAAATGTAATTTGATTTTACTTTTATAAACTTTAAGAAGGCATTTCCACACTTTACAACACTCTCGTCATGTTTCAGGGTTTTTATTTCTTTCTTCGGCAGCATTTTCGGCCACGCGTCGAGCACTTGCCGATCTGTTCCTCCTTTGGAAGGCAGCTGAGCACAGCACACCGGCCGCCTCTGACTCTGCAATAATATTTCTGTAATGTGTTTATGATTCCTCCATGACCTGCAATGACAAAACAGCACACACGGAAAGGTTTTAGGAAGGCTTTTGGTACACGTACAAGGCTTGTGGAATTCCTCAAATAACTCATCCCTTGCTTTTCTTGTATTCTTTTGTTTCTTTTTCCTTTTTCTATAAAATCAGGAGGAAGATGAAGGTATGACTACACAACCCATAGACAATGTTTCTAAGGCTGCAGCTCAGCTGTGGACCCACAGTGGCACCGGGGAAGTGGCGTGACCCTGTGACTGCCGCAGGAACAGTGGGGGTGCTGAGGCTGTGGTGTCCTCAGAGGTAGCCCCAACACTCCACCTCCAACCATTGCACTTAGTAGAACAGGAGCCTGTGCTTCTATTCTCAGAGTAAATCAATCTTTCCTGCTACATTAAACTTTTATGTCTGATTCATGTCTCATCAGCTGGTATAATAATCTTCCCTTGAAGAGTTGGGGAAAGAGATAGCTTTGGGGAGCTATTTAGTTTCTTAATGATTCTTTTCTTTTTTTTTTTTTTTGAGGTGTACTCTCACCCTGTCACCCAGTCTGGAGGACAGTGGCGTGATCTCGGCTTACTGCAACCTCCGCCTGCCAGGTTTAAGCAATTCTCTGCCTCAGCCTCCCGAGTAGCTGGGATTACAGGTGCCCGCCACTGTGCCCAGATAATTTTTGTATTTTTAGTAGAGATGGGGTTTCACCATCTTGGCCAGGCTGGTCTTGAACTCCTGACCTCGTGATCCGCCCACCTCGGCCTCCCAAAGTGTTGAGATTACAGGCATGAGCCACCGCACCTGGCCTCTTAATGATTCTTGTCTGAAAAAAAAGTGGTGATGCCTAGTTCCCATACAACAAACCTGCTTGGTCCAAAGCACTCTGAAGGATGGAGAAATACTGACTCTGAATTATATATTCTCAATTAGATCAATCCTTAGATTTCCCAGCCCATCTTACCTGGAACAGGCACCAAAAACAGGAAGAGCAAAGCAAACAGAAGATAATGGATCCTCATAGCTGCTAGGCTTCACCCCACGCTGAGACTGGATGAAAAGGTGTGCTTGGTCACTTTATAAAGGTTCCAGCCACAGCTGCAATTCTTGTCATATTACAGTGATGACATTATGACATGTTTTCTGATGCATCATTCCAATGCCTCTCACCATGCAGAACACACCCACTCACTCAGTTAATTAGGAACCCAATGGTAAGGCAGAGCTCCCTATGGATTTGTGGCTGTCCGGGTGCTCTCTGGACTCCAGGGGCTTGTCTGGGTGTGGGTCAGATTGGGTTGTGGGTACAGATAGGGCTGGCATGAGCAAGTATGCCCCCTTTGGGGAATAGTCTCAGGGCATGTGGCTGGGGGCT
The DNA here is from genome assembly GCF_000001405.40 of Homo sapiens. Classification (NCBI taxonomy): domain Eukaryota; kingdom Metazoa; phylum Chordata; class Mammalia; order Primates; family Hominidae; genus Homo; species Homo sapiens. The sequence continues at coordinate 7,430,484 of NC_000008.11, forward strand.
GACTTGTCCGTACTTTGCTGCTTTGGAGCTTTTTTTCTCTTCCTAAAATGCTGGGAGAGTCTAAGACCCTCCTGGGGACCAAATAAATCCAGCCCTGGACATATTCAATATCTGGCAATAGGACTGGCTTTTTGGTAGTGAGGTAAGGGAGGAAAATGGGCTACATTCAAGGTTAGCTGACCACCTGGCCCTTGGCCTATGATGGGGTGCTATAATTTGAGTGAAACATGTCTCATTCTTTCATTTTTTTTTTTTTTTTTTGAGAGACAGAGTCTCACTTTTTTGTGCAGGCTGGAGTGCAGTGGCATGATTACAGCTCACAACAGCTTGAGCTGTCAGGCTCAAGAGGTCCTCCCACTTCAGCCCCCTGAGTAGCTGGGACCACAAACGCATACCTCCACACATGGCTAAATTTTAAATTTTCTGTAGAAAATAAAATGGGGTCTCACTATGCTGCCCAGACTGGTTTCGAGCCCAGATGTGAACTCCTGGGCTCAAGCAATCCTCCTGCTTCAGCCTCCTAAATTGCTGGGATTACTGGTATGAGCCACTGTGTGCGGCCCATGTCCGATTCTTCATCATTGTCTAAAACCTACCAAATTTATGAGTAAAGAAGGTGTTTAATTTTACTTCATCAGAGAAAGAGGATGCTGGGATGATAGATTTAATAGACTGGCATCTCCTCCTAGTCAATGACTGTCCCTGTGCAAAAGAGGGGCTTCAGAATAGACATTTAAGACCTCAAGTTACTCTTGGCTCAGGAGCATTCAAGGCAGTCCAGGGGCCAGATGATTTCCCCTGCATATAGATTCAACGTTTAGAGGGAAAAATGCTAAAAAAGAAAAAAAAAACAGCTATTAAACTTAAATGTTCAGGAATCCAATGGATGGGTTGTATTTGGTTGACTATCAATTGGGAACTAAGTAAGTCAATGACAATTCAATTGGGAGCTGAAGTCACCGTGATGTCTCCTAGCTGCTGCTTCGTGTGAATGCAATTATAACGGATCCACTAAGGATCAAGGGTGTGTTAGTTCTGGGAGTGTGTGTTCAGAATTTGGGTGCACCACACCTGTCAGATTCAGTAAGAAAACTCTGAACACATACTATAGGAAGGGACAAGTATCATGTCTTCAGCATAGGTGAGGGTGAAGTGGATGAGATACCAAGAGGGACCAGTCTTGGTTCTTTCTCTCCAGAAGCTCCATGTAGGGCCAGGTAGATGGGCAGACAGTCAAATGATAAATTTAGGATGAATTATAATGGGAGTCATAGGAAGATTTCAAGCACAGGGCTGCAGAAACGTAGAAGAAAGATAACTCATCATAACTCAAAGATAACTCTTTGAGCCAAGAGTGGAGCTCAATCAGCAGATTTAAGACTTTAGATAGGTAGATGCTACTTTTTAAAATCTAACTTTCCTCTTTAGTTCATGATTTGAGACAAAGCAATTGGAGATATTTATAAATGGGGGAAGGAGGTGAGTGTGGGTGGGATGGGTGCTGACTTCACAGTCTTACTATGTCAGACATAACGATGGCATTGGGCGTTGTAGAGGGTTAGCACCAGCTCTCAGCCTGGGGTGAGGACAGTCAGACGCTGGAGATGACTTGCTTTTCCACATGGAGAATAGACTTCCACAGGTGAACCCCTGGTCTAACCTGTTCCTTCATAGACTGGGAGGCATTTTTATGGCAACACCACTATTTCATAAAAGTTCCTTGGTGAGGAAAAATGCCACTTTTTCTTGTCAACTAGTTTGGGAGCTGGGAATTGGAGATTGGGCTGTGACAATCAGCCTTTTCAAGTTTGGACATACTCCAGACACACAAAATCCGTTTTGAGGGGGACTTACCTGTTTTAAGAAAATTATAAAAGTAATGCATTTTTATGGTAAAATTTCAAACAATAGAAGAGAGAGACTGTGTAATTTACTTCTCTACTTCAGGGAGCCACTGACAACTGTGAATTGTCCTCTTTTTGGCTTATTATAATCCTTTTTATGTCTTCAATACTTTTAGCCTCTCAAATGATAACAAGTACACGTGTGCTGTCTAATAGTTGGGTGAATAGATTCATGTGTCTGAAGCCATACAACACTAACGACAGCTGGGTCTTGTCACTCCCTGCCCCTGGGCTCTGAGTCACAGCGCTTGGAACTGCAGATCCTGCAAATTTTTGTACCCATGTGCTTGGTTTCCTTGTAGCTCTCACAGCCAGCATTTTGACATTTTGATTAGGTTGAGCAAGGAAGAGAAACTTTAGTTATTTATCACCTTTGTTCATGTCAGACTTTCCTTTAATTATTATTTTTTAAATCCTGTTCTTAAAATGTGGAGCTGAGATGTGATTGGTCCAAGTTTGTGGCAGAAGGGCAGAGCTATGTAGAAGACAAACACCAGGTCTGAAGTGAGGCGTCATTGGGCCATCACTCAGCCCTACCGTGTATGGCGTGGGTTTACCTGAATAAATTACCTAAGCTCTGTGAGCATCTGTAACTCAGCAACAAAGCACAGAGAGCAGTACATTTCCTGTTTAGGTCACAGTGAAAGCCCTATGAGTTAATGGTGTGAAATTGACTTGTACATTGCAAATCACCATGTGACCCATGTATCACCCAAGTATCACCCACGTGACCCTCGGTTAACAATATCAAGACTCTGGCATGGGCTCCCAGCACGGGAATCCAGGGTGTCAACTCCTCTTCATCTTGACATAGTCTAAGATGAAGGTTGGCTCAGCCATTCTCCTTTGCAGCCATTAATCTTGTCACAACCACCATTATATAAGTTATACAAATAAAGGCAGACATTTTTCCAATTTTATAGATGAAGACACTGAGGCTCAGAGAGGTTGAATGACATGCTGTAGTGAATTGCAGCATTGTGACCTGAAGCCAGCATGTCCAGTCATTTCTCTGCCTGCTCTCAGAGTCATCCCTTGACTATTGGTGATCTACACTCATGTGTAGTGGTCTATACTTAGGTGTGTACCCTTTTCCATCACCCCATTGTCCCTAAATTCTTTGCATCCTAGCATCTCAAGAAATCTGTCCAAACTACTCTTCCTAAGTCCAGCCAAGCCTTTTACATCCCCAGCTCAATGAGTTTTTTGTCTGTAATCTTCCTACCTGACCGTTTTGCAACATGTGCCTCGTAAGGCCACTTTCAGAAACCTATTCCTCAATTTCAATTCAACGTCCAGAGAACTTCATGGACATCTGCTCTGTATTAGGGTCTTAGGACCTGGTGCTGTGCAGGAAAGAAAGATAAACAATATTTACTCTCTAGGCTCTGAATTTTCACTATTTCCCAGTCTAATGGAAAAAGATACAAGCTGACAGTAACACGATATAACAGACATCCGCTTTCCATTGTCTCCTCCTATCCTTCCCATTACTGCCTTTGATTCATCATGGAAGTTTTCCTCCTTCTCCTGTCCCTGAAGTCCCCAAAAGGGAACATCTTCAAGAATTTAACATTTTCATGGCAATCATAATGATGATGATGATAATGATCCTCCTCCTTATCATCATTGTCACGTCATTGTAACAGATCTATTGAGCACATATTATGTTCTAGACACTGTGCTAAGCAATTTACTTGCATTTATTTCATTTGAATCATGCAGTAATTTAATAATGTTGATACACTTATCTGCATTTCCCAAATGGGGAAAGGCCAGTTGATGCTCCCATGCTCCTAACTGTATTCCAGATGCTTACTCGTGGGCCTCTGCTGGCTTCATATGATCTTTGGGATGTGGTTATCTATGCCTGCATGCAGCTACCTTCCATCTTCATCTCTAGTCTGGACCATTTCCCCAATGTTCTCAACCAATCTTTACATCACTTTTTCTGTAAATATCAACTTCATTCTCCAAATTGCTTGGTGATAGATGTTGGAAACTAGGTTCTTTCTGACTCTTCTTTCTTTTTTTGGAGGGGGGGACAGAATCTCACCCTGTCTCCCAGGCTGGAGTGAAGTGGCACAATCTTGGGTCACTGCAACTTTCACCTCCCGGGTTCAAGCGATTCTCCCACCTCAGCCTCCCAAATAGCTGAGACTATAAGTTTGCACCACCATGCCCAGCTAATTTTTGTATTTTTAGTAGAGACAGGGTTTCACCACTTTGGCCAGGCTGGTCTTGAACTCCTGATCTCCAGGGACCTGCCCTCCTCGCGCTCCCAAAGTGCTGGGTTTACAGCCATCAGCCAATTCTTTCTACAAAGTGGTTTGCATAATTTTCAGGGACCAACTCAAATACCAGTTCCTCATGATCACAATCACCCCAGTTGAAAGAGATCCCTCCCTCCTCTGCAGTTCTGCAGAGCACATTTTGCATGACACTTGGAGCTTCTACCAACTTCCATAATGAATGCCATATACTATTTGTGAACATTTCTTATTATCTTTAATAGATGGTGTCTTTTCATTTATGTCCTTATATTAATGAGAAAGTACATACTCAAGTCCTATGTTGCTTTCACCCTTTAGATAATAAGAATTATTTTCAAATCCTAGAGTATCTCCTAGGATGCTCAGGATGAATATCACAAAGAAGAAATACTTCCAGAAGAGCAAGGAAATAGGGAGAGAACAGTAGCAGCTAATGCAAAGACAACAAATGATTTACAACATGAGAACAATCTGAACACACTTATGGTTTAACAAAATATAAATAAATTCGTGAGATACTGAGTGTGGCAGGCAGCCACTGCAATGGCCCCCAGTAACCCTTGCCTTTAGGGAATGCTGGTATCGTGCTTTGGTGCAGATATGATATGGAGGGTGGAGCAGAGGCTTACGAGACAGAAGGCCAGAAGACCAAGAGCTGAACTCAGGTCTGCTGTGTTTCGGATGCCAGTGGGAGAAAGAGGCAGACCTGAGTGCCAGAGCCATCTAGAAGAAGCAATCAAGAGTTAATACAATGGTTGAGCATGAGAGAAGGAATTAAGAGAGGAGGCAGCCTAGGGATACTGTTCAGGGGACAGGGTAGGTGGCGGTCCCATCAATTAGAATTAAAGTGGTGATGCCAGCAGGCACTGAGGGAGACATGCTATGGAGAGAGAGCCAGGCTTAACATATGGCATCTTTTTAAAACAGGCTCAAACTAGTTTAGGAATTTACAGGCTTAGCAGTGATGTGGGGTTGCATGCCTTTCCCAGAGTTTCTAAAATCATGCCTGACAAGATGGGGACTGACTCTCCTAATTCCTATAGGCAAAATCAAGGAGGGGATAAGTGTATGAGAAATTCATATAAAGCTACCCTAAAGACATTTTTCTACCCATTTGGCAGCAATATTTTCACCACAAATAGAATGAAGTGCATAATACTACCTCACCTTCTGTTTACACTGGGTAACTCCAACCGGGTTCTTTCTATTTAATCATGGCCCTGTCCCAGTAAAAACACACCCTATACTACCTCTGGCCACCAGCCTACACAGTTCTGATGGCTGCTTCCTCAGGGAGGACTTTTAGGGGACAGGTGGCTCTTACAAAGCAATCATGAGCTCAACTCATCAATGGGCTGGCAGCTGAGGTGGGGAAGTGATGCATCCAAGGCAAAAGGTGTGACCCAGGGGACTTTTTGTTAAAACAGGTCGTCTGCCACTATCCTTTCTTCAGAACTGGTAATTGAAATGAGCCTATTGACTGATGTGGTAATAGGCCATGGATGACTATTAAATGATTTGCACATGGTGGCTAGTATCTATGGAGCTGTTATTACGTACCTGGCATGGCAATGGTGCTTTAATGCATTTCTCTGACAAAAAAAGGCATAAAGTAGGTATCAGAATTTTTACTTAAGGATAAGGAGGAGGCACAGTGGCTCACACCTGTAATCCTAGCACTTTGGGAGGTCAAGGTGGGCGGATCTCCTGAGGTCAAGAGTTTGAGACAAGCCTGGCCAACATGGTGAAACCCAGTGTCTATTGAAAATACAAAAATTATCTAGAAGTGGTGGCGGGCACCTGTAATCGTAGCTACTTGGGAGGCTGAGGCAGAAAAGTTGCTTGAACCTGGGAGGTTGAGGTTGCAGTGAGCCCAGATCACGCCATTGCACTCCAGCCTGGGTGACAGCAAAACTCTGTTTCCAAAAAAAAAAAAAAAAAAGATTAAGGAAACTAAGGCTAAGACAAACGAAATAACTTTCTAAAATTTGAAGCCCAGGACCATCAGGCTCACAGATTATGCTAACTACTTGCTTTATTATTCAGGTTATTGTAGTTATATTTTATATCCATGTTTCTGTCAAAGGTTTTTGGTGTGGGGTTTCCCAGTGGAAAGGGAAATGATTATATATGGTGGAGAATAAATGAGAGAGGGCTTGGGGAATGGAAGCCACACCTCACCCACTTGGCTCAGACCACAGGGCTACTCCTGTTTTGAGAATTTCCAGCTAACTGCCTTATAAAATTACATAGCATGGTATTTATGGTGCTAGAGCACCAAGAAAAATTCAATAAAATGATGAATTTGACATCTCTGACTCAATCTCCTCTTCCATATTTTTCAAGAGGTTTTATGATTGCATATATTAGGGGCCAGCAAACCTTTTCTGTAAAGGGCTAGACAGTAAATATTTCTAGGCATTGCTGGCCATGTGGCTTCTGTTGCAACTACTTAATTCTGCAGCTATAGTACAGAAGCAGTCATAAACAATACATAAACAAATGGCCATGGCTTTGTTCCAATAAAAATTTATTTATAAAACTGGGTGGCAACTGGATTTAGCCAGCAGTCCATAGTTTTCTGACCCCTGGCATAAATTTATGAGACACTGAGTGTGGCAGGCAGCCTCTACGATTGCTGCCAAGGATTCCTGTCTTTGTGAAATGCTGTGATTCATGCTCTGGTGTAAGCCACTCCTTTTGATTATGAGCTGGCCTCATTCACTCATTTCTAATAAATAGATTATAAGTCTATGAAGCAATAGATTATAACCTAATCTCAGAAGTCATGAGAGTAAGCTATAAAAAGGCTGTGGGTTCAGTTTTGGATGCCTTCTCACTCTTCTTGCTTTTGTGGAAGCCTGCTGCCATGTTTTGAGTCGCCCTATGGAGAGACCTACAAGGCAATGAACTGAGGGGCTTCTCTGGCCAACAGCTAGTCAGTCACTAAGGCTCTTAATATACCAGCCCACAGGGAACTAACTCCCTCCAATAACCATGTGAGTGAGTTTATGGAAGTAGATCCTTCCCTGTGTAGGCTTCAGATACAAATGCAGCCCTGGCTGACAGCTTAACTGTGACTTCATGACTGAGCTTGATCTAGAAGCACCCAGCTGGGCCATGCCTAGTTTCTACAATCCACAGAATGTGTGAGATAACAATGTTTCTCGTCTTCATCCACTAAGTTTTGGGATAATTTGTTATGCAGCAATGGATAACTAATATAGTGAGGTATAGTGCAAAGAATGGAAGAGATTTAGAGACCTATGTTTCAGTCCCAGTTTTTTTACAAATTTGCTATGTAAATTTAGACTAACTGTTGACCAAGTCTAGCCCTTCCATTTTTTATTCTGCCTACAAAAGGGAAAGGAATCATGGATTTCTGAGGTCATTACAGGTCTAAGTCTTCATGGTTCATTGAATTGTCAAGCTGATTCCTGCATCTAAACCAGAGTCTTGAATTGGAAGCCCATGAGTAAAATATAGTCCATCGAAGTATTTTGATATTAGGTGTCAACATTTAAAACACTAAAAATTTTGCATAAAAATTCAGTTTTCTGACTTCCTCAGAAAAATTCAATGATTAAACCACCAGGGCCCACGTTTCTACATGTAACACTGAGATTTATCCAAAAATCTCTTGTCCCGTTACATCACAGGTCCCCAACCTCTGGGCCATGGACCAGTACCCGTCCCTGGACTGTTAGGAACCATGCCACACAGCATGAGGTGGGTGACAGGCAAGTGAGCGAAGCTTCATCTGTATTTAAAGCTGCTCCTCATCACTTGCATTACCACCTGAGCCCCACCTCCTGTAAGATAAGTGGCAGCATTAGATTCTCATAGGACTGCAAACCCTATTGTGAACTGTGCGTGCCAGGGATCTAGGTTGCATGTTTCTTATAAGAATCTAATGCCTGATGATCTGTCACTCTCTCCTATCACCCCCAGATAGAGCTCTTTAGTTGCAGGAAAACAAGCTCAGGGCTCCCACTGATTCTACACTATGATAAGTTGTATAATTATTTCACTGTATGTTACAATGTAATAATAGAAATAAAGTGCACAATAAATGTAATGCACTTGAATCATTCCAAAACCATCTCCCCCACCTTGGTCCATGGAAAAATTGTCTTCTACAAAGCTAGTCCCTGGTGCCAAAAAGGTTGGGGACAGCTTCCTTACATAGAATATGAGTGCTCCAATGCACTGCAGTACCCAATTCCTTACTATCTCTCACTGGCCTGGCTCTGATGGTCTTTGGAGAACCACTTGAATGATGCTTATTTTGAGATCTTCCCTAAAACAGAGAAATTATGTTCTTTTACCATCTGCTTGTATCTTGGGTCCAGGACACTGGCCAATTTTTATTTCAATATGGCCTTTGCGAAGTTCTGTGATGTCATAACATCTAGATCCACAAGTCCCGCTCACACAAACTTCAGGGAAATCCCAGATCAGAGCCACATATTCTTACATTAGAACATTAGAGCTCTTATGTTCTTCTCTCTCTTCCTCACATCTAGAATACATCTTATCCCTCCCTCTTTACAGAAAAAGACACACACTTCTACATACACACACACATTTCTAGTTTCACACCATTGTGGTTGGTAAAACATACTTCATATGATGTTAATCTTCTTAAATTTATTAACTTGTTTTGTGGCCTCACATGTTATCTACTCTGGAGAATATTCTACGTGCCCTTGAGAAGAACGTGTATTCTTCTGTTGAATAGAATGTTCAGTATATGTCTGTCAGGTCCATTTGGTCTTTAGTGTTGTTCAAGTCCACTGTTTCTTTGTTGTGTTTCTTTCTAGATGACCTATCCAATGTTGAAAGTGGGGTGTTGAAGTCTCTGATATTACTGAATTGCTGTTACTCCTTTCAGTTCTCTAAATCTTTGCTTTATATATTTATAATTGTTTTATTTTCTTGATGAATTGACCACTTTATCATTATATAATAACTTTATTTGTCTCTTGTTACAGCTTTTGACTTAAAGTCTCTTTTATCTGATGTAGGAACAGCCACTCTTGCTCTTTTTGGTTACCACTTCCATGGAATATTTTTCCCATCCCTTTACTTTCAGCCTGTGTGAGTCCTTCTAGCTAAAGTGAGTCTCTTGTAGACAGCATATAGTTGGACCTTGCTTTTTGATACATTCAACCACTTTACATGTTTTGATTAGAAAATTTAATCCATTTACATTCAAAGTGATAGGTAATGACTTACTATTGTCATGTTGTTAATTGTTTTTCTTTAGTGTTTGTAGTTCCTTTGCTTATAAAATCAATGCACTATTTTTTTTCTCTTTGTTAACTTCAGATCTCAGAGTATATTTAAGAATATCACATCTTTGAGCAGTTGCCCATTAATTCAATCTCAAAACTGGGCATCTTCTTTAAGTCATGCTATGAGTTCCTCATGCCATTCTGTGCAATGGCAAACCAAAAATGTGTTTTAGTTTTTCTCAAAAACACATTGAAATCTCTTTATCTAGTTTTTGGAGACGGAAGATTATAGGAGTGGAAATCAGTACCCTCCTGTTCTCTATTCCTCTCTGATACAAGCATGTGCACAGAGGTGGTTTTTGGCATTTCTCCATTTCCTGGGGACAGCTTCTTTGAAAAGGAAGTCTTTTTCTCTATTTTTATTTCCATAAAGGCTACTCAGCCAAATAAATGAGGTAGCTGTTTCTTTCCCTACCCTGCAATCTATTTGTTCTTTTTTCAAGGTTCCAACTTCTTCTTACCTTTTTTTCCTTTTTTCCAGGAAGAAAAAAAATATTTAATTTGATCCTAACTTGAAGAATCCAGGTTCAACACCTCCTGAGATACAAAAAGAGGGTGACAGTGTACCTTAATGATCCAAGAAGGCATGAGGTGGAGCAGGAAAGAAATCAAATGCTACTTTGGTGAACAATGAGATCCTAGCTCTTGGGGAAGTGAGAAGCATCTCAGTAATCAGGGAAATATTTCTTTCTTCACTTGGGGTTGAGACTGTACTGTCCTCAGAACCTAACATTTGTCCTGGGGAGTTGTACAGATGTTCTATCTAACAGGTTCATGAGCTAAGAAATAAGTTTGTTTGCACTCACCCTGGTGGGCATGCATGGAGACAGCCTGAGGGTTCGACCAGTACCCAGCAGACAAGGCATTTTAGAGAACTCAGCCCCTCAGGCTTAATGTTCTCTGGAGCTTGGGTGTCACTAGATACCCATGATATTCCTGCTGCTTTTCTCAGTGACTGCTCCAGCCTGTTTAAGCGAAGGGAAAGAGGTGCTGGAACAATCAAGTGGTGTCCTCACTGCTGGCAGGTGGGAGGGAGGGAGTGAAGGAGAGCAGTGAAGCAAGACTGCACTCCCAAGCAGTGAAGGAGAGAACGAGGGTGAATGAAGGAGGAGGACAACTTGGGGTCAAGAGACTGAGGCTGGAACACGTAAGAGCCCACTGGCCTTTTAAAGGACCTAAGCAAAGAAACTTCCCTTTTGGAATCTGGGAAAAGCATTAATTTTCCAGACTTTAATTTGTTGCCCTTCTTTGATGAAATCTCCAGAAACTTTGATAAAATGTTCTGTTTGTACTGCATAGGTCTCGTACAAAAGTGTAAGGGAGTTTGAGGGAACTTTTGGTCAGGGGAGGGTGACTGTGGTCCACTGCAACCCTCCTGTGTGCTCCTGGAGAGAGGGCATCATCTTTTACATGGAGGTGACCACAGCAGAAGACCATGACCCCCAGCAGGGCCTCGGTTCCAGGCAACGCTCACAACACATAGGAGGACCCAGAAACACTTTGTTCAGGAAGAACCACAACTCTGTACTTCAAGCAATGGTTCTGAGCTCTGGATGCAGAATGAACACAATGAGGTATCTTAATAATAACAGCTAAAGATCCACCCCAGACAAGGAAGTCACATCACTGCAGGAGGTGCCTTGGCATAATATTTAGTTTTCAAAAGCAGCTGAGATGGGGATGAGAACCAGAGGATTAGAGGAAGATGACTCCTTAAGGATGAGGACACTCATCTGGCTTAGAGACACAACCTGGCCTGTAGCTGATACCGTCTGCACCTCAGGCTCCTCCCTGTAAAACAACTCAGTGACAATGGTAAACTCAAATGTGAAGCTTTTCCAGTTCCTTTGGTTTTGCTCACCTGTGACGTGCACCACACCTAGCATCGAACATCGCAGCTGAATATTCAGTCCTGAGTCACCGTGACTCTGCCATCAGCTGGTCAGGCAGATGAGAATTCCAGGAAGCCCGAGGCTGGCGCATCCCCCTGCCGGGAAGGGACCTAGCCTTTGCCCTGTCTCGTGGTGTGAATGTGCATTCCTGGTGCTGAGATTGCCCAGCCACCTTTACTCCCAGTCATGCTAGAGTCTGCCAGGCTTTCCTCAGCTGGAGGAGGACACGTGAGTCTTGTGGGAGGAATTGGATAGAAAGACACCCCCCTTTAGAGGAAGAAGGATGGAGAAGCACAATGATGCCGAAATGCTGCCTTCCAAGACTTCTTCAGCTGTAGCAACTTTCCCCACTTCCAGGCACTACCACATGCCTGGTCAATCCTACAGAGAGGCTGAGAGTCTCTTTGTCACCTGGTCCCCCCATTGCTGCCCCTCTACCCGGCCTGGCAGCTGATGCTTCCCTCCATGGGCTCCCCCACCCAGGATCTAGGCGCTGAGTCAACTGGGAGGCAGGAAGGGAGGACAGAGTCCCTTTGACTCTCCCCACATTCTGGTGGGGCTGATCTGTCACTCTTCCGGGTGCCAGCCACTGGGCTAGTTCTTAACTTCCTTCCTTCATTTCTTCCTTCCTTCCTCCCACTTTCATTCCTCCCTCCGTTTCCTCCTTCTTTCCACAAACATAGGCATCGAGCTAAATATTCAGGAAAATAAATGGTGCACAGGTCACAGGCTCTGGGTGGCACAGGAGTCTGTAGAGGACAGCAGACACAGGAGGCAGTTGCATGGTGACAGACTCCAGCTCCAGGTGGGCCCAGCAGTGGAGGAGTCACAGGAGCGGCAGCCAGCCACATTCGGGCCTGAGTGTCAGCTTCCCGGAGAAAGTGTAGTCAGAGCTGCAAGCTAAAGGGTGAACAGGGGAAAATGTGAGCAATGCCCCAGGTGTAGGAACCAGAGGGTACAAAACTGGAAAATAAAAAGCATGTGAGTTCAGGAATTTAAAATACCTTGGGGCTGGAAGTGGTGGCTCAACACCTAAAAAAACTAGCAGTGTGCAATGGTGCATGCCGGTGGTCCCAGGTATTTGGGAGGCTAAGGTGGGAGGAGCACTTGAGCCCAGGAGGTAGAGGCTGCAATAAGCGGTAACAGTGCCACTGCACTCCAGCCTGAGCAACAGAGTGAGTCCCTGTTTCAAAAAACAACAACAAGAAAAAATACTTTGGGCTGGTTGGAGATGAACAAGGCAGCAGTTCTGGCTGGGGAGTTTAGCGGGGGCTTCTGTACAAGGGGTCTTGGGGACCCTATTGGGAAGTTTGGGGCTAACCAGGAGGACAGTGAGCAGCTTGTGATGGGGTTTAGGCAGTCAATGCGGGGGTCAGACTAGGCTTCAGGACAGTCAGCCTGGTACCTAGGGAGGCCTGGGAGCACCAGGCTCAGCGTCAGGGAGGCTCTTGACCTCCTTCCTGTCTGGTGCCCATCGCCCCTTTACGGGCCACCTGGCTTTGGTTTGGATGTCTCCGTCTTGCTTTTAGACCAAAACCGGTGGCTGAATCCATGCCCAGGGCCTGGGACCTGGCTTTGCTCTCTGCTGGCCTCCCTGTGCTTGCTCATCGAGTCTTTCCCACTTGTCATTTTCAGTTTCCATGCTGTACCCAGGATCCTACCATAGGAAGGAAGCCAGTTCGCTCTGCTACATTGAATTTATGCTTCTCTCTTGCTTTTCTGCACCATGCAGACCCACTCGGGGACCAGGGGAGCCTCCTGTAGTGATGGGTCTCATGTCTGAGCCTGACCCTTCTCTCTCCCTGCAGCCCTGCATTGGAGTCCCAGGACACGAGAAGCTGGCAATTCAAGGCCTGACAACAGGCTTAAGCCAGTGTCTAGAGGCATGGAACTGTGCCTCTAGTTCCATTTATATTTTTGAGTGGGAAATATGAACAGTGGATTCAAACCTCTCCTTGGAAGTTCAAATGACAGGAGGAGAAGCCTGCTATGCTAACATGGATCAAAGGGATGGAGACTTTTGAGTGTAAAATCATCCACCGGCTTCTCCCAATACCCACTGCTGGGACAGACACAAATCTCCCTCCTTCCAGGACCATCTTGCCAGGCTCCTGTCTGCTTCCTTCTCCTGAGACAGGGCAGGGGTCCCTTATCTCTTAGTCTTGAGGTGAGCTGTGAAATACCTTGAGATGGCTTCCCAGAGTGGCATGGAGCAAAGCTCACAAGTCATTTTCCACCCTGCCCAAATCCAGGAACACATGCATTTGGCAGAAACCCCAACTCCTTTCACACATTCCCACCACAGTGAGAATAGGAGACTCCGCCCCTTTCTTCCACTTTACCAGCTGTGTGCTCTTGGGCAAGTTTCTTAACTTGGGTGAGTTTCCACTTCTTCATGTCCAAGTAATAATAACCACTTCATTGCAGATCAAGTGTAAAACATAAAAAGCAATTCTTAATGCATGGTCTTCTGTTATCCTTGTTATGACCACAGTGATTGTCACAAGCACTATTTATTAAGAGAGGGAGAGCTAGAAGTGACGTTGTGGGTGAACAGCATGTCTCCTATATTCTACGGCATAGGAACCATGTGGCATAAGGGAAAGTGCACCAGGTTGGGGGCCCATCAGTTTCCACCATTAACTTGCTTCATGCAGACATGCCTCTTGAACCTTAAAATAGACATGGTAAAAGTCTGCTGGCTCCTGGCTGTGTGGCTCTGGGTAAGTGAGTTCACATTTCTGAGTCTTAAGTATCTCATCTGCAGTGTAGGCATATTCATGCCACTCCATAGATGACCTGGGATCAATGCATGGGCGGTGCTCGGCACAGAAGCTGGAGTGGAGAAAGCATTCAGTAAGCTCCAACGAGCTGGGAGAGGTGGTGTTGCTAGGTCTACCTGCAGGAGGTGCTTGGGCCCCTGGGAGTTTAGCAACAGAGTTCTTCTATACCTGTATGCTGGACAGATCTGGTCTGAGCTCTGCATCTGCCTGGGCCTTGTCTGTGCCGGTGCTTGTGTCCCATCCCAGGGGCCTCCCTCTGGGTAACCACAGTGACCACGAAGCCCTTGCTAGCCTGTCTATAGGGTGGGCTACTCCTTTGTGTGCATTCTCAGATTTAGTCAGGACAGGCACATGTTTCCCTGCAGGCGAGACCTGTGACTAAGCTTCCAGTGGAGTCACCTGTAGAACAACCTGCAGGTGATCTAACACACCCGTGGCATCCCATGGGGAGGAATCCTGGAAACAGCTTGAACCTCTGGCATCCTGCCATCCCGAGGACCATCAGGATTTTAGAGATGCCATTTATGGTCTTCTGAGTGTGGCGGACCCTTGCTTCTCTGCAGAGTGAGGGAGGAAGCCGAGGACCCTGGGTGAATTTCTTTTATAATTTTGGGTGAATTTCTTAATTCATTCCGAACAGATGACATTATTTGTGTGCATAGAGGGGTATGTGGAAGGCAATTCCAAAAGAGGAATTTTAGTATTCTGAGGTATTGCAGTGTTATTGTTAAAGCACATAGCCTATGGTACTGCAAGAGTAGGATTTTGAAAGGTTTTCTTCTTTGTTTTGTTAAAAATCCATCTTATCCCTTTATTGTTGCAGTAGGTTAACAGACAGCCATTTTCAGTTGGTTGATAATCAGCCTGGGAGAGCTATGCTGCCCGTCTCTGCCTCATGTGAGGAAGGATAGGGGCTTGGAGGAGTTTCGGTGGGATGGACCTGCTCATATCGCCCAGCAAGGATTGTCATGGGGGTGGGATTTGGTGATAATAAATCACCTTCGGAGATGGGTGGCAGGACAAGAGCCTCACCTTTCTGTGACGATTATTTGCATCAAGTGTTCCAAGAGGTGGCAAGACAGACCTGACTGCCTTGATCTGAAGAGCCCAGACCAACTCTAAAAGGTTTAGACTTTGAGCTTGTGTGGGAGATTGGCTCATGCATGGGTGGTTTAAAAATCCATTCTAGGCCGGTCGCGGTGGGTGATGCCTGTAATCCCAGCACTTTGGGAGGCCAAGGAGGGTGGATCACCTGAGGTCAGGAGTTCGAGACCAGCTGGCCAACATGGTGAAACCCCGTCTCTACTAAAAATATAAAAACTAGCCAGGTTCAGGTGTGCACATCTGTAATTCCAGCTATTTGGGAAGGTTGAGGCAGGAGTATCCCTTGAACCTGGGAGGCGGAGGTTGCGGTGAGCCAAGATTGCACCACTGCACTCCAGCCTGGGTGATGGAGTGAGACTCAGTCTAAAAAAAAAAAAAAAAATCCATTCTGGCTATAATTGCATAGTGAGACACTATGTGTAAATTATACATGTATCTGCATGTGTGTGTTTTAGTCACTAAATTACTCCACCTGTATGATGTTAAAATGCAATATGTATTCTTTCCAGGTTGACAACTATCTCAAATCACATTTGCTGTATCTTATTTGAATCAAGAAGATTCAATTATTAGTTAATAAAATGAATCACCTGTACAGTCCCAATACTGTATGGTTCATAGGAATTTCATGTAATCTTTGTTTTCAAAATCAAAGAGCAAACAACGTGTGTTCAAATTATCAAGGAAGGGCCAAAGCTCAGTGAGGTCAAGGACGGCAGACATAGGACAAGGACGCAGGCATTTTCATTCCTAGTTCAGGGCTTTTTCCAGGATGCCATGAGGCTCATTGGGGCATGGCTTCAATTTAGTGACATCCTGGGTCCCTTTTCTGTCTATGATTCCATGAGGGAGGGACAGAAGGTGCACATGTCATGCTGTCAGAGGCAGATGCTCAGTGTGGAGACTCAGGGGCCAGGGGACTTTTCACTTCTCCAGCCCCAACACGTCGAGCCTCCCTGTTAGCTCTGCCGCCTCCCGTGGGGTAAGTGTTAAGCCCCTGAAAATGAAGGGGTTACAAGTTCTGTTGTGAGGCCCTATAATAAAGGAGAGCTAATAAAGGCTTCGCCCCACCTTCTGACCGGATTGTAGAGATGAGTACCCCAATGGGACGGGGAGTGGTTGGAATGAGGAGAGGAAGAAGGCGGTGAAACCAGGGGATTGTGAGAGATAAGACAAGGATGCGGGCTTCAGGCTGTGACTAGGATGTGGCCGCGATCACAGTGGGGTTTCCCAGCATCCCCTGGTGAAATCTGCCCCAGTGCTTGGATTAAAAAGGACAGTAGTGGTGCACTGAAGAAGACCAGTGGTTGAGGCTTAGGTTAATTCACTCATTCCTTCCTCTATTTCATATTTATTGTTCTTCAGTGGTTACTAAAGATGTAAATATGAGTATTTATGTACCAGGCCCTGTCCTTGAGGAGCTCAAGGTCTAGTGGGAGGACTATAAATATGTAAATAAATGATGGCAACAGAGTGACAAGACCCTATGATAGGATGCACCGAAGTGTCTGAGGGGCAGAGACGTAGAGCAATTGATAATGCCAGGCAGGAATGCGGGGAGAGGGCCAGGAAAGCTTCAGAGTGGGGTTGAAATTTGAGCCAATTTGAGTACTAGGAGGGAACAGCTCTGTCATTCCTGGTTACTGTGTCATCTCAGGAAGCTGATTCCTTAGAGATACAGTGGAGATGATCACACTTATCTCAGAAGAAAGAGCTATGTGAAAAGTATGAGGATTTGCCAAGAAAAACATCCTGGGCCCCCATTGGACCAGGCCTAGTCCTTCTGCCCCTGCTGGCTGGCTGGAGCTCCGGCCCATCACCAGGCACCCTCCTGCCCCTCTTAGGGTTGGCAGAGGGTTCACGCACCTCTGAGTGCCAGCCAGAGAAGCAACTTGCGATGTCCTGGGTCTCCCAGCACCTCTTCCCAGCTTCCCCTGACCACAGGCTGAAGGTGTCTTAGCAAGGACAAGGCAGATGAATCCTCAAGTTGAAAACAGATCTGGACGGAGGGCAGGATGGGGTGGACATAATCACTACTTTTATTTGTCCTCGCACTGAGGATCATACTCCGGTCTCTCACATGGATCCCTGGGGAGCCAGTCCATGGAGCACAGCCGAGAGGCAGTCCAGGCTTAGTCAGAGCCACAGACCCTGGGTGAGGCTCCTGCTCTTCGGCTGCAGAGAGCTGCCTCCTGGCCTCTGAAGCCGATCCACCTGGGCCACCCTGAGGTCACAACTCCAGAAGACAGGAGGCAGGAAGAGGAAGTCTCTACTCTCCTTATCCACAGCGTTGTCTGTGCTGCTGGCCTGTCCCTGTTCCCAAATAAGAGCAGATGCCTGACAATGCCTCAATAAATATCCCTGCTGATTCAGTCTGAACTTAATTCATTTCCGCACCCCCGGCGTGAATGGTACCCTGTGCAGGGCAGAGACGAATGAGGCACTGTAATCAGTGCCAAGAGATTCAGGCCAGAAGCTTTGGTAACCTGGGCCCCCTGGCTCTCCCCTGCGGTGACCCCAGCTGCTCCTGTCCTTAGCCCAGTGCCCAGCTTCAGAACAAGTGGTCAAAAAAAAAAAAAAAAAAAAAAAAAAAAAATCCCATCTGCAGGCGCCGGAAGGGCAGCGCGCCCTCGCGTGGTAGGTGTTGGTATTGCCGGGATGCCTGCCTGACCCAAGCCTTTCAGGCTTTGAAAAAGAGCGTTTTGGGGATTCTGTCTTAGAACCACGCCAGGACATTTTAGGACTGAGTTCAATCCTGTCACTTTACAGATGGGGACAGGGATGCTATGGAGATCTGCCCAATATCCCAGAGGGGCGGAACAAGAAAGTAAGCCCCAGTTTTGGGGGCTCTCACTTGGTCTCTGGGCTGATCCAGTCAGATTCATTCTCAGGCCTTACAGAGACACTTTACATTGAAAAAAAGAAAAAGAAAAAACAGCCAAAAAGTAAACAAAAATTAAAAAGGGAACAGAGCAACTCCAGAGCTCACCACTGAGGACTCCAGGAGCCTGCACCGCCTTCCCTCCCGTCCCTTCCCTTCCCCTCTCCTCCCCTTCCCTTCCCTTCCCTTCCATGTTTGCTTCCCGGAAGCCTCAGCAAACACTCCCAGACAGCCTGTTTTGTGCTGGGCAACGCCATAGGTACTAGTTTTTTACCATGCCTTACAGGTGGACAAACACTTCCTTTGGAGAAATTTTACATAAGAGGGAGATGACATTTTCCACAATTTAGATCAGCCCAGGCCCAGGGTCCACCTTAAAAATATTAAATAATACAGCCTAGGGCCCACGCGAGTGCCCTGCTGGCCGGCCCTGGACTCTGCAGAGGGCTCCCTGGGGGTTCTCACCTGCAGCACCCTGGCAGGGAGGGACGGGGTTCCCATCCTCCCCATCTCACCTGGTGGAGACCCCTTGGTCCTTGGGTGAGGCTCTGCTTCCACACCCCCAGGCTGCTGTGCTCTGATGGAGTCTGAGATCGAGCCCACCTCCTTCATTTCATTTCTGAGGAACATGAGGCCAAAAGAAGGTGCTGCTGTCTAACGGCACCTGCCCAGAAGTCCCATCCTTATGGAACCAGGCTCCAGCCCCCCAGTGGCCCTTCATGTTATTTTGTGTTTCTGGTACACAGATCTGCTGGTGTGGGTTGGTGGCACTCCTGGCTGAGAACGTGTCTGCCAGTTCTGAGGCATGCACGTTTGCTGCGTTTCACTCTGAGCCAAGGCTAATAGGGGCCAATGCCCTTCAGGAAGTCATTCCCTTCAGGGATGGAACAATGGCTCTCCCCTCTAGAGGCATGACAGAGAGCCCTGCAGAGGTGCCTGTGCCTAAGAGAGACTTACTCTGTGCACTTCCAGAGGTCTGTCTGATTGCATTTAGAAAAGAAAAAAAACAAGAGTGAGTTTAGAAGAGGTTGCGAGAGGCCAAAGGCAAGATGACAAATATTCATTGCAACTTGAGCTGGGAATTGAGACTGTAGCCCCAAAGTGTACATTCTAGTGGGCTCTTTACAGCACCTCAGCTCATTCAGAAGCACACTGGACTCAGGCAGCGACAGAAACAGGAACACAGAGCATCTTCCCAAGCCACCTGTCAGTCAGGAAAAAGCTTGGCATGTGGTCTCTATCTCTCAGCACGTTTGTTTTTATTATTTTTTAAATTCCTTACTTGTAATTGGTGTTCACTACTATTGGAATTAGTATTCAACAAATTCAAGCAGGATCCAGAGAAAGGCAAAAGGCAGCTAAGCATTCAGGAATCTCCATGAACAGGGGCCCTGCCTTGCTCCAATTGCACAGAAATATGTTTTTTAGAAGGATCATAGAAGAATGAATGCTGACTGATAGGCATACTGAGAATGCCATTTATGAATTGCTAGCCTGGGGGAAATGTGCTTCACCTGATGATTTTCATTTTTCTTTCATTCCTAAAATGGACCTGCTTACCCCCTATTATACACACTATCAGCTTGTTGTATTAATAAATTGAAATAGCGTAAGAGTAAATGCTTGAAAACAACACTATCCTACTGAAATGTGACCTGTTGGTGTTATTGCTTGAGGAGGCATAAAGGGAAAAGGGATAAGGTGCATTACCATCTGGGTGAATAAGCAGGAGAAGGCTAGTGCTGGGTGTGGTAAGAAAGATGTCATCAGAAGGAAAACAGAGCAGCAGATTGGTTGCATTTATGTCTCTCTGAAAATCAGTTTGGAGCTCGGTTTCTAGTCAGTTCCCATCTCCAGATACTTAAGAGATATTCCCTTGACTAGGAAAGGAAAGTGGAATATCACAAAATTCTGAGACCCCTTTGAAAAGGCAGTACATGGAGAAGTAAGGAAGTTAAAAAAATGTCTTTTATCAGCTCTTCACCTTTGGTGCTAAATTCATTCAACAAATATTTATTGAACACCTACTATAAGCCACACATTCCTTTAAGCCCTTGGGATACTTCAACATCCCTGCCTTCCGGGAGCTTATATTTTAGATCCCAGATCTGCCATCCATCTCTGGTTTCTCTTTTCCTTCTTCATCTGTATTTGATACGCAACACCTATTCCAGGGATCAGAGCAAATGTCACGCTTTTTCTCACCAGAATGGCAGAAAAAAAGTCTGCAGATCCCTTGCTGCATATGGCAGATGGTATTTCTAATTCCCGGTGGAACATCCCCTATGGATACAACAGAAGAGAGTTGACATTTAACTCATATAGTGCAGAGAATAGAAGATGACCCCAGCCCGCTGCCAAGGGTTATATATTCTGACAAGGCTAAGTACTTTTGGACAAGCCCCAGTTTAACCGAACTTTGGCCTCTTAGCTTTAAAACAGGAACGATAATTTATATCTGAAATGTTGCCAGGAGGATGATAGGGTGTGTTTTATGAATGCTCACCTGGCCCATCTAGGCCCTAAAAAGTCCACACAGATCCTAAATGAGGGTCCTCGAGCCTCCCGGTGAGAGATGTGCACTAGAAGGAAACAAAGGGAGTTTTGGAAAACAGAAGTGGTCCAGAATAGGACAGGTCTTGGTCTCTAAGGAAATTAAAGGTATTAACCCATTCTCAACTTATGGCCCAATTTTTAGTTTTATGTCCTACAACGAAAAGGAGAAAATAAAACCTCTCTCCTCACCAGGACCTGTGGGCTTGTAAGTCACAAATGACCACCTAAATTTTTATAACAACAGGACATTGGGCAAGAGATGGTTGAAAGAAAGATCTTACTTATGTCAGATCTGCAAATGCTACGTACGATGACTTTAAACAGCAGCAACAACAGCAGCAACAACAACAGCACAGTGTTGGTCTTGCGTGATTAGGAAAACACTCTTGCACAACATCCAACCTCCAAACGGGGTCTAATCCCTGATTCTGTATCATCTCAGCCCTGTCACAGCTTGGAGGAGACAGCAAAGTGAAGAAGGTGGGGGGTCCACCTTTAGTCAAGACAGAAGAGCCCCCAGCCTGGAAGCGTGGAGACCTGGATTCTGGTCTTACTTCTTCCAATATCTCATTATGTCTCCTTAGACAACTCATTTAACTGGTTACACTTCAGCTTGCCCATCTGTAAAATGTGTTCTATGTGCAAGCAGGGGGAATATTATAAGTTTGAAGACCTACTATGACCATAAAGATTCATTGCACCATGGTAAATTAACACTTTCTCTGGACTTTGGTTTTCTTTTTGTAGAGCATGGGGCTGCTATAGACAATCTCTGATTCCCTTCCAGCTCTGACATTCATATGACTATAACTTCCTTCTGAAAACTTTTCTCAGACTGCAGTGAGTGCTTGCCACTTGTATCAGAGCAAGCATACCCCTTTGTCTTGTGTCAAGACCTTTATAACACTTATTTAGCTTTTAAAAAACTTCACAGGGGAGATCAAAATTGTCCAAGACTGAGCCCCACAGTGGCCCACCTGCATCCACTAACAACATACAGACACATCTACACACTGTCCATACAGACACACACATAAATGGAATTCCTGCACTACCTTCCCCAGGGCTAACCAGGAGACATTTACCTGAGTTTGTTTGGACCAAACAAAAGAGAACAGCAAACAGAAAAAAGACCTTCATGTTTTAAGGTCCGTTGAACCTCCCTGCCCTCCCGTGAAGGAGCACAAATATGATGAATGATGGAATGAAATGGAGCGGAGAAGGCACAAAATGGGACATTTATAGGTTTTTGGGAATACTGATCAGCATGAGCATATTTATCTGCTCTACTGAGTAAGGCTGTGGGCAGAAGGTTACTGACTACTCTTCCCTTTCTGCCTAAAAATAGACTGGCTTCCTGATATTCAGAGAAGCAGGGATCAACCAATAATTCCATATACGGATATTGAAGAGGAAAGTGAACCAACATTGAGGTGTGGCTACTTAGTGCCAAGCCCTGTGCTAGGTGCTAGAGACATGGTTGTGTAAAGATATATTTTCTGCCTTCAGAAAGCTGCGGTGTCCACCACAGTTGAGCAGATAATTAGCTTATTTCCCAGCAACATGACTCCCATCTACCAACAGAAACATAGGCCCACGTGCATTAGGAGACATGTGCACGAACGTTCATTGTAGCACATTTCCTTGCAGCCAAGAGAATGCAACCAAATAGTGTATTATGACAACAACAAAACACAATGTATTTCCACACCACAACAAGAATAGAAAAACAAGAAGATGTGTACAACAACGTGGATGAACCTCACAAACGCTATGCTGAAAGAAAAAAAAAAACAGAGACAACGTACCACATTATTCCAAAAATTTGGCAAAATTCACCTATTTATGAAGAGCCAGGATATTGTCTACTTTGGAGGAAGAGGACATGCTCTTCTCTCATTTGATGAAGTTATCCGCTGTCGGAGGTGACAGTCTAGTGAGGGATGCAGAGAGCCCCCGGCAACCACAGGGCTGTGTCATCCTGGGCTGGAGGGAGGTTTGTGGGCTCTGGGGTGCTGGGAGTTGTGAAAACAGAATCTGCAAGGACACGATATTTTTGTGTGTGGGTTTATATAATGTGTGGTATTAAAACACACAGTGGATAAATCTGCACATTTTGCCCCTATTTGATTTTAGTCCCAGGATCACTTAGATTTATTTCCCTTAAAATTCTCTTAAGCAAAAGGGGCAAGTGAGAAGGATGTCTTCTCTCCTATCCCCCTGGGCTTCATAACAATTGCTGTTAGCTTCTTATTAATCCTTCCAGAGGTGTCCCATGTGTATGGAAGCAGAGATGAATCCATACCCCATTTTTATGTAAGCAATAGCAGACTCTAGATATCATTCTGGACTTGCCTATATTACTTGTTATAGCTTGCAGAGCCTTGTTATTCTTCAGATTAGACACATCATATTTTCTTCAAGCTGTCTTCTGCGTTATTTAACCAGTCTACAACAACCATATCTCACCATGAGTCTTACCTAGACATGGATTTTGAAAAAGAGACATCAAGCAGTGGTCTTGGACTTTCTGCATGGGTGAACAGTGTGAGCATCTCAAAGAGGCAGGGGCTGGGTGTTCATTTTGAACTTTCCACCTCTGGAGAGATTAAGCAGGACAATGTGCCCTGGCAGGGACTCTCTGACTCACAGACCTTTCTGTACCTTGCAAAATCACCTTTGAAGTTAAGACTTTAGGGAAAATTGGGCACTCCAAGCTGCTTTTGACCCTCCACCAAAAAAAAAGAGAGAAAAAAAAAAGTTACCTTAAATGTTAGCTATGTACTAAGTAATTGTAAAATAGTTATGAATATTTGTGAGGGTCCAACTCAGTACTTTAAGAAATCGATTAAAATGTGAAATTCTTTCTCTGTGGAGCATTTGTTCTGAAGACATCTCTGAAATCTCTCAAAAAAAAAAAAAAAAAGAAAGAAAGAAAGAAAAGCAATTTCATTTGCCCCTTAGGGAAATTGGCTTCCACACCAAGATGATACCCTAAGTTCAAGGGTCCCAAGGAATAATGACAATTCTGAATGTATCCTGTGCATGGACAAAGTGGCTGTACGATACATGAACCATTGTTTGATAAAAACACTGAGTGTGGATATTCAAAAATTTGAGTCATTTTTTAAAAGTCACTAAGATGACTTATAGATAAAACAATAAAATGCATATTTTATACTTTACATTCATTCTTTCTATTTATACTACACGTTATTTGGAAAGGATCCAAGGTAAATGTGGATGGCATATTTTTTCTAGCAGTACAGTTACTAATCAAATCATTGTGAAATTATAGTTTAGAAAATTTCTGTATAGTTTGGAAACAATAAACTATGTTGGAAAATAAATTCATTTGGGGGAGAAATAAATTAATAGTATTAAATTTTATCATGTACCTTCTCCTCCAGACTTGAATCCATTTCCAAATCACAGACCCAGAAAGCAATCCCCACGGAACTATTTTGTGGATAATTCTGAAGAATAAGGCATATCATTTCAAAGAAATCAAACTAGAAAATCACGCTTATTGGCTAATTTTGTTAATATCTGGTTATAGGTTCATAGGTTCATATAATTGCAGAGTTGAAAGGAAATAGAGTTCAATTTGTGCCAACACACAAGCTAATTATTCTGATGTGCATCATACTCATGAATGGAAAAGAAGAGTGTAAGGAGAAGAGAGGAAAGATAACTTTGGGTTTGCAAACATTTGATAGTAGAAAAAATGTTTCTATATTTTAAAAAATATTGATACAATTCAACAACAAAAAGACAAACAACACACTTAAAAATGGACAAAGGACTTAAATAGATTTTTCCAAAGAAGAAATTCAAATGACCAGCAAGCACACGAAAGATGCTCAATATCATTAGTCATTAGAAACATGCAAATCAAAACCACAATGAAATATCACTTCACATCTACTAGGACAGTCATAAAAAAAATAAAACTTCAGAAGCAGTGGCTCACACCTGTAATCCCAGCACTTTGGGAGGCCAAGGCGGGTGGATCACAAGGTCAGGAGTTCGAGACCAGCCTGGCCAATATGGTGAAACCCCATCTCTACTAAAAATACAAAAATTAGCCGGGCAATTAGCTAGGCATGCTGGTGGGTGCCTGTAATCCCAGCTACTCAGGAGGCTGAGGCAGGAGAATCGCTTGAACCCGGGAGGCGGAAGTTGCAGTGAGCTGAGATCGGGCCACTGCACTCCAGCCTGGGCGCCAGAGCGAGACTCTGTCTCAAAATGAAACAAAACAAAACAAAATTTTTGAAAACAGCAAGTGTTGGTGAGAATGTGGAGACATTGTAACCTTCATATGTTGCTGCTGGGAATGTACAGTGGTGCAGCTGCTGTGGAAAAGTCTGGCAGTTCCTCAGAAAGTTAAACAATATGAGTTACCAATATGGCCTAGCAATTCAACTCCTAGGTGTATACATACAAGCGGTGAAAATAGGTGTTCAAACAGCAACCTGTACATGAGTGTAGTGTTCATAGCAGAATTAGTCACAAGTGTCAACGGTGGAAGCAATGCAAATGTGCATCAGTTGATGAATGTATAAGCAAAGTGTGGCGCATCCATACAATGCAATATTATTTAGTCACAAAAGGAAAAGAAGTAATGCCACATTCTCCAACATGGAGGAACTTTGAAAATCTCACATTAAGTAAAATAAGCTAGGCACAAAATACCACATATTGTATGATTCCATATATATGAAATGTGCACAGCTGGCAAATCCAGTGGCTGCTTACTGGTGTCTCCTTTTGGGATGATGAAAAAGTCAGCTGGGGTTTCTCCCCACTTTTTTATCCTCATGGACAATGCTAATGTTACTCCTCTTGCTCCGGAGGTTTTATTTATTTATGTATTTTGGGTTTTCAAGAAAGAGGCAGGGTTTGTGTTCATGAATTTAATCTCTCTTTATGAAGGCATACTAACTTTCCATTTTGGTCTTATTATTTATTTCCATTTTGGTCTTATCAACTAAGGGAGATTCCCTGGGTGCAGAAGGTCATTTCCCATGACCCAAAGAGGTAAAAATAAGCCAGGTGAGAGCAGGTCAAGCCTGCAGAGTTGCGGTGACGACCACATGTAGGGACAGGAAGAAAAGATTAGAAGCGCCCATTATTTATGTCACACGAGGTGCAATGGGGTGGAATTGACTGAGCCTGCCCACCTGTTCCTTGCCCCGCAAACCTCAGGCATTGAAGAGAAGACAGGCTTCCTGATGATGGGGACTCTCTGAGCAATGGATGAGTCAGAAGGATCAAATCCCGGGAAAAGCTGCTGGGGTGCAGGGGAGGGAAGGATGCTGCGCGGAAGGTGGGCGTGCAGAGTGGAATACAAGGCAGTCAGGTGTGCTGCAGTGCGTTCTGAGACAGCCTCCAGCAAGCTTCTGTCTAAGGACCTCTTCCCACTGCGTAAAACTGGTGGCCATAAAACCTCATCAGGGCTCAGGGGCCTGTACTAAAAAGCTGCTGTGAGAACAAAGAATGCATAACTAACGGAATTGGTGGCTCAGGACTGACCTTGAGAACCCATTATATTTATTCAGTTGTCTCCAAGCAGGATGGCACATTTGTTTTTTTAACGTCTGTAATTTTTATTTATTTTTATTTTATTTTACTTTAAGTTCTGGGATACATGTGCAGAACGTGCAGGTTTGTTACATAGATATGCATGTGCCATGGTGGTTTTCTGCACCCATCAACCCGTCATCTATATTCTAAGCCCCACATACATTAAGTATTTGTCCTAATGCTCTCCCTCCCCTTGTCCACAACCCAGCACTGCAAATATTATAATATCAAAGAATGAGAGGAAAAAAAAATCAGTTTCTACCTGTTTTTTATGAATCCCAGGTAGGCTCCAAAGTCTCCCTGGGTAACATGCTTTAAATGTCATATCATCTTTTTATAAAATTTTTATTTATTTTTACTCACCGCTATGCAAACAAGGAGTCTTATCATCTTACTGCCCAGGAAGCGCTTTCTTATGTTAACTCTGTGAGTTTCTGGATGCAACTTAAGTCTACAACAGAATGTCTTTGCTTATAATTAAGTGATATCTTTGTATATACATATATATGTTTATTTTTAGGCACATTAATTTTGTTCTTACAAATGTATATTTAACATTTAAGAGTAATGCAATAACTTGATGGTATTTTTAAAGGTGCAAATATCTAAAAATCACCAATAATTTTAACATTAGAAACTTTATTGTTTTTAAGCATACTTTTCACAGTTAATTTTATATCAAATATGTGAACATTGGTATCATAATTTTTAGGACATGTAAGTATTTTGAAAATGTTATGCATTTTGATGGTTTTTCACTGTGTTATATTTATTATACCTAAGGAATATGTAATATCTCTGAGTAGATTTATTGTAGTTTGCTAATATAGTGCTCCATTTTGAACTTTTTAGAGTTTTTTTTGGTTTCTCAAAGTATTTTTTTATTTCCCAGGATAATTTCTGAGCAGAATAACTGAAACAATGAGAACGAGTATTTTATATCTTACATACATATTAAGATTGCTTTACAAAGAGGTTATTTAAGTTACCAGTGCTTCTGGTTTTGTATGTGAGGACTAGTTTCATATACCTTCATTATCCGTGGGTATCAGCCCCGTGTGAGTGTGCCCATACATAAGTTGATTAAGGAACATCTTTGTTCAGAAAAAAAGCCTGGAAAGGTGGCATTCTGTAAAGGGCTCTGTGTACCTAGTTTCTTTCCTATGCTGAGCCCCAGGATCCTGATTCTTACCCAGATGCTTATATTTAGGTTGGTGCAAAAGTAATTGCGGTTTTGACCGTTATTTTCAATGGCAAAAACCACAATTACTTTTGTAGCAATCTAATACATAACAATATTTGCAGGAAGTTTTAATTTATGGGGATTAAAGAAAGCTGCAAAGAGAATAATGAGCTCAAAGTTTTGTGATGTGCAGTTTATTATTAATTAACTTGAGCCTAAAATAATGATCACTGATGAAGATTTTATGGACAGATTAGGCAAATATCATTATTTCTTCCCTATTTATTTATTAAAGACATCCATGAAACTTCTTTTAAGTAGAGATACCCTACAGAAAAGTTTAAGACAAACAGCAGATTCTACCCACATTCACTCTTTGCCACCTCTCACTCGCTTGCTTACCCTACCAAAGCAATCCTGCACAGCTGGTCTGCATGAGCAAGCAGATGTTAGCGGTCAGTGTAAAACTAGCAGAAGTGAAGTCAGCACTTTTAGAAACTGGAAGAGACTTAACTGAACTGGAATATGTGCGATTTCAATGGAAAAATGCAGTTTTAAAACAATCAATATGTATTTATTCCTAATGAGATTTGAGAAACTGTGGTCAGCAAAATGAGAATTAGATCCCATGAGAAAGTCACACGTTGAGAAAGAAAGGGACTATTTGCAAATATAAGACTATTTAAAAATAATTAAAAATCTAATAACTGAACTTCAAAATCCAAAAATAGTAAAAAAAAAAAAAAAAAATAGAAGGGCTCTACAGATATAAAAATAAATATCTGCAAAGTAGAGAACAAAAGGGAAAAGCATGAAAATTATGGTTGAAAGATAATGAGAGGATATTTCAAGGATAACTGGGGTTTAAGCAGGAGGCATTCCAGAGAAAGGGAAGATAATTGATGGAGGAAAGAATATGTAAGGTTAGATATAAAAGGAGCACATGTACATGGATAAGAATAAAGCGGTAACCTGGCCGGGCGCGGTGGCTCACGCCTGTAATTCCAGCACTTCGGGAGGCCGACGCGGACAGATCACCTGAGGTCGGGAGTTTGAGACCAGCCTGATCAACATGGAGAAACCTCGTCTCTACTAAAAATACAAAATTAGCCGGGCATGGTGGTAGACACCTGTAATCCCAGCTACTTAGGAAGGCTGAGGCAGGAGAATTGCTTGAACCTGGGAGAATCGCTTGAACCCGGGAGGTGGAGGTGGTGGTGAGCCAAAATCGCACCATTGCACTCCAGCCTGGGCAACAAGGGTGAAACTCTGTCTCAAAAAAAAAAAAAAAAAAGAGAATAAAGTAGTAACCCAGTAAAACTATTAAATTTTACAGAAGAGAAAAAATGATCAATAAACAAAAGAAAAAACGCTCAACTACACAGTAATCAAGGGTGTGCCAGACTGATATCTGCAAGATGGTGGACTAAGAGGCTCCAGCCTTTCCTTCCTTCCACGGATATACCAAAGAAATATCAACACACAGATCGGTTCTTTCTGAGAGAAAACCATGGACTAATTGAAAGACTACTACACATCAAGCAACTGAGAAAATATTCATGTGAAAACAGGTGGGAAGAGCTGAGACACACTCCCCGCACAATCCCTATCCCAGACATAACACCTTACAATTAATTGGTAAGGAAGTCCCAACTCCTAGCTTCTCCCTGAGGAGTGAAGGGTTTGGACCACACATATAGTACCCTGACCTTTATGCTTCCCACCCAGGGGTTTGGCTCCTAAATCACCCAGCTCAGGGTTGATAGAGCTGGGCATCTGCAGGTCTCCCTAAACCACAGACACCAAAGAGATGGTGGGACACAGATTTGCAAGCACTTTTGGCAGCTCTCTCCCTGGGCTCAGGCCAGAGCAGGCAGGTAAATGCCCACCTCCCGGTTTCTACCTGCAAGGGGTTTATCTACCCATTTTCCCATCTGCTGCCTGAGGGTTGACTTCTGGGTCTGTATCTGGGAGCCAAAGGGGCAGG
The DNA here is from genome assembly GCF_000001405.40 of Homo sapiens. Classification (NCBI taxonomy): domain Eukaryota; kingdom Metazoa; phylum Chordata; class Mammalia; order Primates; family Hominidae; genus Homo; species Homo sapiens. The sequence goes on from NC_000008.11 coordinate 7,459,930, forward strand.
GTGAACAGTAGACCTGTGGGAGCCTGAACAGAGGTATAGGTAGGCACTGCACCTGCTCCTCTCGACTAGCTCCAGCAAGAAATCCAGGTCTCCAGCTTCTCCCTTGAAGGAGAATACTTCAAGCACAGTTTTATAGCTGCCACCTGGGGGACTGGCTCCTAAATCACTTATCTCTAGAAGTTAATGTGAGGCAGGAGAATTGCAGAGGAAATTGGAAGTTGGATAAAGGATAGAGTGAATAAAAGCAGAAACAGAAGCAAGGTGAAGGGGTGGGTGAGCAAGAAGCAAGATAAAAGGCAGAAGTGAAGCAGCCAAAAGAAAAAGTGAGATAAAGAAGAGAGCAAGGACCCCATGGCCAGCAAGATCCAGATCAAACCAGGAAGGGGCAGCTCTTCAGAGATAGGCATGCGCATTAAAGAGAAAAAGTATCCTTAACAGGATGCTGTATGATAATCAGCTCATTAAAGCTCATGCATATGGACTACCTATCACGCATGTAGTTAAAATTATGGGATGGAGACAATTCACAAGCCCGCACAGGCTAAAGTAACTAAGCAACACACCTATCTATCAAAAGGCAGGCACCGGCAAAAGATCAGGCAGCCTTGCGAAGAGAAGGGGAAAAAACACATAAAAAGACCCAAGGTACACCGAAGCCATGCTAATCTCATTTGGCAGAAGTCAGCCCACTCTCCCCTCTCCGGGAATGTAATACTGCGCTTCACACACTTTTGCTGCTTGCTTTGCTGTCTGAGTATCACATCCAGTTCTTTGTTCAGGACACCAAAAGCCTGGAATTGCACAGCACCATCGGGTTATAAATGGGTCTCTGCATTTTGTGTCTTCTAAGGCCACAGAGAACAAATGGGTAGTTTTAAAGGGGCACAAGAGGACTTCCAGAGGGTATTCTTCCAGGTTTAGCACAAAGAGAACAGGCAGTAACTCCCAGCTCTCAGTATCTCCCCAGAAGGCATTTGCCTGCACACTCTCTCAGCTGCTGCTAGAGAACAGGGCTTCGAACTGGCCTGCAGGTAGGAGATGATGGGGCTGATGGAGAATGGGTTTGACCACACACCTGACACCTCAACTACATTTCACAGTACTTAGAATAGAATGGACTCCATTGCACAGTACCTAGAATAGAAGTAGGTATTCAAAAAATAGTTTTTAAATAAAAGAACAAATTATTTTAATTCTTTCTAATAAAAGTTTATGATATCCACATTTACTAGCACAAATTGTGTGATTTTGAAAATTCTGTTCATGTCAAGCTAAGTCATCTTCTGTAAGATCACAGGTAGCATTTTTGTCATTTATCTTGCCACAATAAAATATTTGAACTGTCTGGCACAAGTGGCAATATCTCCGCTCCCTGCTGCTCAGACACTTCCGCAAAAAACCTGCACCTGATTGGACAACGTGGCCCCGGAGAACAGGTAAGTGGCAGAGCTTTGTTTCTATATCAGCAACATCAGTTTTAATGTAAACAGCAGGCGTCTTTCTTTTTAGAGCAGTAGCCTACTTGTGTTTCCATATAATTACAGTATTCTTGGCAGAAGCCTTCACTTCTCCTGCAGTCAACAACTTTTAAATCTGATGCAGGTTCTGCATTAAAAAAAGAAAAAATCCAACATTAGCTTCTTAAGACCATCTCCAGAATCAAACAGTGGTCATTTGAGCCGTGAGGGACAGGGTGGGGGTGGCATGGATATGAAACAGCTTTCCATAGTTAATAGCTTCAAGTTCCAAACTAAAACATCAACTCCAGATATATAGCTCTGCCCCACTAAATCTCCTTTAACCAAAGGAAGGAATAATCCTGTCTCACAGGAATACTGTTAGACTAAATAACACACGCCTACTATTGCACCTGTTTATATTTGTTGTGTAATAATTGAGTTTTCTTTTTCCCTTCCCTTGGGAGGAGATCCAGATGAATGAGTCCTTTGGAACTGTGGGCCAATTAGAAAGGGATGGGAGGTTGGGTAGGATGCTGCAGGCATCAAATTCAGCAGGACTTTATTTGCTGGATGTCACAGCAATTTGCCAACACCCTCCTGTCTTTCTTGCTCTTGCCCACTGATCTGCTAACCTAGTTCTCCCTGTCTTAGGGTCAGCAATCAGCTTGGCATTAAAGAAGCATCTTGGAAACTACAGGCTCTTCCAGGCCCTTTTGGATTTGAAGCTGGTCCTGCCCAGGGGTTTGGGGGCTGACCAGAAGCCTGGCCCTTCTGGAAGAGTCCAGAAGAGTGGCTGTGGGCTCAATTGTCCCTTGCCATGTCCTGCTACCTCCTTGCCTGAGTAGACTGACAATACAGTCTATTCTCTGCCCCCATTCTCAGGAAGCATTTCCCAGACCTCAATGGACACCTGAAACTTAGTAGGTAGGTATTCAGTAAATTCCTTGAACGGGAACGACCTCCAAAGCTAAGGGCATGGGGCTGCAACCTGGCAGGAGGCCATGTTTCCACCAGTGTCTCCTCTGGCACCTGTTCTTGGAGGAAGCCAGCAATTACAGGTGTGGCTTCAGATAAATTGCCTTTTGGCCCCTCAATACTCCCACGTTCCACAAGGCCCTCAATGATCCAGCCCCAGGGGAAGCTGTGAGACCCCGTGGTCTCCCTGACAGGCAGGGCAGCCCAATGCACCCGCACCATGTCTTCCCCAAACAATGACTGCTCACCCACCCCGACCAGCACAGACATCTTCCCGTCTATTTGTTCCCTCTACGTCTCCCCAGTGGATGCACTTGTTGCACGTGTTGGTCCCTGACTCACCTTGGTAAGGTGGGGTGCGCGGTGGTAAGAGGTCCCGTTTCACTGCGTGGCGTAGCAGCTGAAACCCGTTTGTGCCTTGCCCAGGGGCTCTTTCCCTGAGTTCTCCGAGAGCCTCAGTGGCTGAGTGGTTCACATGTCTGGCTTGAGACGATCCTGTGCAAGTGGAAACACACGTCTGAGGATGCTCTGAGGCCTCCGCCTGGCAGACCCGTCAGCATGAGGCACCTACACTCTACCAGGTGAGTGAGCATGGGTGATTGGGTGGGGGAGTTGGGAGGGGTGCTAGTGTTCCGTGTGTGTGCACGTTTGTGCACATGCGTTGTATGCACCTATGTGTAGAGAGAGAAGGTGAATGAAGTGTAAGAAATGTATGCCATGAATGGTGAGTCTGAGCACCTCCTCAAAGCCAGCACAGCCAGAGAATTTATTTCAAGTGTCACTAATGCAGTTGTTAAGATTCCCTAAAATGTAATGTTCTTCTCTGTAAGGGAAAGGGGAATGTTAAAAGGATAAGAAAATGGAGTCGGGGAGGGACACTCTTCCCTGGGAAGCAAGTGCCATCAGCCAATTCAGAGTGCCATTTATGAACCCAGTTCAGAGACTCGTACCCAAAGCTCCACCAGGAATACATGCCCCAAGGACTTCATCTCTCCCTGTCCAGCCTGGACTCCCATACCTCAGATGACCATTGCAGAGAGATTCTGGCACCCAGACCCGGGTCACCTTTCCATTTTACCTGGAAACAGCAGGGCCACAAGGAGAAGGCTGGTGACGGACGGGAGCAATCGTTGCCTCATGTCTGCCAAGAGCACTGCAAGCCAGAAAGCACCCAGGGTGGGTGGGCAGGCAGCGGGGCTCCTTTGATGGAGTGAGGCTGGGTGTGTGGGCCCGGAGCGTGGGAAGAGCTGTGCTCCAGGATGACTTCTCATTCTCAAAGGACAATGTGGACACGCTACTATCCCACTGCTGGTGGAACAAACACTTGAGACACATATTTCAGGAAGTAAATAATACGCCTGAATGCCTTGGGTGGGTTTGGTGAATAAGGAAGAACAGAGAGAAACAGAAAGATGAAAGGCATGGAGGGGCAGAACAAACATAACTATCATAAAGTTGCCAATGTCCTCAAACGCTTCTCAAAAGCCCCCTAATGTTCATGAGAACAGGGACATAAATAAACTGCCATGTCGATTCTATCCTGTTGGCTGAGCGTTTTTATTTTAGTGTTAAAAAATCATGCATAAGACACACAACATAACAGGTAGGACCTGGTTTTACAAACTATCCCTTCCTGAAGTTATACAGAGAGTTCCAAGGCTGCTCAAAATGTTCTTTTCTTTTTCTTCTCCTCTCTGAGTCTCTCTCCCTGTTTCTTGGTCCCCTCCACTTCTCCTTCCTCACTTTGGACCCCCCTCCTTTCTATTTTAACTTATTTGAGTTGTCTTGATTTTTCTCTCCCCTTTCCATTCTCTTTACCCCCAGACACCTCCTGTTGATGTCACTGGGTCCAATTCAATTCTTTTAAAAAAGAAAAAAAAAATCTGTGTTTGAGTCTGGGTTTTCTCCTCTAGTAATATCCAAGCAGAGGACTTGTCTTCCCTTCTCCTTCATCTTTTTAAGCATTTTAACCAAGTGTGTGTTTCTTACTTGGCTGCATTAGCTCAGGTATGCATGTAACCCAGACAGTCTGCTCTGGACTTAACTAAAGTGAAGAAGGCTTTGGTTGAAGAGTTTTGTATTCACATAGCATCCAATGTAACATCAGTGATGTCTGGAAAAGATAGTGCTTATCTCATATGTCTCATTTGCATGTATATTTTAATCCAGACAGAGAAAACAACTTAGGTCATTTGTGTAAATAAAAATACTTACTCTCTACCTGGAGAAAGCTGGAAGCAAATGGAGAAAGAGGCAGCAATGACAATAGAGACCTGGGCATCCGCTGAAGCACCAGCAAAGGGCGGAAGGTTTGCAGCTGCGGACAGTTGCACATAGCAGCTGCCCTGGCAGCACAATGCGGAGGCCACTATCTTTTGGGTCTCAGGACAGATTCTCCACTGCAAAGCATGAGGTGCTGGTCAGGGAGAGCAGGAGCATCATTCACATCCTTTCACTTTAAGGAATTAGGAAGTCTTCCAATTCCAAGAGCACAGGGCAACACTGCGGAGATAGGTGACAACTGGCCCATGATAAGTTTCTTTAATCACTTACTGCATCAAATTCTGATAATTGGATGTTGGAAGAACATAGACAGTCAAGAAAGGAGGTAGACAGCTGCTCTACCTCAACCCTAAATGAAGATTTATTCGCTCATCTACATACTCTGGGTATTTTTTGTACTCTAGTTCAATAGCAACTTCTTACAGTTGTATTTGTAATTATTTAAACTTGGAATGTGGATCTTTTATAACAGTGATGGAAATTTTGGAGTATATTGGTAACTTATTTCTATATATTTTTATCTTCTCTATAAAAGGAAAGAAAACAAAAACAAGCCTATTCCACCATTCAGATATTAATAGTAATGAATCATTAATCAAAATCATGACTTAAAATATAACAGCATTTGAGTAATTACCACCCAGGTAACGGAATCTTCTTTGAAGTCGTTAGAATTATTTGAAATTATTTAAATGAAGAAACTGAGCCAAAAATAGTTAGATCTCACTTCCTTTGTCTACGTCTTGAGATAAAGTAAGCCCCCTCTTCCATGCTTCTGAAAAGAACAATCTTAAAAAAGAGCAGCCGGGAAAGCCTAGTTCTGCTCTTTGACAGGCAAAAGCTGGTGAAGTCGTAATAAAGGCAATTAATGTTACATCTGTCCTAACACAACAATGCTCTCAGCTCCTGTCCTCTTCTGCCAGATTTCTGTGTCCTAAAAAAATCTTTGAATAATTCTCTTGCTAAAAGCCACATCCATCCTGAGGGGGAGGATGGCAGAACCCATTATAGAATATTCTAATAATTGTTTCAAGTTTTTTTTGGTCCATTCAATCAATAAATCATATTCTTTTTTTTTTAAGCTGCTTAGTATGTGGTATCTTGATTCGTTTGGACTAAGTAGGTGGGCTAAAGTAAAATGATCAAGATTTTATTGTCAAATAAGAAGTTCTGCAAATACATATTCCTGAAGGATCTTATTGGAAATTGCACACATGTGCAGGGGGTAAGATTTTCCACATCGGCACATCCTCCTTCTTGCTTCCCAAGTAGCATCCTGGTAAATCCTGGAAAATATGAATGCGAGAAGGAAAACCCTATTGTAGCCCAGTTTGGAATCAGAAGTTCTCTGCAGAATCAAATTTAGACTCTTCTTTTGCATTACTAAATGACCCAGTGAAAGTTTCTCTGGAGGAGACTCACAGAAGAGCGAAGCAAAGATTCCTATGCAGATTTTCTTATTCTTAAGTCTGAGATTGTAACATGCTAACCAGTCTGTAAGACCAACTAGAATGCCATTTAACAGAGGCACAGATTCCCCTCTAGGGAAAATAACTGATATATGGAAAAGACACAAATATTAGAGTCTTCTTTGGAAAAAGCAGTCAGGAAGAATTACATGATAGGAGAGAAAACTGCTTTTGGATCGTGGTTAAAGAAGTAGCTTTGAGAATTGTGCAAAAATATTCTTTGGTATTTTGTTTCTTTTTCATGCACAGAATCACAAAATGAATTGTGTTTTCAGAAGTCGATTTGATCTGTAGCCATTTCAGCCATCCCAAGAATGCTCTTAAGGCAGCATATGAAAGAACACAGGAAATCCTTTCATGAGCGCTAAGGCATAAACACCATTTAGTTTTGGCAATAAAAACATGGTATTGTTATAAGTTTAAATAAATCTGTTGAGATTGCCTATTCTTTTTCTTGAGACGGAGTCTGGCATAGTTGCCCAAGCTGGAGTGCAGCGGCGCCATCTCAGCTCACTGCAACCTCCGCCTCCCGGGTTCAAGCGACTCTCCTGCCTCAGCCTCCTGAGTAGCTGGGATTACAGGTGCCTGCCACCGCGCCCAGCTAATTTTTGTATTTTTAGTAGAGATCGGGTTTTCACCATGTTGGCCAGGCTGGTCTTGAACTCCTGACCTCAAGTGATCCTCCCGCCTCTGCCTCCCAAAGTGCTGGGATTACAGGCGTGAGCCACCCTGCCTGGCCGAGGTTGGCAATTCTGACGAAACAATCATAACATTTTGGAACTGAAAACTGTCTTAGAGACCTAACCAATATTTTAAGAAGAGGAAATGGAGGATGAGTGAAAAAGCGATGTGTCTATATGTGTTAATTAAAGACTAAAGATCTGGAGGAGGCTATGCACTGCAGACACTATTAACAGAATGGAGTCCATGTAAATAAACAAAGGGGTGCTCAAAGTTAAAGGGAAAGGCAACAGATTTGTTTGGGGAAGAGCAGGAGTTCATGGTGGTCACAGACATAAGAAGAAATGTAGTTTTTCACGGGAATAGTATCTTTTCTCCACGGTGCCATGATGCTTTTATTATTTTGGGTGTAATTTCTCATAACTGGAAAGCATTTCAGCCCCTTCCCAGTCCTCAGAGGTTGACCATTTTTTTCTCTCGGATTCAGCCACAAAGGCAGCTCTACCACTCACCATGTGTCTGTCTTTGACTTTGTCATGTTGGGAAGACTCAGGACCCCACCTATTTTTACCCACAGGGCCCTCTGTGCCTATGAAACTGAGGTCCCAGCAGTCCTTGTGGACATATCACAATCTAAAATTCAGGGATAAGAAAATCTACATAGGAATCTCTGCTTCACTCACCTGTGAGACTCTTCCAGGCTAATTTTCTTTGGGTCATGTGGTAATGCAAGAGAAAGTTGATTCTATAGCAACTTCTGAGCACAGACTTGGCTGCAATATGTTTCCCCTTTACACAGTCATATTTTCCAGGATTTAATGGGATGTCTCTTGGGAGGCAAGAAAGAGAATATGCCAGTGTGGAAAACCTTAACTCCTGCACGTTGAAAATTTCAAGTTCTGCTCTTTTGGATATTTAAATAAGGACCTGGGTGGTGATTTGCTCACCCAGAGATTTTCTCTGTCAATCTCTGTCTCTCTCTCTCAACTTCAAATAATAAAAAACGCATAAATTAAAAAGTGAAAAATATCCAAACAATCCTTCCTTCTGTTGATTTTCATTAGGCACATTTCAAAGGGTTACTGATCATTCATTATGAACTACAGACTTCAGATCTGTATCCATCCTTTGGAGATAGAAGATAAGTAGCAATGTTATTGGGTTTCTGATTGTGTTTGTAGTGCATCAGGTACAAATTATTAAATATTTCCTGCCAATTCTGGAAACAATAAAATAGAACAATCTATCTTTGTTCTTTTACTGTAAAGCCCTGAAATTAAAGTAGTGCGACTTTGTGATGTCGTTAAGTGCTGAGGATAGCAGTTCATTAATATGACTATGTGAATTACACCTGAGGGCGGGAGGGGGCGCTGTTTCAGAATCCAGCCTCTTTAGAGAGCAAAACAATAGGACACCAGGACGGCAAGCCAAACCCAGGGCTCTTCAGTGAAGACCACGATACAAGGCTTTCTACGTTATCTGACAATGAGATAGCTTTGCTTTCTGCTTGTTCTTGTCTCTCTGGCCACTACGGCGGGTGGCGTTGATTAAAGTCTGTAGAAGTCCCTTGCTTTGCTCTATATTTACATTGGGAGGTACAAGATGGCCTCCTTGGCAAGGCATCAAATTACATTTTAAAAGGAGACAAAAAATAATTGTAGCACAGGGTCAGCAGTTGGATCTCTGTTTGTAAGTGTTGTTGGGCAGAATGGCCATACGGCAGGAGGGGAAATCAAGGTACAAGTCAAATAAGTCACCTTCCCAAGGTCCCCTGCTAAGCAGTAGAGCTGGGATTCCAGGCTTTGCGTATTTGTACATGCCATGCTGTGCTGCCTCTGAACTGCACTTGAGATGTGGGGTCTAGGCCTGGTCTTGCCTAATATCGTGGCCAGTGTTAGGAAAACCACTAATCCGTCTGAACCTTAGTAACAGTGCCTAAAAGGTGAGGATGTTGACACTTACCATGCCTAATTCAAGAGTTTATGGTGAGGATCAAAGGAGATTATGTATTAAAAGTATTTTATAAAATACAAAATATGAGAATAATGAAAAGAGTCTAAAAAAATGTAAGACTAAAATAAATGTCACATTGTCTTATAGCGTGTTCTGTATGTTGCATTTGGAGTGTGGCATCCTTGGGGGTGGTTCAGTAGTTTCTTCTTTTCCTGTAATTGCAGTGTTGAGACCTAGGGGCTTGCCCAGATATGCACTCAATTTTCAGCACAATATTTTATAGATGGAATAGAAGTACACATCACCATCTGTGCAAGAGGCCTTGGAGGTAAACAACCTGAGGCAGTATGTGGACCTTCCAGGATCCAGATTCTAATAAATCAACTCTTAAAAAGGCACTTATGAAATGCTCAGGGTCATTTGAATACAGATTGGCTGTTAAATTGTATTTAGGAATGAATGCTGATTTTTTCCAGGGGTGATAATAGTATTGGGGTTCTATTTTACAAAACGAGTTCTTTCCCCCTGAGTTACACCTTCTAGAGTATTTTCAAATGGGCACCTTTGAAATAATTTATTTTTATTTGAGATAATCTAGGAGAGAGTTATCAAGGGATGAAACAAGACTAACCACATATTGAGGCTGGGCGATGCCTACGCGAAGGGCCATTACACTGTTTTGGTAGAAAGGGCACAATGCAGCCTCAGTTTCCACCCTGACAAGGTGAGGATGATGCTGCTTACCATGACTAGAAGCTCGTACGTGGCATTATGTCCTTCTATTAGGAAGCACAGGGTAGCAGGTTGTCTTTCTGGCTTATTTTAATCGCTGTTGACATTCCTTGGCTAGATCCCTGTTTCCCTATGTGTTTGCAAAATGGCGACACTCCTCATTTATTAGCTGGACTGCTTTCGAAGAGAGAAGCTTTTGACTACCTTAAAATTTGGTTTGGACAGGAAAGGCAGGCAGGTCAAATGTTTCATCACTCACCTTTCTTTACAGGTTTTCAGGATCAAGAATCCACAGCTCAGCGCAGGGCTGCTCTCTGCTGCCCTCTGCTGGATGGGACCCTCCACAGACGCCCACTTGATCAACCCCTTAAGCTCCAATGGGTTCCCAAGCTTGTCATCACACATCACCTCTTTTGTTTTTCTCCTCAGAGGTCTATGTTTTGAAATATAGTGTATTCTAAACAAGGCACACTTAACATTGATTTACTTTACATTTTAATTAACACACGATATATATAACTCCTGAGCAAAACTTTCGATCGGAAAAGAAAACCAATATTATCAGGATAAAAATGATGTTTTTCTTAGGTTTATAGCTGATTAGGTAGACATATTTTTTGTTCAACTTATAAAGTGTTGAAACTCATGCTTAACTCCCATTGTTATTCTCCATTATCACAACCAGAGGCGGCTTTCCAGCCTGTATTCTTCTTCAATCTCCTATATTGGCTTTGCATTGAGTGGAAGCTCAGCAAACCTTCTTTGATAACTGAACCCGTGGTTGCAATGGGGATGCCCTTGCTGCTAGGCCGCAGGAAGGAAAGCTACTGAGGTCCTACTTCCAGCGACTCTAGGGACCAGCACTACTGCGTTTCAGGGTTTTGTACGATTCAGTAAGCTCTCATCCCATTTTCTCAAACAGCATGCATAGGTGTTGGGACATCTTCCAATTCTGTATTCTTGGCTGCGACATTTCTTCCGGCAACGGGCAGTCCCATAACCACATATTCTGTCCAATTCAAATTCGCTTCTCACTAGATAACAGGATATGGCACTGTCATTAATTGCTTACTGGCACCAAAAGGCAAGGCTTTGGTAGAAGGTGTTTTCGGAGGGGGGTAGAGAATGCTAGTGCATGGTGGTAGAGGTTTTCCTGGACCCCCATCCTCCTCCACTTTCCTAGATGATTGACTTGACCTTCTGATTCCCAACCAGCATGGATTTTATTTGAAAATGTACATCATTCCATGTCACACTTATTTTCAAAATCCCTACAAGTTTACTATTGTTTTCTTTATTAAATCTCTCCAAGCCCCTTACTTGGTCTCCAAAGCAATCGTGATCTGATCTTGGGCCACTTTTTCAGACTCATGCTTTTCCACTGTGGCCCTCACTCTGTCCATGAAACTCTCGCCGGCTTCCCTTCTGTTCCGTGTGAGCTTACTCTTTGCTATCCTGGTACCTTCACGTGCACTGTCCCCTCTGCCTGGAAGGTTTTTCTTCCTTCCCATAAGTGAATTCTTTGAACTTTTATGTCTCAACCTTAAGTTCCCAATATTGGGCAAATCTTTCTCTGTCCTCTTCGTGTATTCAAATGCCCCAAAAGTATTTTTCTCCCTATGCATTTGTTATTCTTTTATATCACCTATCGCAAGTTGTAGTTATATATCTATGTATCTATATAGGTATATATATATACACATATATAGAGAGAGATACATACAAACATAGACATAGATATAGATATGTATATATGTATGTATATTTTGTTATTTGCTATTCTCATTCGAACTATGAGCTCCCTGACAATGAGGCCCATGTTTATGTTGCTTACCATTGTGTAACTGCTACCAGGAACATAGCCTGTTCTCAATAAGGACGTGGTGAGTAAATGATTGGATAGACTAGACCAGAATAAACTAGAGTGGTTGCAAGTAGAGAGGAGGAAACTAGAAAGGAGCAGAATCCTGATTGTTCGGCCGTTGGCCCAGAGCAGTTTTCAGGAGACATGGACTTAGCTTCTCAGTCTCAGGGTGCGCTCTCTGAGGCTGAAAGCAGCTTTGTAAAACTCATTATCTCACATGCCACACTGATAGGATCTTACAGAGATATCAGGAAAACCCAGAAGCAAGGCTGATGGTAGGGAGGACAGCGTAAGGTGGACCGAGAGAGTCTCGCTGGAGAGAGCTTTGCTAGAGGTTCTCTAGCAAACTCAGCAGGAGCCAGGCTTGGGAGAGGGTGTCAGAAGAACCCTGGGGAGAGGAGAGTCAGGGCTGCAAATGGACCTCTTTGCAGAGGTCGGGGCCCAAGAGTCCTAATTTCATCTTAGCCTTAAGTCCTTCTCCCCTGTTGCATCTGTTCCTTTTCTACAAAGCAGAAACGGGCTGCTAATCCTCGCACCAGGGTTTTATGTCTTTCATTTGTTCTGGTAAAGAGAAGCCTCCTGTTTCTGATGCTTAGGTATCAAGGTTCTTTGTCCAGGATGTAGGTGAGGACTAAAAGGCAGTTTGACCAATTCATGTGCTGGATAGGATATTGAAGGGGTTAATATTTGGAATGGCCCCACAGCGGGTGATGAGGAAAGACTGTTTTGCTGTAGGCTTCATTCAAAAGCAAGCCCCTGTGGTCACAGTACAAGGCAATGAAGAAAGGAGTGAGGTGGGCTGCAGTGTGTATCATGCTGAGGGAGTAGGTGGAGGTTGAGTAGCAGATATGTGCCTTCTGACATATCTGTGGCAGGTCGCTTTACAACCTGGAGTTAGAGGAGGAAAAAGAGGACAGCATGCTTGCTCAGGGAAAACGAAGCTTAGCGTTAGGGGAGAAGGAGAATAGACTAGGAAGAGAACCCAACCTTTAAAATGTTAGACTGTCAGTTTCAAACAAGCCCTCACAGGCCATCTATTTAGAGATGGGAATGAAGGCTCAGAGAAGGAAAGTGACTAATCTGACGTCACACAGCAACTTATGTGTCAAAGCTGGAACAGAAACCTAGTTGGTATGTCTTACAGTCTCAGTAAACAGAATGCAAAAGGGAGAATGCAGTCCATACACTAAGGCTGAGTAATAAACATTTCCTAAGCAATAAATACATTCCAGGGTAGACTACACTACACTAGTTTCTTTCTTGCATAAGCAATTTTCCTCCTCTGCTCTACAGACCCAGAAAATCTTAGGCAGGTCTCAGGTCTTAGTTAATGTAGAAAGTTTATTTTGTCAAGGTTGAGGACACACCTGTGACACAACCTCAGGAGGTCCTGAGGACATGTGCCCAAGGTGGTTGTGATACAGCTTGCTTGGTTTTATACATTTTAGGGAGACATAATACATCAATCAATACGTGTAAGATTTGCTTTGTTTTTTTTGTTTGTTTGTTTGTTTGTTTGGTTTTTTTTGAGACACAGTCTTGCTCTGTCGCCTAGGGTAGAGTGCAATGGCACGATCTCAGCTCACTGCAACCTCCACCTCTTGGGTTCAAGCGATTCTCCTGCCTCCGCCTCCTGAGCAGCTGGAATTACAGACATGCACCACCACACCCAGCTAATTTTTGTATTTTTAGTAGAGACGAGGTTTCACCGTGTTGGCCAGGCCAGTCTCGAACTCCTGACCTCAAGTGATCTGCAGACCTCAGCCTCCCAAAATGCTGAGATTACAGGTGTGAGCCACTACACCTGGCTGATTTACATTGGTTTGGTCCAGAAAGGTGGGACAATTCAAAGTGGGGGTGGCGGGGGGCCTGTGGGGGTGCAGTGGGAGTGTGTGGCAGGTGGCCTTCCAGGCTATAGGTAAATTTAAACATTTTCTGGTTGACAATTGATTGAGTTTGTCTAAAGACCTGGGATCAATAGACAGGAATGTTTGGGTTGCGACAAGAGGTTGTATTGTGGAGGCCAAAGTTGTATCATGCAGTTGATGCTTTTAGCTAGCAGGCTTCAGAGAGAACAGGCTGTAAAATGTTTCTTATCACACTTAAAGTCTGTGTTGATGTTCATGATGGAAAGTGTAATGAGGCATGTCCAACCCCCACTTCCTTTCATGGCCTGAAGCAGTCTTTCAGATTAAATTTTAAGAGCCCTGGCTGAGGAGGGAGTCCATTTAGATGGTTGGGGAGGGGGCTTAGAATTTTATTTTTGGTTGACAGCACCCATCCCCAGTCCCTGTGGGTATCTGAGGGGCTGACAGTGTGTGACAGCCAAACTTACCCAAAGCAGGGGTGGCAGGAGAAGAGGCAGGCAGCGCATGTCATTCACCCTCACCCACTTCTGCCACTTCCCTCCCTAATCCTCTTCCTGCTAATGGTCTTTCTCAGAATTCAACTGCAGAGGACAGTCTGACCCAGCCCTCAGCAGCCAAGTGTGGATAATGGCAGCCAGCTCTGCGGTGCATTCTTCGGGATCTGGAGGGATCCCTGACCCAGGCTTTCCATCCCAAGTTCTTTGTCTTGGGATCAAAGGTTGAAGAAAACCTGTTCTTTGATAAATTGCTATCATATTTTAACAGACCTGGAACATGCTCATAGCAGAATTTCACAGAAGTGTCTTTGGGAAATGACACGGGAAGAAAGAAAAAGGAAGAGTTAACCTAAACAGGTACCCTCTGAAAAAAAATCATTAACCCATCTGAATCACAGTGGAGGCACAGCCTGGAAGGGTAAAAAGATGGGTGCTGGGTGTCTGTCAAAGCCCCATAAAATTGACTGAGCAGCTTGGAAGAGAAGATCCGATGGCTTCTACGAGTCAAAACAATTGGTTTCGTCCCAGCACTGCTAGACTTGTTAAGCAACTCTAAAAATCTTATTTTCTCTCACTGTACTATAGAGAATGCTGCTCAGCTTGTAAAAGAAGGGAATTAGATTAGGTGCTCACTCATATCCATTGCAAATATATTAAGAAATACATGCTTCTGGGGACATAGATTAACGTAGGAGTCAGAAGATTGCTGACATCTCAGTCTAAAATTTCCTGAGCAGAGTTCAAAGGCACCTGCTATTTGTGTTGTCAGTAAATTACGTTCTTGCCTACTGAAATCACTGCATCCCCTTTAATCCTAATCATCTGACTTGATATGAAAAGTTGCAAAATTTAGGAGGATGAGTAGGCGCCCTTTCTGTGCAGAGTAAAGCTGTTCAGAAGGAGGAGGATGGGAGAAGGCATCTTATTCTACAAAATCAACAATGAATAATTGCTGCTGCCCTGCAATGGAACAAGCATGGCTAGTGAGTCCTCACTGCTGAGGATTCCATGAGGAATTGTTACCGTGTGTGGCCAGGGTGCCAAGGACATCTAGGACTCCTGATCCCTACGTTTCTTTTTTCCTCCTTGAGCTAGTAAGCCTCATGGCTGTAAGGTGCATACAAGGATTGCCACATACTGCATTTTACTAATGGACCCAATGAAAGCAAAGAGAAAAAAGGCTGAGATTGAAGAAGGTTACTCCATCCTTCAGGATTTATTTTCTAAATCAAATGTTTTTCTTCTCCCCCTGTCATCCCCAGCAACTGTGTATATTTCCAGCTGAGAGTCCCTTTTTACCTGGAAGATCTTGATAGAGTAGAAGAGAAATGGCTAATAGCAGCACAAGTCTCTGCATAATGCTGGGGCTGCTGGCGAGAAGCAGACGCAAGTCGGAGGGAATCACCCCAGGCAGGAGCAGGGCAGGTGTATTTATGGGCAGAGGCTGCTCTTGATTACTGAGGCTTATCAAAATGCAGCGTTCCTTGGTGAAGACTCACCAAGGCACAGTGTGGGGGAGGTGTTGGGGCTACAGAAATGCCAGCTGGGCAGTGTTGAGGGTGGGGAGACAGTATTACCATAGGTAAAGTCCAAGTCACTTCACTTGCTTCCCCGAATCGTTTCTGAAGCAAGAACTGGATTAGATGATCTCTAAGATACCTTCCAGCCTTGACATTCCTCAATTCTGGTGAGAGGACTTTCTCTTCCATTTCAGTACATTTCAGTCAGGAGATTCTTGTTGAAAACTGTGATGTGGCTAATGGAATTGAAGTCCATAGCCCCCAAGACCTCTCTGAAGTAAACATTGAAACAAACATACAACGTCAAGGAGAAGAATGGCATGGAGCGTGGGGAGGTCATAAATGCGTGAAAAGTCCCAGCACATTTCTGTGATAGAAAAAGTATAGGATGAGGATGACAAGTGACAACAAGGAATACTTGATGGCGGGCATTGTCCAAGGGTGGGATTGTAACCACAGAGCATCAGGCTCACTTAGGGCTTAGGTGAAAAGGAGGACAAGAATGAGAAGAGAGGTTAAAAGGAGACAATTCATGGGAATGCTGTATTTCTAACAATGGCTTCAAATAAAACATAACCTTCCAGAGAGCATACGCCTGGCCCTCAACCAGGGGTATATGCTCCCTGGATTTAACCCCAACCCCACCCGAGGCAAAACATATAGAGCATATGCTCCTGGCATTTGCCCTTAGGGAAAACACCAGATAATTTTATTTTAAGAAAAAAAAAAATACTTCATTTCTCTAAAATGAAATATTTTAGAGAAAGTAAAAACGTCCAATCTTGGAAGTTGACATTCTCGAATAAGCTCCCCTTATTCTAGAACACAGATTAGACAAAGCCTGACAGACATACGTTGCTTGCACATCCTAAGCAAAATCTAGCAGTCAGTGTGTCTTCCCCAGAGTTCTCACTTAGGGGAGAATGTGATGGAAAACCAGGTCTCCTTTCACAGTAACGGAATAGAATAGAACATCAGAAATCATAAACTATGCCAGTTTGGGTGCTCCATGAAGCATTTATCAACAGGAATTAGAAAGGAAATAAATTTATTGGGAAATGCCTGTGAAAGATAAAGGGGGGCCAGGCGCAGTGGCTCACACCTGTAAATCTCAGCACTTGGGGAGGCTGAGCGAGGGAGGAGGATCATGTGAGCTCAGGGGTTTGAGTCCATCATGGACGGCATAGAGAGACCCCGACTCTACACAAAAAGAAAATTAGCCAGGGATGGTGGTGTGTCCCTGTAGTCCCAGCTACTTGGGAGGCTGAGGCAGGGGGGTCTCTTGAGCCCGGAAGTTCGAGGTTGCAGTAAGCTATGATGGCACTACTGCACTCCAGTGTAGTAGGCAATACAGCAAAACCTTGTCTCTGAAAAAAATAAAATAAAATAAAAATTCAAAACAAAAAGATGATGGGGAGAGGGAGCAAGATTGAGTAGGGAAAGTCTTCAGAACATGACGTCAATTAACACCTGTGAAAAGGTTTGGAGTCGGGGGAGCCTCAGACTACAGTGCAGAAAATTTCAGCATTGCCAGTGGGGAACCCCAGGGCAAAGACTGTCCTACACCAGCAGACATGGCCCAGCTCTAGTCCACATTGTGCTCATTCACTGCCTGGAAGCAGCCAGGGCAAGAGTGGTAGCCATGGGAATCCTGCCGCAGGTTACAAACGTGCAGCACGTAGAGGCCGTCGGATACTCTCCTCACAGCAGACACACAGCAAGCACAAATGTGCAGGATCCATGGGACCCTCCTAGCCTGCCACATGTCAGGCTTTAGTAATTTTTGATGATGAGCTTCAAGGGAAAAACATCAGCCAATATTCAAGGTCATCTATGTGACCAGGATTCTGAAGAAAACTGAAAAATTCTGATGATAATAAATATTCAGCAATTCTTCAAAAAAAAAAGGTAATTCATATACAGGGACTGAATAACCAAACTTCAAAAGAAATCCTATATCTTCTTAGGAGAAAAAAATAATAAAAGCTTTATTTGCTGAGTCCTTATGAAGTATTTCAGAGTTCTGGTTTCGGTCGCTACAAGTAAAAAGACTGAAAGTAACTACTTTACTCCTTAAAGAAAGAAAAAAAAAGCCAAATAAATGGAAAAATCAATGACTTTTCTTGGACCCATTAGGGAACTGAGGGCTCCGGGCAAACCCATTGCGTGGAAATCTGGAGTCACAGCTGAGATGAGCTAACCTGGAATGGAAGCTCTGAAACCATAAACTAGCAGGAACACTTACGGTGACTTCGACAACTTGCTGGAGGCTGAACGTGGACATTTAGGAGAGTGAAAAACTGCTAGAGACCATGGTCAAAGGCTCTCCCTTCTCAACCCCTGCTTTCCTGGGTTTTAAATCCAGGAAGCCCCCAAGGTTATCATGGTGAAGAGCCAGAATGGAAGCCCTCATTGCCCTGAAAGGAGAAGGGAAGAGTGATATTGTGAAACATGTCCAGAGGATTCCCCATAACCAAAGCCTCCTCCTCTGCAGGAAAAACAATTTTACTCGAGCCATATCCCACCTGGAGGGGAAGACGTTTCCCTATTCCAGCCCCATCTGACCTTCCTGTCTCACTTGAGGGATGGGGGTAGCTAAGAATTTCTTGAGAGCCGGGCACGGTGGCTCATGCTTGTAACCCCAGCACTCTGGGAGGCCAAGGTGGGCAGATCACCAGGTCAGAAGTTCAAGACCAGCCTGCCCAATATGGTGAAACCACATCTCCACTTAAAAAGTACAAAAATTAGCCAGGTGTGGTGGTACACACCTGTAGTCCCAGCTACTTGGGACGCTGAGGCAGAAGAGTCACTGAACCTGGGAGGAGGAGGTTGAAGTGAGCCAAGATCATGCCACTGAACTCCAGCCTGGTGACAGAGATTTAAAAAAAAAAAAGTTCTTGTGACAGTCACAGTGCAGGGACACACAGGCTCAGGTAAAGATGAGATTTACTTATAAGATTATAGAATGCTTCCTTTTCCCCTGCCTCTTTTTTGTTCATCCCTTGCAGCTGTCTGAGACATAAGATCCTTAATATCATCCTCAGGTTAGTCCCATTCAACCATCGCCTCCATTTGCAGGCTTGACCAGGTCCCAGTATCATGTGGATAAATTGACAAAGATCAGGAAGTCATGGATTGTATGTTTAAATGAGGATTCTAAATTCCTCAGCAAATTCCTGGGGGTTTTCCTTTGGGTTAGGGAAGTCTTTCACTATTTCTGTCAGTTCGGATTTTGACCAAGACATAAAGGTAATTAAAGAAGGCAGACACAGTTGATCTGAGGAACTAACTTTAGAAGGCATTTTCCTAACTTGCTTCTCATCTTCATAGTAGAAAGGCAGCTGAGTGAAGAGGGTAGTGGAATCAGAGTAATTAGGCAGAGGAAGAAGAGAGACAGGAGGAAAAGAAGGAGCATTGAGAGTTGAGTGAGTCAATGTGCAATTTTTTATCATCACTGATTAAGTGCTTAAGCTTTTAATTTGCCTTTTGTAAAGAGTCTTTAAGAAAGGCAAGTTCTGATTTGCTTAGTCTTTTAGAAGCTTCTGCATGCCAATTAAAAACATATCTCATTTTTTTGAGGCATTTAAGATCACTTCTCTTTCAATGTAGCTTATAGATGAATAACTGTTTAGGTTAAAATTTCTTCACTGTGACCAGTGTAATTCTAAGTTGTCTTTAGTAAAGTTTACACATTTATTTAGAAAAACACAGGTTCTGGGTCCATAATTTTTATACATGAACGTAGCTAGAGTCCCAGATGGAGAGGTTCCAGACTACCTGGATACAGATGAACTCATGATTCTTTGTCTTCCCTAAACCCTGCCTTCTTAAGACCTTCTGTTGGACCCAGTCCAGTTTCTGCTGGATCCAGACACAGAGAGAAAGCGGTGAGTAAAACCGGCTCAGCTGGTAACTACATCTGGCTACTCATTGTCCCAGGAACCATTATCAGGGCTTCTTTGGGTCCCTCTTCTGACAACAGAAGTATTAAAAAATAAACTTAGGCACATAAAAATCTTAGAGTTTTCTTTTGAGCAGATATCAATTTAAGAATCGGGCAGGCTCCAAAACACAAGTCTTTTGGGGCTCACGCAAAGAGGCACGAGGAAAAGGCTTTTATAGGGTGAAAATGGAAGAAAGGCAAATTAAACATCTAATTGGTTAAGGTGGAGTATAAGCCTTATTCGAATCATTCCATTCCCTTGTTAGAGGTTAGTTGGTGGTTTCTGATTGGTTAAAGTTTTCTTTTACCATTCAAACCGAGTTGGGTTTTAGTTTGCTTATGTAGAAACCGAGTGCACTGAAGCTCCCGCAGTCTAATGGCCTCTCATTTAATTATTTTAACAAGAGAAATATTCTGTGTTCATATAATAGAGAATTTAACGTTAAGATGTCAATATTTACAACTTGACCTATAGATTAAATATAATCCCAGTCAAACTTTTAGCAAAATATGTTGTTGACATTTCCATACTGATTCAAAAGACCTAGGATCGTCAATACAATACCGGAAAGAACAAGGTTGGTGGATGATAGGGTTTCTGTCCCCATCTAAATCTCATCTTGGGTTCTTGCTCCCATAATCCCCATGAGTCATGGGAGGGACATGGTGAGAAGTAAATGAATCATGAGGTGTTTCTTTTCTGTGCTTTTCTCATGAAAATGAGTAAGTCTCACAAGATCTGATGGTTTTATAAAGGTCAGTTCCCCTGCACACGCTGTCTTTCCTGTCACCATGTAAGACATACCTTGCTCCTCCTTTGCCTTGAGTCATGATGGTGAGACCTCCCCAACTGTGTGGAACTGTAAGTCCATTAAACCTCTTTTTCTTCATAAATTACCCCATCTCGGATATTTATTTATAACAATGTGAAAATGGGTTAATACAGTGAACTTACACTACCTTATATCAAGACTCACTAAAAAACTGCAATGATGAAGGCAGTGTGGGAGTGGTGAAGCAATAAATAAATAGATCAAACAGAGAAACAGAACAGAATGGATAGCTCAGAAAAGATCAAAGCAACTCCTCTCTATCAAAGAAGCAAAGGTAATATAATGGAGGAAGAATAGTCTTCTCAACAAATGGTGCTTGAACAATTGATATCCCTATGCAAAAGAGAAAGAGAAGGAGAGGTAGAGAGGAGAAGAGGAGGCAATGAAGTGGGGGAAAAGAGGGAGGGAGGGAGAGAGAGAGAGAGAGAGAGAGAGAGAGAGATGGCCTACGATGAGGGAGTGATTAAACAAACTGTGGTTCATCCGTATCCTGGAATACTGCCCAACAATAAGAAGGAAAGAGCTATTGATAAATGCAACAACCTGGATGAATCCCCAGAAAGTTATGCTGACTGAAAAAAGCCAGTCTAATAAGGATATATACATTCTATTTATATGGCATTCCTAAAAGGACAAAATTGTAGAAATGGAGAATAAATCACTTATACAGGGGTTAAGACGGAGGTGGAGGTGTGAGGGAAGAGAGAGTGGCTCTGAAAGGGTAACATGAGAAGTCCTCCTGATAATGGAAATGTTATGCATCAGTGTCAATAACCTGGTTGTGATATTGCACTATGGTTTTACAAAGATGTTACTATTGAGGAAAATAGAGTAAAAGATCTGGGTATCTCTCTGCATTATTATTATTATTTTTGGAACTGTAGAGGAATCTACAATTACCTCAAACTAGAAAGTGTAACTAAAACATCCTTTTCATGAAAGGGTTATTGATTCTAATAGAATTAAATCTATCGACTTTGAAAAATTAAAGGGGAGGTAAGGCAAGATTTCTGAGCCAGCAGGAAACCAAAACTAACTCTTGAGCACTGGAAACATGATAGGAAATTCTTACTTAAACTAAGTAATTGTCTCAGTCCATTCATGCTGCTATAATAAAATACCTTATGCTGGGTGATTTATAAACAATAGAAATTTATTACTTACAGTTTTAGGGGCTGGAAGACCTCAAAAGATTTACTATATCCTGAGGACCCAGTTTGTGCTTTCAAGATAGCACCTTGTTGCTCAGCCTTCACATGGCAGAAGAGACAAACGCTGTGTCCTCCCATGGTGGAAGGAGCAAGGCAGTTTCTTTCAACCTCTTTTATAAGGGTGCTAATTCCATTCATGAGGGCAGGGCCCTTGAGGCTTAATCACCTCCTCAAAGGCCTCATCTGTTAATCACCAGAGTGGGGATTAGGCTTCAGCATTAATTTTGGAAGAACACATTCCCACCATAACAGTAATTTTGAGGCTTAGAATCAGAAGGTAAACTGTCAGCCAGTTCCTAGGAAAATCGTAGGCAGTGATTTGGGGAAGAGGGTCTAAATCACTAGAGTTACTGAGACTCATAGAGGTAATTATGACTCCCTTGCCTGTCAGCAAATTTTATCTCAGACTTACGTGTAGAGAACAAGTCTATAGAAAATATTTAACTAGCCCCAATTAAAGACATGGGGTCATGATGACTAATTTAGACAGGTGTGTGTGTGACACATAAAAGTCTTTGATAAATGGACCGCCTATCCATCAATTTGTCGTTCATGTAGCTATTCATGTAAATGTATGCTCATTTATGTGGGCATATGGCATGATGGTAAAAATTTTTAAAAAGTGTGCTCTTGCGATAGTTTGATGAGAATGATGGTTTCCAGTTTCAAGGACAAAAAACCAAACACCACATGTTCTCACTCATAGGTGGGAATTGAACAATGAGAACACTTGGACACAGGAAGGGGAACATCACACACCGGGGCCTGTTGTGGGGTGGGGGGAGGGGGAAGGGGGGAGGGGGGAGGGATAGCATTAGGAGATATACCTAATGTAAATGATGAGTTAATGGGTGCAGCACACCAACATGGCACATGTGTACATATGTAACAAACCTGCACATTGTGCACATGTACCCTAGAACTTAAAGTATAATAAAAAGAAAAAGAAAAAAAAGAATAAAATTTTGTTTTGTATTAAAAAAAAGTGTGCTCATTTCTCTACCTATTCATCTTCTTTCCACCTCCCTCTCTCTTTTCTTTATTTTCTTTTGTTTACTTCTTTCATGTCAATAGGTTAGTAAGCGCCAACTTACTAGACTGAGCACAAGCTAGAGATTTGTTGATTTCTAGTCTCTTCTAGTCCTCTTTTAAGAAAAATTTCAGATGGCTTTGGGACGATTTGTCTACTCCAGAATGATAGAAAAATAAACCGGGATGGAGGGAGCATCAAGGTCAGGCAGTGTTGTTCTCCTTTCTAAATGAAACACTTGACAAACTGAGCAAAGACAGTCATTTATTTTTATTAAAGTGTCTGCCTACAGCAGAGGCAAGAGTAAAAAGAAGCTAGGTTATGTATGCTTCTCTGGAAACCTAAATCTTCTGCATTAATCTATAATGCTCCCACATGGCTGGATGGTCCGACAGCATTTCAGAGACTTCTGGCAGAGAGCAATAAGTTCTTCATTTTTCCCGCAATTGTTCTTGCATGTCCCTTTAAGTTTGTTGCATTTCTCATCAAAAAATGCATTCTTGGCTACACGAGGGAAGGAGCCATTTGGATTAATTCCCTTTTCAGACATGTATGTTTACCAGATACGGTTGTATGACTACTTGGTGAAGATTTTTTCACAAGCTGTCATAGTGCCATATCCTACCGGTAGATGAGATGGTAGGGGACCTGATTTTTATCTGATATTTCAGTCTCATAGTCACACAGGGTGAAATACCGGAAAGAATACATTTGTCTTCCAGCATTTGAGACCAAGCTGTGTAGGAGCTTTGGGAAACGTCCCTAAGCTATGGTTCTTTAATCGAAATCTGTTGGGGATAATTATCAACTTGTTCCCATAAACACTCCCAGAGGCTGCTAATTTTCCTAGTGCACTCTCAGAGGCTGCTACTTGGTGAGAGTAGAGCAAGAGCTGAGACTGAGGAGATAGCTCCAGACCAGAGCAAAGGAAGGGATAAAGATATAAAAAGAGAATGAGTTTACTGTGGTAGATAGAAACTTGCTTGGAAGGCTCAGCCTGATTTCTCCTCCATATTCACCAAAGCAACGACTGCGGAAAACTTGTGCTTTAGAGAAGGAGGGTGCAGCATGTTGGGAATGTTTTTCTAAGATTTTCTCAGTTCATTTTGTGGAGAATTCCAGTTCCCACCTTAGGGCTTTATCAGTAGCAGTCCCAAGAGCAGCCTGCTTCAAGTTAAGGACAGACAGCACGTCTTATCAGGATCAACATTTTAGAGCTGCCCAATTTGTGTATATATAATGAAGGCATCAGATGTACAGAGATTGCATTTAATGTCTATACTATAATGTATATACATTTAATGTCAACATATAAAGGTGCCTAATTCAAATCTACATAAAACTTACAGCCAGGTGGATTAGTGCCAGCATATGCACTAATGATTATCCAGGATCAGCACATCAGTTCATAAGTGAAAATACTCCACTATTTCAAAGCTCGATGAACTCTGGCTCTCACTGGCAGGGGTCTATGTTCTCTCTGCCCTACTGTAAGGCAGATACTAATATAATACTATACCATAGACTATAGTGTGGTATTCAGATAAAATCTTTTTGGTTTAGTATAGTATCATAGTATAGATTAGTATATACTATAAAAATACTAGTATTATAGTATATACTGGTATAATAGTGTATACTATAGTATTATACTAGTATATATACTATACTATATACTAGTGTGTTATAGTAGTATATATACTATATACCAGTGTATTATACTAGTATACTATACTATATACTAGTGTATTATACTAGTATGTACACTATACTATGTACTAGTATATAATACTACTAGTAATAATATAGTATATATACTATATTATCATACCAGTATATATACTATACTATATACTAGAGTATTATACTAGTATATATACTATATACTAGAGTATTATAATAGTATATATACTATACTATATATTAGTGTATTATACTAGTATATACACTATACTATATACTAGTGTATTATACTAGTATATACACTATACTATATACTAGTGTATTATACTAGTATAATACACTATACTATATGCTAGAGTATTATACTAGTATATACACTATACTGTATACTAGTGTATGTACTAGTATATACACTATACTATATACTAGTGTATTATACTAGTATATACACTATACTATATACTTGTGTATTATACTAGTATATACACTATACTATATACTAGAGTATTATACTAGTATGTATACTATGCTATATACTAGAGTATTATACTAGTATGTATACTATGCTATATACTAGAGTATTATACTAGTATATATACTATATTACATACTAGTATATAATACTACTAGTAATAATATACTAGTATAATATAGTATCTGGCCAGGTGCAGTGTCTCACACCTATAATCCCAGCACTTTGGGAGGCTGAGGAGGGTGGATCACGAGGTCAGGAGTTCGAGACCAGGCTGACCAACACGGTGAAACCCCGTCTCTACTAAAAATACAAAAAATTAGCCAGGCAAGGTGGCACATGCCTGTAATCCCAGCTACTCAGGAGGCTGAGGCAGGAGAATCGCATGAACCCCGGTGGCAGAGGTTGCAGTGAGCTGAGATTGTGAAACTGCACTCCAGCCCGGGGAACAGAGTGAGACTCTATCTCAAAAAAAAAAAAAAATATGTATATATATATATATAAAATATATACTAGTACAATACTATATAGTATATAATACTAGTACAATACCATACTGTAACATCAGTAAATAATTATAGTATATACTATGCTATACTATAATACTAAACTAAACCAAAAAGATTTTCTCTAATACTATTGTATTATAGTATTATACTCTAGTATATCTAATAGGTAATTATTAGATTATCTAATAATTATATAACAAGCATTATGTAATTATAGATAAGTATCTGTAATTACATAATAATTATAGTAACTAATTATACTTTTATAATTATAGTATTATCTAACAGATAATTTTATAGAATATAACATCTTTTTTTTGACTTATTATATAATAAGTATGAGTGATCTGAAAAAGATACCTCTGGCCAGTTTCGAACGTGCATATCAAAACCAGTGGCCTGAATACGGCATAGGTCACTGTGGGTCCTAGATCCTCATGTTTTGACACAGAATCTACTCTCACAGGCTTGTCACAAAACAGACCAGAGCTATGAGCAGCTGATGTGAAAAGTTGAGCATCATACCTGGGATCGTATATCACTGGTATCTGGCACAAATTGGGAGTTACTGTGGGCTCTGAGAATCCCTTTCTTCAGCTCTCTGGAGGCTCACATGAGCCTGGTCTTAAGCCTTAATTTTGAAGAGGATACAATTGGAGCCACTGGAGATTCCCAGGAGCAGGAGAAAATGAAGAGAGTTTTGATATGGGAAGGGTGTCTTTAATGCCTCTTACTGTGGCAAGACAGTTGGGCTCCTACCCTGGCTTTGTTTTGGTTATCTATAAGACTCTGAGAAGCACTGAGCCCATCTGAGGCACAATTTCTGCATCTGTAATAAAATTTGTAAAATGGACCTTCAAACCCAAAAAGATTTTCTCTAACTTCCATTAAATTAGGGGTAAGACAGAGTTTTCCGTAAAGGCGCTGGCACTGGAAGACTAGATGCATTTTATGTGAAGCTCTCATCACAGTACTTGGCTTGATGATATGTGATCAAGAAATGGCAGTCCAAGTTACGCTGCTTTACCTGTTGCCATGACTGGCATGAGTGCATAGGTGTCTCTAAGCTCAGATCCTTACCTGTCCCTTCTCCTTACCTGTCTCAATCTCTACCATAACTACATTTTAAAAGGTTCATAGACTGCTATCCTTGTTTTTAATTTTTTCTCAATTTTTGTTTTTGTTAGTGAGCATGAGATGGGATGCCAAAAGGCATCTTTCCTGGCCTTCTTTTATTCTTTCAAACCTGTGACAGCCCCTCCTAGATAACAATGTAAAATGCAAAGGAATTACAGAAGAGGCGTTGGGGGATATCACCTCTTGTAGTAGATGGGTTGATCACGCCCAGGCATTCACTGAAGGGGACCCTGTCTGTGGGACACCACCTCCGATCACCTTCCCTGTAAAGATGCCCATTTTACCTGGGGTCAGAAAGAAGAGCACGGCAAAGAGAAAGAGGAAAGTCCTCATGACTGGGTGGGTCTTGAGAGATCAGCACCGTGTCCATGAGGAAAGAGCCGCAAACACCCACATTTATACATTTCTCCAGACCAAGTAACATCTTGATCAGTGAGGCTTAGCAGAAACGAGAGGATTTCCATGCTCTGCTGCACAGAGCCCACCCAACCTCAGTGGGTGTCACTCAGTCTACAGCTCATCATATTTCTGATTCTGGAAAGTTTTGAAGAAGGAAAGTGGGGATGAAGGGAGGACAGAGTAGGGCAGACACAGAAAAAATAAAAAAATCTGGAGTCCAGTAGTTTCGTTTCTAATCCTGGCTGTGTTCCTGAACAGCTTTGGTTTACTCATATGTAAAATGGGAGTAATTATACAATATCTCAATGCTTCAGTTAAGAGCTGAGGAACCGTAGTGAGGTGGAATCTGAATTCCAGATTCAGTCTTTTTGAGCTTTGTAAACTTGGCAAAGGGCTTGACCTAAGCATATATTTGTTAAAAAATGTGAATCTTGCTGTATGCTGCACGCTTTTCGTGCTTGGTCCTGCCATGCTGCTCACCTGTACCATGGCACTGTTGGCGCAGCAAGGGGCTGGTAACCATCATGCCTTGCCCTAGACACCTGGGCTCAAGCAATCTACCTGCCTTAGGCTCCCAAAAGCTACGATAATAGACATAAGCCACCCATCTGGGCCAATATTCATGTCCTTAATGAATTTAAAATATGCAGTAATTATGGCTTTGGTGCGTGAGGTGATATCTTACAGGAAAGGGGACTCAGAGCTAACTTGACAAAATGATTGCTACCCCTCCTTTTCTCCCTGTGATACTTGTAGAGAATAAAAATGAAAGCTAGAAAAGTGAGAGTCCACATTTATTGAGTTCTTACATGGTACCAGGCCTCCTTCCAAGCATTCCACATATTCAAAACACTTTTGCATTATAATCATACTAGATTCTTACAACACCTTTAGAGGCAGGCAGAATTTGCAAGTGGGTTCTTATTTTCTCCCAGAAAACAGAAGCTGGAAGAGATGAAAGGGGTCACTATCTTCTGGCCCCTGCATTAGTATGGTGGAAACTCACATGGCCCCTGCTCTTTCAACCTCTAGCCTGGTGTTCTTTCCACTACACCAGTTAGACTCCCCAAAATAAAAGGCTTTCTGGATGCCAAGGGTTATTATCCATGATATCATCCCTTTATCCTGGGAAATGGAGCATATAATTGTGTTTTATTGATTCACTTCACGGATCAAGAGCATCTCCCCATTACTTTTAAATAAAAATGAGCCTCTCATTTGGGTCTTCTCAAGGAAATCCCAATCTCTATTCCGAAGAGTCTTCCCTAAAAGATGGCCCTGATCAGGAAGACATTTTATTTTCTATTTGCTATGTTCTTCATTTTGGTTCAACTGCCATCAGGTAAGTAAAAATGGATGGGATTTTGATTGGGCAGATTATAAAGCCTGTTGATTCTTCCATGTTTGACCTTAATGGTCAAGCTCTCATGGCACCTGTCATGGGAATTTCTTAGACCTACAGTGACATTTACTAAGAGCAAACAGCATATAGTGTATTTTTTTTTTTTTGTAATTTGTTTTTGCTGGTTACCTGGAATGCTGGCCTTGAGAAACAGAATAAAGATTGCAACTCTGTGATCTACTGTCTCCTGTTATGCTATGTCACATGTGAAGTTGGGAGTGTTTTATACAGTGTTAATTCCTGTGTTGATTTTAATTTTCAAAATGTATTTTGTTTTGAATTTAGGGTGCCAGGCAGGACTTGATTTTTCCCAACCATTTCCATCAGGTAAGTTAAATCTCTTGTATATAATTATTTTTTCTCTTAGGAGCTCTGGCGCTGTTAGGTCTCTCTGATGTCTGGAGGCAAAGAGGGGACAGAGATAGTGGCAGAAATAGAATTGTCTGAAAAATCAGTTCACTAACTTATCTCCTTCTCTTTCTCTTGTTCCAAGTATAATATTTGGATATTTTTGATTTCACAGAAAAATATCTTTGTGACTGGACTGTAATTTGGCCATAGAGATTTGGACTCAGTGGCTTTTCCCATTAGCTGTTGGTGCTCACTAAACCAAGTTCTTAGATTTATTCTTGTACCAGCCAATTAGCACTGCTCTGTGAACACGCCTGCCCATCTCTTGCAAGCTCTGCTGCTAAGTCTGGTAATAATATATGTCACAAATGCATGAGGTTAGTTGAAGGAAGCTCAAATTAAAGAGTGAGGTTGCCTCAGTGAAAACTCAGCACCATTGCAGAAAAGCTATTCATAACGAATAGCCCCCAGATCTTTTCTTTTTCTTTGAAGTCATCTTATACAGAAAGAAAGGACATTGTAAACAAAACTAAAAGAAATATTGTAGACAAAGTTGAAATGGTTTTAGACAGAATTTCAAAGTGAGAAATATGAAGGTTGCTACTAGTCCTTGAGTGTTTGCTCTGTACCAGGCATCCTGCTAAAAACTTTACATGGACTTTGTCATGTAATCCTCAAAACAGTCCTATGTGGTAGGTATTATTATAATGAAAATATTTACATATAATATTCCATTTGATCCCTAAACTGATTTAAAAAATGTAGTCAGGTGCTTCTAGAATGGCCACTGGACAAATGAGAATATGGACCTTAACCTGCCGGCTACTAGGCCCAAACTAGAGTTGATCTTCAAGGATCTTTAAAAAACCACAATATACCCCTCCCATTTTTTGTCTAGTAAACTTCACAGTCATATCAGGTATGTATTTTTATAGTTCTGTAATATGTATGTCTCTTTGTCTGTCTGTGGTTTACTTTTGATCCCTGCCAGATTATAAACACTTGGAGAGTAGGAATTGCGATGATCTGTTGCATAAAAATTAACTCTCCCCAACTCCCTACTGCAAAAAGCAGAAACTATTTTTGAAAAATCTGGGCTGATTCTTGAAAATATTCTTTGTAATCATACGTACGAACTGTCCCTTTTTTTTTGGTGGTCTTTGACATGTTCCCCATTTCTAGACATTTCCTGGAAAGCTCCCTCAGCAGCTCTTTCTTGGCACAGGTGAGTTTGCTGTCTGTGAGTCGTGCAAGCTTGGTCGGGGAAAATGCAGGAAGGAGTGCTTGGAGAATGAGAAGCCCGATGGAAATTGCAGGCTGAACTTTCTCTGCTGCAGACAGAGGATCTGACAAACCAGACCAGCACACTTCTGGCCTTAGAAGCAGACCTGGATATTCAAAGAAGTTCAAGAGAAGTTATGTGGCTTATCCAAATCACACAGTGAGTGAGTCTCAGAATCATTCTCATTTCTTTCTCCCTTTGTTACGTTTTATTGCTTATTTTTTAAAGATGACTTTTTTTCTTTTTTTTTTTTTTGAGAAGGAGTCTCACTCTGTCGCCCAGGCTGGAGTGCAGTGGCTCGATCTTGGCTCACTGCAACCTCCACCTCCCGGGTTCAAGCAATTCTCCTGCTTCAGCCTCCCAAGTAGCTGGGACTACAGGCGCATACCGCCATGCCTGGCTAATTTTTGTATTTTTACTAGAGATGAGGTTTCACCATGTTGGCAAGGCTGGTCTCGATCTCCTGACCTCAGGTGATCTGCTCGCCTTGGCCTCCAAAAGTGCTGGGATTATAGGCATGAGCCACCATGCTGGGCGAGATGACCTTTAAAAAACATCAAGACATGAGTGTGTACCTAGTATCTGCTCAATCAGATACCACTACTATGTATATGTAGAGTACCTTACAATTTATGAAGTATTTTCCATACTTCTCTCATATGACTCATGATTACCTTATGAGGTAGGTTTTATTACTGCCATTTATATTTGAAAATATTGAGGCTCAAGAGGCTGTTAATTCTTCAGAGCCATAGCTAGGATCCAGTAACTGCTGTGCACATTGCTGTCATGTTTTATGTATCCATCTATATGTACTAACTATGTTAATGGAATAATAATTCTATCAAATATAATACATTATTTTTATATTCACATTATTTCTTGGTTTGTCTAAATATTGTCATTCATTGATTCTAGTACTTATGGTGTATTTACCTGTGAAAGAAAATGATTAGAGATTAACTTAAAATGTTCAACACAGAATATGCATAAATGGTTGACTGTCTAATTTTGCCTTGTGAAATAAAATCCAGCTTCACAAAATAAAGGCCAAAATTACCAGCCCTATGACCAGTGACTTGAACTTGGTTACTTAGTTTTAACGTATGAGATTAAACAATGTTTTGTTTAACATTTGGGCCTATTATTTGTCTCTTTGTGCTCAAATCTGTTCCTTGTTTTTTTCTGCTTTGCTGAGTAAAATGGGAACTATTAGTTGCAAACTACATTTTCCAGGCTTCCTGACTTCTGGCTAGTTTTGGTCAATGTGTCTCCTAGGAGAATGGGAGATTGAAGAAGGAAGGACAATGTGAATTTCTCCCCGACTCCCTCTCTTTTCCAGCAGTGGCTTTTCATGCTCAGCAAGGCCGCTGCTTTTCTGTCTTCTGCACTCACCTGGCAGTCCCACCGCAAGTTTAGCTTCTGCCAGCCAGTGCTGCTCCCAGGCTCACACAAATCCTTCCATTTTTCCTCAAACCTTAGGGCAGTGGGAGATTTCTGCTGTGACTATCAGTAGGGTTGCCTCATTGCTCCCGCTTTGCATTGTCATCTTTTCCAACACTTTATCTGTACATATTAAATTCTTTCTATAGAACTATCCATTGGGGGAACCCTTTTAATGCTTGATTGGTTCAATTTTTAGATTCACTCTATTTACATATGATCCACTGTTTTCCAAAAGAGATTTGAAACACAGCCCTCAAGAAGCCTAGAGTGTTTCCTTCATTTACACAGGAATTACCCCAGGGAAGTGGGAAGTGGGGTATTTGGTCTTAAGAGTCCAGTTCACAGTAATTTTCTGCTGGCAGATGGTCTTCCTCCCCAGGTCTCCACAGTGCAAATGCAGCTGCTAGCTTACAGAACACCATGAAACTGGAATACTACTTACTCATTCCAAATACTGCATTGCTTTATCTTAAAAAAATGCTCTGGAACCTAGTTGAAGTTTCTTTTAATGAAAGATTCATGTGAGTGTCTCAGAGTCATACAAAGTGGTAGACCAGTAGCTGTGCCCTGATATTACCTCACTAATGACCTCATGTAGCATCCAGATGGCAGCTGCAGAG
Organism: Homo sapiens; assembly: GCF_000001405.40. Taxonomy (NCBI): domain Eukaryota; kingdom Metazoa; phylum Chordata; class Mammalia; order Primates; family Hominidae; genus Homo; species Homo sapiens. The sequence continues at coordinate 7,491,550 of NC_000008.11, forward strand.
GACACCTCCCACAGGTGCTCACCTAGTCACAAATTGTTCCCTTTCATGGCAGGCCAAGTCTCACTAACGCAAGACTCCATAACAACTGCTTTAGTACCCACTGAGGGGTTAAGTTAAATATTAAAAGCTTAAAAAGCCAGTGCCCTGATATAAAGGCTTGAATGTAACAAAAGCCCACTAAGAGTTTTGCTTAGGCCTTTCCTGGGCCTTAAAGCATGACAAACTAATGAAGGAGTTCTTAACAGGACCCGTTTAGGATTAAACAAGTTTATAGGAGGTCTGAAGAAACTCCCCAAATATCAGTGATTTAGCAGGAGACAAGGTGAGGGTAATAACCCCAGCACCTGGACCCATTTAGATTAAGTACATTTACTGAGGCTCCAGAGGAAGGTCTTCGGGACTCAGACCTTAGTTATAGATTAAAAGAAGTTAATAACTTATGTCTTTAGATGAATGCACACTTACACATAAACATATAGCTTGGAAGGTATATAAGCTCTGGAAAACTTTGTAATTTTAAGTTGGTCTGGCGATAATTTCCAGGACTTCTCCCTATAACTGGTTGCAGAAATAAAAACTCTCTTCCTCCCGAGTTTATTTGCATCTTGTTATTGGGCTGTGAGAAATAGCAGCCCAACTCTCCGTTTGGTCCAGGAACACTTTCTTTACACTTTAGATTCATGGAAACAAAGAGACTGAAAGTAAAAGGATGGAAAGAGATTTGCCATACAAACAATAACCAAAAGAGAGCTGTAGTGGCTATACCAATAGTGTACAAAACAAACTTTAAGACAAAATTGGTACTAAAGATGAAGAAGGGCATTTTGTAATGTTAGCAAGTTAATCTATCACGATAATATAACAAGTATAAAAACATGCACCTAACAACAGAGTGCCAAAATACATGAAGAGAAAATTGACAGAATTGAAGGGAGAAATAGAGAAGTCAACAGTAATAGCAGGAGACTTTAATATACCACTTTTAATAATAGACAAAACAACTAGAAAAAAGATTAGCAAGGAAATACAAGATTTGAATAGCACTGTAACACAATGACCTCAAAGCGTGGAACACTGCACCAATTACAGCAAAATACACATTCTTCTTCTGTTCACATGAAATATTCTTTAGAATAGACTGTATGTTAGATTTAAATACAAGCTCCTCAATACATTTAAAAGGATAGGAATCATACAAAGTATGTTCTCTGAACAAAATGGGATAATAGAAAGAAATTTGGGAAAGTCACAACTATGTGGAAATTAAACAGCATAAATGTGAATAAATGATGGGTCAAAGCAGAAAACATAAGGGAATGTAGAAAATATTTTAAAGGGAGCCCCCAAACACTTTAAAATATACAACACAACAGCAACTTACAAAAACTGTGAGATGCAGCTAAAACAATGCTTACAGGAAAATGTATGGTTGTAAATGCCTGTATTTATAAAGAAGATAGATTTAAAATCAGTAAATTATCTTCCATCTCAAGAAAATTAAGGAAGAGCCAACTAAACCCAAAGCAAGCACAAGGAAGAAAATAATAAATATTAGCACGGAAATAAATGAAATAGAGACTAAGAAAACAATAGAATAAATCAACACAACAAAAATTTATTTTTTGAAATGATCAACAAAATTGGCAAGCCTCTAACTAGACTGACTAAGAAAAAAAGAGAATACTCATATTACTAAAATCATGAGTGAAAGAGAAGTTTTACAAAAGATCTTACAAAAGTATTTTTTAATATTATTAAGGAATACTATAAACAATTTTATGGCAACAATTTTGATAATCTAGATGAATAAATGCCTAGAAATGCATACATATCAAACCTAATTCAAGAAGAAATAGAAAGTCTAAAATGGACCTATAACAAATAAAGTGCATGAATTGACAGTAATAACACTAACAAAAATCCCACATAGTAAAACCCAGGGCCAAATGGCTCCACTGGAACATTGTAAAGATGTTACTCTATTTTATTTTGCCTCGATTTTTTTTTCAGACAGGGTCTCACTCTGAAGCTCAGGCTGCAGTGCAGTGGTATGATCTCGGCTCACCCCATCCTCTGCCTCCGGGGCTCAAGTGATCCTCCCACCTCAGCCTCCTGAGTGGCTGGGACCACAGGTGCCTGCCACCATGTCCAGTTAATTTTCGTATGTTTTGTAGAGATAGGGGTCTCATTATGTTGCCCAGGCTAGTTTCGAACTAAACTCCTGGCTCAAGTGATCTGCCCACCTTGGCCTCCCAAAGTGCTGGGATTACAGGCGTGAACCACCACACCTGTCCTGGCTTGCATATTTTTTGATGAGAAGTTTGCTGCAGTTATTCTGTCATCTTTCTACAGGCAGGAGGCATGTATGCCTTCTCTGTTGACAAAGGTAGAGGATGTTCTTTATTTTTCTTTTTTAATGTGCTCCCTTCTCCTCGTTCTCCTAGCTTTAATATTTTGTTTTGCATTTTTTTAGATTGTTCATTCACCAGTGCCGTACAAACAACTGTTGTTCTTCCCTCAGTTTCTTAATTAAGAAATTAAGACTTTCTTTTCCATAAAAGAGAAAGATTCTTGCAAGCTTTCGTTCTTTCTCACAGTGGCTACTGTTCCCCTCAGCCGACTTACATCATGAAATACTCTAATCTTTTTTGTAAGCACCTGCTGAGTCTATGGAGAAGACATTAGAAGTTGCTGTGAACTTCTCTTTTGTCTGTGACCCCAGACATTTATATTGTTTCTCTAGTTTATGCTTGCTCTTAGCAATTCTCTACAGACTTTACCTGAAATCTTTTAAATCATATTCTGGGGGTAATCTGCTTCAGGTAAGCAAGCACTCATGGTCTTTATTTTTTGGAGGTTCCTGTCTTTTCTTATATTTCTAGGTAGGTGGCTGATTTGTGACCTTAGCTTTCCAATGAGTTCAAGAAACTGAATATTTGCAGTCTGCCGTGTGTTTTGCTGTGTACTTGTTTCATGTGGGATGATTTTCTTTACGTATTTCTACATCTTAAGCAGAAGCCATTCTTCATTTAATAACACACTTACTTTCTTTAAGACATACAGAAATACTTATATTTTCTGCTAATTCTTGTGCCAATTTTGGTAAGTTAAATTTTTGAGAGAATTCTTTTATTTTATGTAAGTTGTGAAATGTTTTGGCATATACCTGTTGACAACATTTTTATATTAGTTTAATGTTTCTTGGATCTGTAGTGATAACTTCTTTTTCACTTATTCTGCATACTTGGGCTTACATTGTTCCCTTTTCTAAGGTTCTTAGAGCATAATTTTAAGTCATAGATTTAAACATTTCTTCTTTTCTACAATAAGTATTTGGATACAAATTTCTTTCGAAGTCATTGTTTTGTTGTGCTCCACAAAATTCGATATACAGAAATGCTTTCCAATTATTCTCATTATTTATTCTTTGATACAAACACAATCTAGAATGATGTTGCTTTATCTCCACATATTTGAAAATATCCTAAATAGCTTATTTTATAGATTGCCAATTTAATCCCCTTGTGGTGAGAAATACACTCTGAAGTATTTAAATGTGCTTAAACACATCAATATTTGTTTTATGGCCTAGCATATGGTTCATTTTTATGAATGTATCATATGTACTTGAAAAAAATGTGTATTTTGCAGTTGTCTTATGATGTGTTCTATAAATATCAATGCAGTCAGTGGAATGGTGGTATTGTTCAGATCATGCATGACTTTGCTAATTTTTCCCTGTGTTCTATCAGTTGCTGAGAGAGTGGTGTAAAAATTTTCTACTATGAATATAGAAGTGTCTATTTCTCCCTTTAATTAAATCAAATAATATAAAAACATGTTAATGGTTTTTATGTATTTTCAATGGATTAACCCTTTTCTCCTTAAGCAACAGCACTCCATGCAATACAGCGAGACCCTGTCAAAAAAAAAAAAAAAAAAAAAAAACCTGCACACGTACTCCTGAATTTAAAATTAAAGGTTTTTGTGTGTTTGTTTTAATTATTATTTTAAGAATAGGTTTTATGTAAAATCATGTACTAGGAAAAGCGTGGTGGCTATATATCTTATAGACATGGTAATACTTGAGATAAGACTTGAAGGAAAAATGAGAGAAGTCTAAGCAGAGACACAGAATAGAATATTCCAGGCAGAAAGGCAGGGTTCTCTGCGTTTGTCTCCCACAAATGTGGTTTAGTTAAAATCTGATCCATCAGCCCACACATTAGTCAGTGGAGCATGGAAAATAGTATGTTCCCAATGAACATTACAAACCGAGGATGACTTCCAGTCCCTTCAGGGCAGTAGAACATATTTTAATCAATGCCCCTTGATAAAAGAGCTTGATTCCAGCTACTGCACTTCCTTCATCAGCTCTCCACTGATGCCTGGAGCCATGAAAATATTTGTCTTTATTTTGGCTGCTCTCATTCTTCTTGCTCAAATTTTCCAAGGTAAGAGGGAAATTCTTCTAGAAGTAGAGATGACAGTCTGCTCAGGATCTGTCTTTTGAGATGAAAGCTCAACTTTTACAAAGTTGAAGGTTCCAAGGCAAACCAGTCACTGAAAATCTTTTCCTGAGCTCCGACACAAAACAATGGGACCACATTGACCGGGACCATCTCCATCCATAATAGTTTCTAGTCAACTTCCCTAACAGCTCTGCCAAGGAATTCAGACATCTTTGTACTTTTAGATCTCTTTCCTCCTTTGTAATCTGCAACGCAGGTTCAGCATATTCTTTTTTTTTTTTTTTTTTTTTTTTTTTGAGACGGAGTCTCGCGCTGTCGCCCAGGCTGGAGTGCAGTGGTGCGATCTTGGCTCACTGCAAGCTCTGCCTCCCAGGTTCATGCCATTCTCCTGCCTCAGCCTCCCGAGTAGCTGGGACTACACGCACCCGCCACCACGCCTGGCTAATTTTTTTGTATTTTTAGTAGAGACGGGGTTTCACCGTGTTAGCCAGGATGGTCTTGATGTCCTGACTTCGTGATCCGCCCTCCTCGGCCTCCCAGAGCCCTGGGATTACAGGCATGAGCCACCGCGCCTGGCCAGCATATTCTAAAGTGATTTCTTTAAAATGAAAAAAAAAAAAAAAAAAGAAAGAAAAGATTATCCAAGGAAATGCCAAACATATTTGTTAAGTTAGGGAAGTACAGCCTTTGTAGTCTAAATTAAACTAAAGTTATGTTACTAGATTCTTAGACAGCTAATTTTTTTTCATGTCTGAGTCGTCGGTCCAAATCTCTTATCCATACATTATTTTAGACTTTTTGGCTTTCACACACTGGTTGGAAATTATGCCATTAAAACCACTAAACTAACATCTTGCTTACTATTCTCTTAAGTCTTTGCGTCTTTGAGATTCTCTTTGCTTCATACAACCACGACTCTGTTCCTAAGAAATGTTTATGTCCATACCTCCTCAACTATCCTTCGTTCCTTCTGTTGTGAAGCTTTTCCTATTAGAGGTTCTCCATGCATCATGAAGCCCCCTGTCTGTTCCTTCATGGCTCCTGAATTTCTACATTCCTTTATTACACATTCTGTCCTCAGTAGTCCTAGAAAACCAATAGATATTGAATGTGTGCTAACCACTTGTAAGAAATTGTTCTGTCCACTATGATAAAGGTAGGTAAAACGAAGAGGTAAAAATATAAAGCATGGACATTGACCTTAATTTGCTTGAAGTTATTAGTCTATTCCTTCTATGTTGTTCGAAAATAGGTTGCTTGTAGTGGTAAATAAGCTTTCAATACATTTAACATGTATAAGTAAGTATATCAATGAGACAGGAAAATTCACAAATAACTTTAATATGAAACAGTTTTCACAAGTGCCATAAAAGATGCAAATTATAAAGAGAAGTCATAGATGTGGAAACTTGGTTCTAACTAGGAAATGCAGAAAGGCTTCCTGGGAAGTAGTATTTGTTTTGCACATTTGGAAATAGGCAAGACTAGAACTAAAGAACAGAGCCAGGGAACAATGTCCCCATGAAAGTTTCAGTGACTCCATGAAAGTCTCAGTTGTAAAATCAGTTCCCGATTTTCTGCCCTCAGCATCTTTTTGCAGATGTCAGACAATGCTCCAGAATAGATAAACTCATTTAAAATTGTCTTCTCCATCCACTTTAATCAGTACTCCAATTTATTCAGATCAGTCTATAGATGTGGATGCCTAATAGCTCCCTGTCCACAAAACTCATCTCAGATGTATTTGAATTACAATAATAAGCATAGTTTGGGCACAAATTAGAACCACCACCATCACCATAATCACATAGAATCTCAGAGTTAGAAGTGAATTTAATGATCAATATAAAAGGTGTAGGGGTGGGTTGCCCCTACCCACCTGTGGGTGTTTCTCGTAAGGTGGGACGAGAGATTTGGAAAAGAAAAAGACACAGAGACAAAGTATAGAGAAAGAAATAAGGGGACCCGGGGAACCAGCATTCAGCATATGGAGGATCCCGCCAGCCTCTGAGTTCCCTTAGTATTTATTGATCATCTGTGGGTGTTTCTCAAAGAGGGGGATGTGTCAGGGTCACAAGACAATTGTGGGGAGAGGGTCAGCAGACAAACACGTGAACAAAGGTCTTTGCATCATAGACAATGTAAAGGATTAAGTGCTGTGCTTTTGGATATGCATACACATAAACATCTCAGTGCTTTACAAAGCAGTATTGCTGCCCGCAGGTCCCACCTCCAGCCCTAAGGCGGTTTTTCCCTATCTCAGTAGATGGAGCATACAATCAGGTTTTATACCGAGACATTCCATTGCCCAGGGACAGGCAGGAGACAGATGCCTTCCTCTTGTCTCAACTGCAAGAGGCATTCCTTCCTCTTTTACTAATCCTCCTCAGCACAGACCCTTTACGGGTGTCGGGCTGGGGGACGGTCAGGTCTTTCCCTTCCCACGAGGCCATATTTCAGACTATCACATGGGGAGAAACCTTGGACAATACCTGGCTTTCCTAGGCAGAGGTCCCTGCGGCCTTCCGCAGTTTTTGTGTCCCTGGGTACTTGAGATTAGGGAGTGGTGATGACTCTTAAGGAGCATGCTGCCTTCAAGCATCTGTTTAACAAAGCACATCCTGCACCGCCCTTAATCCATTCAACCCTGAGTTGACACAGCACACGTTTCAGAGAGCACGGGGTTGGGGGTAAGGTCATAGATTAACAGAATCTCAAGGCAGAAGAATTTTTCTTAGCACATAACAAAATGGAGTCTCCCATGTCTACTTCTTTCTACACAGACACAGTAACAATCTGATCTCTCTTGCTTTTCCCCACATTTCCCCCTTTTCTTTTCGACAAAACCGCCATCGTCATCATGGCCCGTTCTCGATGGTCGCTGTCTCTTCGGAGCTGTTGAGTACACCTGCAGACTAACAACAGACAAAACAGGCACACAAGGATTAATATGAGATTTATAATTGTAGTACTTCCAATGGTCTTAACCCAAGTGACAGGGTTAAGATTTGCGAGGCCATCAGCAACTCCTGCAATTGCCTCAGTTCCTGGCACCAAATTTAAATGGGCTTTTGATGCTTCGAAAATTTGTTCTTTTAATTTGGAAATGTCTAAAGTGAGATTATCTTCTCTTCCCTGTAGATGGCGTCTAACCATGTCCCAGTGATGCTCAGAGTCATTATAAATTTGGGGTGTAATACAAAAATCTGACGTATTCCAGTCACACTGTAACTGGAAACGATGTTCTAAGCTCATGAGTCTGTCTCCCATCCAAATGACAGTTTGTCTAAGATCATTAATTTGATTTGCCAATTTTTGATCAATACTAGATTGTGAATTCCACAATCTTGTAGAATTCTTTTGCCCATCATTAACAAAGTTTACTGACTGAACAGAAGAGTGCAATGCAACTCCTGCTACAGCAGCCGTAGCTGTGACTGCAATTAATCCCATAATCACTGCAATTAAAGTAAAAATGAATCTTTTGGATCTATTTAAAACACCTTTTAATACTTCAGTCAAAATATGGACGGATGGTGAGGCCTCCCATGGTCGGTCCATGGACACAGGGATCCACACGCCCTCTCTTGCTCTCACCAGCAGAATACGGTGTTGCCAATTAAAAGTTGAATCAATGCAAGTAAGCAATCTACAATTTTCACAGGTTATAGTCTGGGAGTCTGGTTTAATAACTATATTTCCTACAACTAGCATATAAGGGGGCTTTACGCAACTTTGTAAAGGAAGTGTTAGACTGGAATTTAGGTCGACAGTATAAAATGGCTTACGATCTCTTGTTTCTAAAGTTTGATTTCCAGACCAAATTCTAATGTGGTGTGAGGCCACAGTAAGCCTCCATAATTCTGGATGTTCAGGACCAGAAACAGGACTTACTATTTTTGGTCTTGGGGTAGAGATTCTTTTTTCTCCCCATTCCCAAGGGTAGAAAGACTGCAATTTTTTATGCTTATGTTTGTCTAAACTTTCTGTTAAGTCGCTATCAACAGCTGGACTCACTTGTGCACTTGGACACGACTGAGTTTGTCCTGAGCAATTGTGGTAGAATTGACCTCGAGGTGCCCAATCTATAATAGTTCCAAATTCATTGTTTTGTAATATCACCGCACTATTGGCCACACATTCTTCCCAAACTAAAACTTCTGTATTTTTTGATTCTTTGGGAATTTCCTTGGGGCAAGGTTTCCCTTTAGGTCTAAATTTTAATGATCTTTGATAAGAAAAGTCTTGTAAATAATTTACCCGTGGCCTGAGTGACATCCCGCTTACCATGTGATAAGTGAATCTACTGATGGGACTGACAGTAGGTACTTCTACCAACCAATTTTGGACTGCAGGCATTAAACATCCTGGTGCTCTCCCTAGGCAAATAGGAGGATAACGATACCCAATGGAAATATTTATCATCATCCCTTCTTCCTCAGGTTTGGCAGGGCAGCGATCATCTATGGGGCCAGGTACCCATACACTATCATTAACATATACTTCTATAGGATTATCCATCCATGTGACTGCCCGAATTAAGGGCGGGAAAGGCACATAGGCCCAGTTGGTATAGTTAGCTACAGCTGCTCCTGCAGGCATAGGGAGACTTACCACCATTGATACAATCATCAAGGCTGCAAGCAGCATACTCTCTGGGGTTTGTGTCACCTTTGTGTTCTCTAGATATTTTGTAGCTAACTGCGTCAGCTTCTTTAGTTGTGCCCAAGTCGGCGGCTCTGCCTTCTTGGTGGATGGCAACTTCATCTGTTCTTCTGACGTCACCATTTTGTTCATCTTGTGAGTCAACGGTGCTCGATTGCGGTGTCTCCGTCTCCGCGGAGGTGCTTTTCTTTGCATCTCTGATGGGTTCATTGTAGAACTTCAAATGTCTAGTGGGTATCCAAACAGGAAGCTGATTTTCTCCTGGTGAAACACAAGCAAAACCTCTCCCCCACGTTATCACCTTCCCTATTTCCCATGTCTTATTTTTATTATCTTTCCACCAAATTAGTTTTCCTTCATGTGGGCTGTTCTTTTTACCAGTAAGATGTTGTTCTGCAGAAGTAGTAGTCTGATTTCTATAAATGTTTAAAAAATTTAAAGTATAGAGTGCTAGATTAAGTTGCATCTGAGGAGTGGTACACTCCTTACTGTCTCCCCCTTCTTTTTGTTTAACTAATTGAGTTTTGAGTGTTCTATTAGTTCTTTCAACTATGGCCTGTCCTTGGGAATTATAAGGAATTCCTGTTGTATGTGAAATTTTCCACTGACTTAAGAATTTTTGGAAAGCTTTACTACAATATCCTGGTCCATTGTCAGTTTTGATTTTTTCTGGAACTCCCATTACAGCAAAACAAGACAATAAATGTTTTTTAACATGGGAAGTACTTTCTCCTGTTTGGCAAGTTGCCCATATGAAATGTGAATAAGTATCAACTGTTACATGAACATATGATAATCTTCCAAATGAAGGTACATGCGTGACATCCATTTGCCATAATGCATTAGGACACAGACCTCTGGGATTAACTCCTGCCTCTTGAGTGGGCAGGTGTAAGACTTGACACTGGGTGCAATGTTGTACAATATCTTTTGCCTGTTTCCATGTGACATCAAATTTGTTTTTTAATCCTGCTGCATTTACATGAGTCAAAGCATGAAGTTCTTGTGCTTTTATGAGTGCAGATGATACCAGTAAGTCAGCTTGTTCATTTGCTTTAGTCAAAGGCCCTGGTAAATTAGTGTGTGCTCGAATATGAGTAATATAAAATGGGAAATTTCTTTTTCTTACAGTTTGTTGTAATAAATTGAATAGCTGGTTTAACTGATCATCCATGCTATATTTAATTAGAGCTGTCTCAACAACCCTTGTAGCCTGTACTACATATGCAGAATCTGATATAATATTGATAGGTTGGTCAAAATCTTGTAACACTGTAATGACTGCAACCAACTCTGCTCTTTGAGCTGATTGATATGGAGTTTTGATTACTCGTTCTTTCGGCCCTGTGTAAGCTGCTTTTCCATTGCTGGAACCATCAGTAAATACTGTTAGAGCATTTTCTAAAGGTTCACGTCTGGTAATTTTAGGTAGAATCCAAGTAGTCAGTTTTAAGAACTGGAAGATCTTTGTTTTTGGGTAATGATTATCAATAATTCCCACAAAATTAGCAAGACCAATCTGCCATGCACCAGAATTGATAAAGGCTTGTCTAACTTGTTCCTTGGTTAAAGGGACAACTATTTTGTCTGGGTCATTTCCACATAATTTTATTATTCGTAATCTTGTCTGACCGATTAATGTAGCTATTTGATCCAAGTACAGTGTAAAAGTCTTAACTGTACTGTGAGGAAGGAATGACCACTCCACAAGATCAGTATTTTGAATAATGATACCTGTTGGAGAATGTGCAGTGGCAAAAATCAAAAGTTGGAGTGGGGCTAAGGGATCTATTCTATTTATTTGTGCTGACTGAATTTTTTCTTCCACTAATTTAATTTCTTTTGTTGCCTCTGGGGTTAATATTCTTTTACTATTTAAGTCTGAGTCTCCTCTTAAGATAGAGAACAAATTTGACATGGCATAAGTAGGAATGCCTAGAGTTGGCTGAATCCAATTAATATCTCCTAGTAATTTTTGAAAATCATTTAGTGTTTTTAATGTGTCTTTTCTTATTTCTATTTTTTGTGGCTTAATTTTTCTATTTTCTATCTGCATCCCTAAATAATGAAAAGGAGTAGAGGTTTGGATCTTATCAGATGCTATTGCCAGTCCAGCACTGGCAACCTCTGCTTGCAGAAATGTATAACAGTCAATTAATTTATCTTTCGTTTCTGCAGCACATAAAATATCATCAATATAATGAATAATATAACAGTCTGAAAACTTTTTTCTAACTGGTTGAAGAGCTCGACCTACAAAAGTCTGACAAATAGTTGGACTATTAAGCATTCCCTGAGGTAACACTTTCCACTGAAACCTGGTGGCTGGTTCTTTATTATTTATGGCTGGTATAGTAAAGGCAAATTTTTCGCAATCCTGCTCTGCCAGAGGGATGGTAAAAAAGCAATCCTTTAGATCAATTATAATTAAAGGCCAATCTTTTGGGATCATGGCTGGAGAGGGCAACCCGGGTTGGAGAGGCCCCATGGGTTGAATTACGGCGTTTACAGCCCTTAAGTCAGTTAACATACGCCATTTGCCTGATTTCTTCTGAATTACAAACACAGGAGAATTCCAAGGTGAGAACGAAGGCTCAATATGACCCTTTTCTAACTGTTCATTTGCTAATAAATGTAAAGCCTCCAGTTTTTGTTTTGGTAGCGGCCACTGATTTACCCACACCAGTTTTTCTGTTTTCCAAGTTAATGGTATGGGTTTCGGAGGCTCTATAGTGGCCACCCCTAAAAAGGATACCCTATTCCTTCTCTTTTTTGATTTATTTTAGCCTCAAATGGAATTTTAATGCCATCTTCATTTTTCCCTAGTCCCTTTCCTGGTATATATCCCCTCTTGGTCATGATTTTTTGACTCGTGGGGCTATATAATGGAGCGGGCATGGTGATTTCCGCACCCCATTGTTGTAATAAATCTCGACCCCACAGATTAAGAGGAATTGAAGTAATCATTGGCTGAACAGTACTTTCTTGATTATCTGGCCCTAAGCAATGTAAAATCTCCATACTTTGATACACTTCTGAGGCTGTGCCTATGCCGACAAGTCCTATAACAGCCTTTTGTTTAGGCCAATTTTTTGGCCACTGATTTAAAGCAATGATAGAGACATCTGCTCCAGTGTCTACCAATCCTTCAAACTGTTTTCCTTGAATAATGGCCTTACACACAGGTCTGTTCTCTGAGACCTGACTTGCCCAATATGCAGCCTTTCCTGTTGGATCAGTGCTTCCAAGCCCTCCTATTCTTTTTATTTCACTATTTCCACCCTTAATATATGGCAGGAGTAATAATTGAGCAATCCTGTCTCTTGGACTGGCACTCCAAGGAATTGAAGAGCTAATAACCAATTGAATTTCGCCTTTATAGTCTGAATCAACCACACTAGTATGAATTTGAACTCCTTTTAGATTTAGACTTGATCTTCCCAAGATTAGTCCTACAGTCCCCTCAGGCAGTGGGCCATATACCCCTGTAGGGATTTTTTGTGGGGGCTCCCCTGGAAGCAGAGAGACTGCTTGTATAGTACATAAATCTACTGCTGCACTGCCGCTTGTGGCGGGGGACAATTGTTGTATTGTGGTAACTGGCTTATTCCCTGAAACACTTGGGACAGTGGGGGTTGTTGTCCTGAAAACCCTGAGGAACAAATGGCTGAATTGGGAATGCCCCAGTTTGTTGTGGGGCCTGAGGCTGGCCCCTTTGCTCGTTTCCCGACAATGGTTGCCCATTTTTATCAAATTTAGAACGACATTGACTAGCCCAATGTTTTCCTTTTTTACATCTTGGACATAAGTCAGGTGGCTCTCTACCTGTTGTAGTTGCTTGAATAGTTATATTCTGTTTGTTTAAGACTGGGCAATTCTTTTTTAAGTGACCAATTTGACCACAATTATAACATTTTCCTCCAAATGTTCTAACTTGTCCTCCTAAAACAACTCCTGTTATTGCTTGAGCCATAAGCATAGCTTTATGCATAGCTCCTCCGATTCCATCACAGGCTTTTACATATTCTGAGATTACATCTGATCCTGCAGGAACCTTTCCTTTTAATGGCTTAATGGCTGATTGACACTCAGGATTGGCGTTTTCATATGCCATCAACTCCACTATGACCTTACGGGCTTTTTCATCGGCAATTGACTTTTGAGCAACATCTTGGAGCCTTGCCACAAAATCAGGATAGGGCTCTTTTGAACCTTGTCTTACTGTATTAAATGAGGGGCAGGTACTTCCTGGGTCTTGGATTTTTTCCCAGGCTCTAAGGCAGATAGCTCTAACTTGCTCAATGGCCTCATTTTGCATTAATGCTTGTTGACTAATAGTACTCCAATTTTGACCTATTCCTAATAGTTGATCTGCATCTATGTTAACTGGAGGATTGGCAGCCCTATTTCTTCGGACCTGTTCTTGTACCCCATCAATCCACCAAGTCTTAAATTGTAAAAATTGAGAGGGTGAGAGAGACGATTTTGCCAGAATCTCCCAATCATAAGGAATGAGTCTATGTCCATGAGCAATGGAATCTAATAATGTCCTCATATAAGGGGAGTTGGGTCCATACTGTTTTACTCCCTCTTTCATATCTTTTAGCATTTTTATCGAAAAAGACTTGTATCTGGCCTCAACTGTGGGAGGCTCTCCCTCTTGGGCTCCTTCTCCAGGTGGCATCGGTTCTAACGTTACTGGGAATTGCCATGCCTCAGTATCTCCTTCCTTTCTTGATTTATCAATAATTTCATGTAATTCACTACCCTGTCTACTAGGTGGTGCCGTAGGATTAAGTCTCCTAGTGGGCGGCTGAGGGTATGGCTCCCTGCCCTGTGGTGCTGGGGGCATTCCTGGATATCCATACTGACTTTCTGGGGGTGGCCGATACTGAAGTTCAGCCGGAGGCCAGTATTGATAGGCTACTGGCGGTTGGGTCTTATTTTCTTTAACCTGCTTTTGAGGTTGTAATGTTACGGGCACCTGACCTGCTGGAAGAGGACTTGTGCCTCGTGGTTTAGACTCTGATGGCCCCACTAATTCTGGACCTTTTCCTTCTAATTTTAACGTTTCAGGATATATCACCTCCTGTAATTGATTATAGTCAACATTTTGCGTTGACTGAGCCATTACCGGCTCTGCTACATATTCGCAATGTAAACTTTCCGTTTCTTTCTGGGATTTTTTCCTTGTGTTTTCATTACAATCTATTAAACAGCTTCCAGGGGCATCAGAAACTGAAATGCTATCTTCTTCTGTTTGAAATGGTTCTAAAGCTGCTTTAATAATGGCCCAATCATTCCATACTGTAAGTGGAATGATATTACCCTTCCTACCTGCTTGTTTTAGTTCCTTACCAATTCTTTTCCAATCTTTTAGATCTAAAGTTCCTTGTTCTGGAAACCATGGGCAAAATTGTTCTATTATTTGAAATAGCTTGATTAGATTTTTTGTAGATACTTTAACTCCCCCTCTTTTTAAAAGAATTTTAATAAAGCTGAGATAAGAGGCATATTTACTTTTAATTTTACTTTTAGTTTGCCCCATTATCACCCTAGCTTCTTCCGAGCGCACAAGCTTACCGTAAGGCTGACTGTAGACGTACTCGGGATCTCTCGTCGACTTGTCCTCAATGACCACGCTCGAGCGTACCTTCACCCTAGAGAAAAGCCTCCACTTTGGGCACCAGATGTAGGGGTGGGTTGCCCCTACACACCTGTGGGTGTTTCTTGTAAGGTGGGACGAGAGATTTGGAAAAGAAAAAGACACAGAGACAAAGTATAGAGAAAGAAATAAGGGGACCCGGGGAACCAGCGTTCAGCATATGGAGGATCCCGCCAGCCTCTGAGTTCCCTTCGTATTTATTGATCATCTGTGGGTGTTTCTCAAAGAGGGGGATGTGTCAGGGTCACAAGACAATTGTGGGGAGAGGGTCAGCAGACAAACACGTGAACAAAGGTCTTTGCATCATAGACAATGTAAAGGATTAAGTGCTGTGCTTTTAGATATGCATACACATAAACATCTCAGTGCTTTACAAAGCAGTATTGCTGCCCGCAGGTCCCACCTCCAGCCCTAAGGCGGTTTTTCCCTATCTCAGTAGATGGAGCATACAATCGGGTTTTATACCGAGACATTCCATTGCCCAGGGACAGGCAGGAGACAGATGCCTTCCTCTTGTCTCAACTGCAAGAGGCATTCCTTCCTCTTTTACTAATCCTCCTCAGCACAGACCCTTTACGGGTATCGGGCTGGGGGACGGTCATGTCTTTCCCTTCCCACGAGGCCATATTTCAGACTATCACATGGGGAGAAACCTTGGACAATACCTGGCTTTCCTAGGCAGAGGTCCCTGCGGCCTTCCGCAGTTTTTGTGTCCCTGGGTACTTGAGATTAGGGAGTGGTGATGACTCTTAAGGAGCATGCTGCCTTCAAGCATCTGTTTAACAAAGCACATCCTGCACCGCCCTTAATCCATTTAACTCTGAGTTGACACAGCACACATTTCAGAGAGCACGGGGTTGGGGGTAAGGTCACAGAATCTCAAGGCAGAAGAATTTTTCTTAGTACATAACAAAATGGAGTCTCCTATGTCTACTTCTTTCTACACAGACACAGTAACAATCTGATCTCTCTTGCTTTTCCCCACAAAAGGTAATAAACATAGGTTATTAGGCCAAACTATATGAGTTTGGATCTCAGTGCTAATCTTTATAAGCTGTATGCACCCTGTGTTTTACTTGCCATTCTATAAATGATAATAATAATAGCATTGTTTTGAAGATGAATAAACTTGTTATATTAATTAGAAACTAACTTGTTATAATAAAGAATCTTAATGATAGAATGACTGAAGAAAGACAAAACCTTATTTCTCTTTCATGTAAAAGTCCAAAAATAGCTAAGTTGACTAGGTGCGGGTAGAGGGTTCTTTTTCACCAAGTTATGTTGTGATTTGGGCTGAAGGTCAACCCTGCCATCCTAAACAGTTGACCATTTTATTTGGTTCCAAGGATATTCTAACAGGCAGGGTTAGAAAGTATAGAACCTGATTAAGATTACATAGAAGCAGCTCACATCATTCCACTCCTTTTTCATTTTTCCAAATTTGTTCATGTGGACATATAGAAATAGGAAGCTAGGAGCTGATGTGATTAGCTAAGTATTCATGTGTCCAGCTAAACCCAGAGGTTCTATGACTAAAAGTCTGAAGGTAAAACTGACTGCTTTGGGACAGTTTAACAATCTCTCTGTATAACTGCTTGAGCAGTGGCAGGCACATACTCTATGCTATGTTAGAGTTTACCATTGTTGGTCATTTGTTCTTCTACTTATTTTTTTGTTCTCTGTCCTGATTCAGTATTGAACACCCTATACATGTATATATATATATATATGTGTGTGTGTGTGTATGTGTGTGCGTGTGTGTCTCAACTGATTGTCCAGTTGCCTGATAAATTTAAGTGATCTGTAGTTCACAGTATCCCAAGTTCAACTTTGGACTATTCAAAAATTTCTCCTTAATTTGAGCAGAAATCTAAGCCCCTGCAATTTCTTTCCATTAGTCTTTGCCTTAACTTGGCACTAACAAAATATATTCCACATGATAATATTTCAGATATATGGCAGCTAATATGTACTGTTTCTCCCCCAAAGTTGTTATTTCCAGGAATAAACATTACTCCTTTTGAGAAGAACTGCTACTTCTTCCACTATTGTTTCCTAAGAATGTATCTTACCAATTAAAAAAGATTCCTGTTTTGACATATTTTTTCCTCTTCAACCTAATCTCTGTTATGAATGAACACACATTGCCTATGTCTCTCTAAATTTGCTTGCCAGAGCTAAATACACGATTCCATTGGTGTTCTTTGCACAGTAAATTGAGAAGGACTAGCATCATGTTGTTTATCTTTCTACCTAAAACTGTGAGACTCCGAAATCATATGCCAGGGCATATGATCTACTATTGGCCTGCCTATAATGTAACAGAACAATCTTTAACTTTTGCTATAAATCAGAGACTATTTGGATACAGGGGAAAAAAAATCTGTTGGTAAGGATCGTTCATTGGAATTAGAAAGTATTTTGTCATCTTCCTTGGAAGAAACATTCTGTTTCTGTACAAGCTAGATATGATTTTGACATATGAAAATCTTTTCTGTTTTTTTCCAATTGGCTATTTAATAAGGACATTGATTATATTGTACCAGGGGTCTGAGCTCAGACATGACTGTTCAGATAACATCTGATTTTTCTAATTTCTAGGTTTATAGTCTGTGTCTCTAGGAGTTATGGTAATGAGGAAGTCTGAATTTGGCCTGGGCGATGTAATTTTATCTTACAGTTACTAATTACTAGATAACTGAAGACAAATTGCTTTCTTTACTTAGCCAGGACAGCAATTCATAGAGCACTAATTAGTAAGAGAATGGAAGGTCACTGTGAAGCCGAATGTCTTACCTTTGAAGTAAAGATTGGGGGCTGTAGAGCTGAATTAGCACCATTTTGCTGCAAAAACAGAAAGAAACATTAAAAACTAAGCACCAGCTGCAAGAAACAAAGAGGTGAAGATTCTCTGGCTGCGATATCAGTGGGATAAATCTCTCTGGACCATCTCTCTTTGATCTGCAAAGGTTGGATTATCTGAAGCCATGTCTGTCCAGTTCCCAGTGCTACAAGGAGATACCCTTCCTAGGCTGTGAACTTCTTCCAGGCAGACACTATATCTTGTTGACCTTTGCACTCTCAGTTCCTGACACAGGGCCTATTAATGATTTCTTTTACTTTATATAAATGTGAGCCATTGAATACACAGATAAAACAGATGGAATGGAATGGTTGGACTGGCACTCAGGTGAATTGAGTTCTAAAGTCATAGCTCTGGCTTTAAACAGATGTAGGACATTGGGCCCTCTGTGCCAGGATTCTGGTATCTATAATGTGAGCAGATTGAACCTCTCAGTAAACGGAATACCTGCTAGATGCTCATTGTGGCTGCTTCAGCAGTATCACTGTCATGTACTCCTTTCTCTCTTTTATAGGTAGGAACTCTTTAGATTCTTGTTCATTTACCTGTTCGATCTAAAACATCAAGTTTTAGAATGAAATGCACCCATATCAAAATTCAAGTTGGCTGTAGCTTGAGCAACATCTTCATTCTGGCCATTTGCAGTGAGAATTGATCAAATCATGGGTTTCTGAAGCAGTAAGTTCCCCAAAGGTCATCGAATTCAGTGCCCTTATTACAAATGAGGAGAGTGAGACTGAAGAAGATTATACAGTTACTGACTTAGTCACATTTATATTCCAACTTCGGGCTTTCTGGACTTGTCTGCTTAGCATGTCCACAAAATAGCAGGCTGGAAGATAATAGAACAACAAAAGGCAGTCCTAAAGATGGAACGTTTCTCAGCGGGTTCAGGTGAACAGTTAAATGGAGGAAGAAATTGAAACAAACTGAAAAAAAAAAAACCATAGAAAGAAAAAAAGACACTTTCTAAGAATCTCTTTTGTAATCCTGCAAACCCTGCCCTTTCAGAGCATAACAATGGCAAACTGAGGCTTACCTTTTCCCTAATTTGCCAAAATTTGGAGTCCCAGCTTTCCAGCAGAAGAAAGCATATATCACAGACCATTTCATCGTAGAAGATTTATAGTACACCATCCCAGAACAGAAGAAGTAAAATCCCTCTGCGCTGCTCTAGAAAATGTCCTTCTCTATTCAGTTAAGCTGGCTTCCTGTAGAGATGTAAATAAAAGAGGAAAAAAAATCTGGAACAAGACAACGTGTAAAATGTTTTAAAATAAAAAATAAAATGTGTTTTGAAAGATCTTCTGGTATTGCCACTTGTCTTCATGGTGCTAATTTTCTTATTCTGAAAACTATGCTGGAGGAAAATATGTAAAGTTATCTGTTTCAATCAGAGGATTTTTCTGTTCTGCATTTTCCCTAGAAATTCCTTAAACATTGTCTCAGATAAAACTAACTGCCTTTGAGAATCTAAGTGTGTTTAGACTTTCTCGTTTCTTCATTTTTTATTTTTCCTCTTCTTTCTCTGTCAGTCAAATGACTTGAAATATAGCATACATTTCCTGTCTCCAGTGTTTTTATACCCTGTTTCCTTCTCAACCTATAGAAATCTCTTAAAGCCAGGCATGGAGGCTCATGCCTGCAATTTCAGCACTTTGGGAGGCCAAGACAGGAGGATCCTTTGAGCCCAGGAGTTCGAGACCAGCCTGGGCAACATAGGGAGACCCCATCTCTACAAAAATTTAAAAATTTAGGCTGGGCACAGTGGCTCACGCCTGTAATCCCAGCACTTTGGGGGGCCGAGGTGGGCAAATCACAAGGTCGGGAGTTTGAGACCAGCTTGACCAACCTGGTGAAACCCCGTCTCTACTAAAAATACAAAAAGCAGCCAGGCGTGGTGGCATGCATCTGTAATCCCAGCTCCTTGGGAGTCTGAGACAGGGGAATCGCTTGAACCCGGGAGGCAGAGGTTGCAGTGAGCCAAGATCATGCCATTGCACTCCAGCCTGGGTGACAAGAGCAAGTCTACGTCTCAAAAAAAAAAAAAAAGAAAAGAAAAGCCCGGTATAGTGGCTCACACCCATAGCCCCAATTGCTTGGGGGCTGAGCCCTGGAAGTTGAGGCTGCAGTGAGCCTGATCATGCCATTGCACTCCAGCCTGAGTGACAGAGGGAGACTCTGTCTCAAAAAAAAAAAAAAAAAAAAGAGACCCTGTTTCAAAAGAAGAAGAAGGAGAAGAAGAAAAAAGAAGAAGAAGAAGAAGAAGATTATTTTAGCTCTCATCATACTATTGGAATTTCTCTTTATAAAGGTACCAGGTACCTCCTTAGTCAGTTAATAGTAGTTTTTCTCTTAATAAATTACCAGGGCCAACTCCAGTGACCTATGGCCAGTATTCATCCTTCAGGCCCTTTCTGAAACATTTTACAAGGTGATCTATCTCCTGCACCTTAATTTCTCTCTCTTCTGGCCGTGAGAATGTTTGTCTGCTGGACATTTCTCTTTGTCTTCTCCACACATTCTCAGTCTTCTTTGCTGACTGTTCCTCATATTCTCTTGGCTAGGATTGCTTTCACCTATGTTTCATTCTCTTCTTATTATACGTGTTATCTCCAAACAATCTCCTCCATTCTCATGGTTCCCACTCTTTATGGACTAATGACATGGTGTTACTTCTTTACTTTTATGATTTCTTTACTCTGCTCTGTGGTGCTGTGCTGGGACTCTGAAAACAGCATTTGTTATACTGCTTGGCCAGTTAGCTTCTTGTTAGCACCTTTAATGAAAGGTATTAGCAGGAGAGTGGAAAACAAGACCAAGAGTGAAGGCATCTGTTCTATGCCGTTTTTGTCAGCCCCATTCCAATAGCAGCAGATGGTTGGCTCCAGGCTTCAGGCTTTATATTCTTTCCACTTTCTCAGCAGCCCCACAAATATGCCAGAAAAGGACCAGCAGCATCCTAGCTCTACCTCCTTGGTTCTAAGAGGACCGGCTGAGCTACAATCTGCTTTTCTATGCACCTTGTCTATCCAAGCACCTGTTGGACCATGTCTCCTCCTCAGAAGTCTGAACACTGGCTATCAAGTGCCTCTGCCTCATTTGCCTGCACATCAGTCATTGAGCATTGCTCCCTTCAAATTTTAAGCGTGACTGATGTGGTGTAACCCACTAGGAGACATGGGCACCTGGTACTGTGTCTCCTCCTCATAGGTTCAAGCTCTAGCTGCGTACAAGTAAGATAATTTTGGGCGCTAGCCCATGAGAGTAACTTTACTCCTTTGTTCCTATATGTTAAAAGGCGATATCCCTTTTGTATGGTTATCTCTGTGCCTTTTCAACCTTCCATTACTTGTGTATCCAATTTAAGTTTACTGAGCTACTCTAAGTGGATTTCTGATAGGCACTTCAAAGGTAATGTCTTTATTGCAATTTATTGGTTTGCTTCCAAATCTGGCCTTCATTTAATATTCTAAATCTTAGAAAATATTACTATCGTTTACTTGACATTCAGGTTAAAAGTAGAGGTTTACTCAGGAATGCTTACTTTTCTGAATAAGTCACACAATTTACTCATGACATTAATCTGCATAAATTGCTTATTAATCCCTGTAAATCTTAATGCAATTATCTCCTTCCCTCTTTCTCCTCACTGATGTTGTTCTAGATCAGTGTCTTATTATCTTCAGCCTCTGCTCTTACTCTGTCAAACTTGGTGTTAACAAATTCATCCTCACTGCCAATTATCTAAAATTTACTTATAATTTGTGGATTGAACTTTGCATGAAGTAAAGGAATAGTTCTACTTTTTCATGATGTATGAGCACACACACGAGCATACACACACCCATGTGAATTGAAAAACCATAAAAATTAGTCTAAGATTTATATTCAGATGTCTACGAATCCTTAGAACACTCAAATATTAGAACTAGAAGTAGCCTTAGAGATCACTTAAGTCCCTGCTTCCAGAACTATATTGGTTAATTATAGTCAGTGTAACTAGCCTAGAATACTTATAATTAGAGCTCTATGCCCCACTCTAACACTTTCAAATGGGGATCTCTTCAGAATCTAAATTTGTAAAATGACTTTTCCAATTAAGTCTCCTGCACAGTGACATTTGAGACCTGTTGATCACTGAACACAGAAGCATCTGAGATCCATTGATCTCTGTCACACACCTCCAGTTAGTTGCAGAAATAGATTCAGGCTCAAATCCAGGATTGCTGCCTTCATGTCCAGTGGCATATCACTGTGTTGCACTTTTCCATTTGTAAAGGAGGTATGGAGAGGGCATGACCAAGTGGTTCACCTTGCTCAACCCCAGGAACAGAAGCTCAAACTTTATTGGGTAGACAGACACATGTACAGCAAATGAACATTCCATGTGTTAAGTTCTACATCCTGATCCGAGACCTGTGGGAGTTTAGAACATGTGCATTTAGACTAATTACGACTGGAGTCACTGGGGTCCAGAGAGGTTTCACAGACAAAATGTCCTGTGACCATTTAAACCAACTGGTTTATCAACTTAGCGTAAATCACTTTAACTGAAACTGAAGGAGTATTGCTGCTAAACTTCCTTTGTTGCCAATATATTTGTAGTTTATGTTCCCATTTGACAATTATTTCCATTCAAAACTGCTCACTTTCATTCTTCTGGGGAACTGAACCGAAAATGTTAAGGACTCTCTGTTCTCTTATGAAAGCCATTCTGCTCATATGGTGCACTTCTGTCCCTGATTGTCTATGTCGAGGTATAGAAAGGTCCTTTTCATCCAAACAAAGACATTCCACTGGCCCAGGTGAGCTGCTGACCAAAATGAAGCCACCTATCTTCTGTCTCTGTGGACACCTTCACCTGTGAGGACTATTATCATTCTCATTTGCCACTTAATTTTTTTCCCATTTCACTTTTTTTTTTTTTTTTTTCGAAACAAGTCTCACTAGGTGGCAAAACAATCTGTGGAAGCCTTGACAAGTTTAATGAAACTGAGACCTTGAGGGAATCCCCTGGGCAAAATCTCCACTATCTATATGTGGAGAAGGGGCTGTATGAGAAACCAGGAAAACTGATGACAGAGAGAACTGTAGTCTTCTAACCCGTGCACAAGCCCTTCCGGCTGTGTGAACAGCAGAGCGGGCCAGGTAAAGGCTGACTTAGATGAACTGCAGTAAGAGGTGCTCCAGGTGTCTGGATCCACCTCTCCTTCATCACTGAAACTCAACAGGATCTGAGTAGTAGAAAATGGGGCACTTTCCTGATTTTTTTTTTTTTTTTTTTTTTTGAGACAGGGTCTCATTCTGTTTCCCAGTCTGGAGTGCAGTGGCACCATCATAGCTGGGATTACAGGCACATGCCCCCATGTCTGGCTAAATTTTTTTATTTTAGTAGAGATGAGGTGTTACTATACTGCTCAGGCTGATCTCAGACACCTGAGTTCAAGCAAGCCTCTTTAGTGATTTTAAGAAACTTACAAGAGAGAGCTATGACAAAGCTCTGTTGACCCAAGGCAAACAGTGTAACAGGCTGACTTATAAGGATCACCATCAATCTTAGCAACCTAACCCATTGTCCTTCAATACTGCTGCTCTTCTGGGCTTGACTCTGTTCCTATGACTTTATTCCAATCCTTGGCTGTACCTCTTTTTTTTTTTCTTTTTTTTTTTTGGTCAACCGCTGGTCTTTTCAAATAGAACTTACAGAGATCAAAACTCTCACTCTGAAACTGAGTGTACTCCTTCACATTCAAGGTAGGAACAAGAACTACAGGTATAAAGTCTTCTGCATGGACAGGCTTTGGAGCAGCTCTGAATCAGACTCCCTACCTTTGTCCAAGGAAATGCATGTGCATTAGGATCAGATCCCCTCTGAGGAGGTAGGGCTGGTTATGCCCAGGAAGTGATGTGGACACATGTTGCCTTATATACACTGCATTGCATTTTAGATGGACCATCTTCTCATCAGGACTTCTTAGTGACCCAATCAAACAGCCTTCCTACAACCATTGTGCTTTGGTAGAGTTGTAGTTTCTTCTGGAAAAGCTAAGGAAATTTTCTAAGGTAGGACAGGAAAATCTTGTTTTAGATAGTAATCATAAATCATAATTTTAAAAATTATGCTTCAATGTATTGTCATTTTTTTCACTTCACTTCTCAGCTTTTTTTTTTTTTTTTTTTTTTTTTTTTTCTTGAGACGGAGTCTTGCTCTGTCACCCAGGCTGGAGTGCAGTGGCACAATCTTGGCTCATGCAAGCTCCGCCTTCTGGCTCACGCCATTCTCCTGCCTCAGCCTCCTGAGTAGCTGGGACTACAGGCACCCGCCACTACGCCCGGCTAATTTTTTTGTACTTTTAGTACAGACGGGGTTTCACCGCGTTAGCCAGGATGATCTCGATCTCCTGACCTCGTGATCCACCCGCCTCGGCCTCCCAAAGTGCTGGGATTACAGGACTGAGCCAACGCGCCCAGCCCACTCCTCGTCTTTTATCAGATCCATTTTCTAGGCATGGAATCAGAGACTCAGAGACACAGTGAGCAGACCTTAATTTACCCAGACATTCATTTAGTGGGTTAGTTTCTCGTAAGGGGCTTCCAAATGTAGACAATGTGTGTCCCGTGCAGACTCAAGAGGAATCAATTCAGTCTATTTGAAGACTCCCCAAACTCATATTTTGTAGAAACCAAAAAACAAAATATTTGGTAGAGAAGGTCGAAGTGTCTGAACGGTACATACAGGCAGAGCTACATTACTTGGCTCCTATGTGAAGAGAGAGGGAGCTGCAGAAAAACTAAATGGGAAGGCTCAGATGTATGAATTTCTTCAACTGAAATTGCATACAATCCTGGCTCCTTAATCTGTGTCCACTTCCCAGCAGTTATGGGAGGTATGAGCTCAGCTCAGGGGAAACAAACTTAACAAACTTAGCTCTGGAAATCTGGAGAAGCAGTGAGCAGGGCTGATCCCCCAAGTACCCTGATGAATCCCAGTGTTCTTTCTGTTCAATTACCTAAGGGAAGCTATTCAAGTTTTAAGTCCGTTTTGAATCAAAATATTGATTTTTTTTAAAAAAAAACTTAAAATTTAAAGAAACTGGTATTAGTTATGGGAAAACCAGAAGGGTACCCTCATTTGGAAATAATCTTTGAGAAATCTTTGCAGTGTGAACAGTTGGGATTTGGTCTTTCCAAAATCCAGCTAGCATGCACTTAAGAAAAAGGAAAATCAGGAAATGTAGAAAATGAAATGCTAACTTACATATTTCACTTTAACATTTATTAAGGATATTAATGGGCCTATTGAAAATTGAAAATGCAGTTTTGCTATTTTAAAAAATGTTCTTGTGTGAGAGTAGACATCCCTTGGTAAATGTCCATGGAAATATTGAACATTTAATTTTTCATTAGTTCTAAACAAAATCATGTATTTCCTAAAAGGTACGCATTTTACATGCCTCAATACCCATAGTTGACACAAAATACTCTGAAACAGAAAACAAAACATTAAACTATCCCATATTTTAAATTAAAAATATTTTTTCAAACAGCGCTGAGAACACTGAAATATGTGAAATTACAATATATTCTAAAACGATTACCTAAGAAAATTAGGGGATGTCATCCACGTTTGTCTCAAAGGAATTCAGATTTATGATTCATCTTAAGAAATGTGAAAAGAACACATTAAATATAAAGATGGATAAAGGAATTTATTAATATACACAGTAACTTTTGTTCTTTTAAAGCAATGATTCGGGCCTCCTGGGCCCAGCTCAGGTCCTGGCCCAAAAAGTCCCTGGAACAGAGCCCTTGCTTTTGTCCCTGCCTCCCGGGTGATTGAGGAGTAGAAAAGGAACCTACATTCCTCATCCTTGGTGTGAATTTCCACGCTCCCCACCGGCCAACTGTGGCAATTCACATTGTAGTTCTGACAATAAATGGCCCGTTCTGACTGGGCTGGTGGGGGTCCTGGTCCAGCCACCTCCAGCCAGGGGTCCCTGGGTCGTGAAGGCGCCACGACCTGCTCCACTCAAGATGTGCAGCTCCACCCACTCACGCTAGAGAGGAAGAAGAACTTCTGCCATAAACTTTTGTTGTTATTGTTTTGTTTGGTTTGGTTTGAGACGGGGTCTCGTTCTGTTGCTCCGCCTGGAGTGCAGTGGCCCCATCACGGCTCACTGCAGCCTCGACCTCCTGGGCTCGAGTGATTCTCATGCTTCAGCCTCTGGAGGAGCTGGGGCCACAGGCACCCACCACCACACCTGGCTAAGTTTTTGTATTTTTGTAGAAACAAGGTCTCGCTCTGTTGCCCAGGCTCGTCTCAAACTCCGCCCACCTCAGCCTCCCAAAGTGCTGGGATTCCAGGTGCGAGCCACCGCACCCAGCCTCCTAAACTGTTTTTAATTTGTGCAGAATGAACCGGGTCATCAACCACTGTAAGTGGTCTGACTACCCTGACCATAAAATGTCGGAAACACTCAACTTGCAACTGGTGGAAGCAGCCTAGCCCCACTGCACGTAAAACACTCGCGTTGTGGCAAACGCGGAGACCAAGGCTGCACTGGCCGGAAGTGGGGACAGATCCCGATACGCCCTGGGGACAGAGCAGGGATGCTGAGGCCTGGTCCACACTGGCTCTGCCCTCTTTCTGGCCCACTACCCCATCCTGAGACCGCAGGTTCCGGCGGACCCGGATGCAGGTTTTCCGGATGAAAGGCCCCTTTCCTGGAGTGGACTTTGATATTTTCTGTTCACAACTCCGTGTCACCATCCTCCACACCTAGGATCTGGCGTCTGGTGTCACTGCCGACGTCACAATCCCCGCACCTACGTGTCTCAGCCGCAGTAGCCCTACGTCGCTGTCAGACACTGGGAGGTTGGTGCCCCGCCATGCTTTTGTGTCTTTTGTCTTTTCACCCTCTCCCCTCCCCACCCAGTGCCCCGTCTAAGTCCCCACTCGGAAGTGGATTCTCACCCCTCGCGGCCCTTTGTGGGCAAAGCCAGGAGGAGGAAGGCCACAACCTCCCGCTGGCTTTGGGATTTCTTAGACATCAGTAGTCTTCTAAGGCCCTCCACCCTGCCCGCACCCCTCCTTCATCCTCGCGTCTCTTGGGACACTGCCCTGCTGCCCTCAGGCCTTTCCTTAGTCACAGACTCGGGGAGGCCCCTGAACCCCCTCGGCTTGGACATCACCGGCCACAGTCCTGTGACGCCCTGTGATCTTCTGTCCCAGATCTCATTCCACTGGCTGTGCCTGTCAGGGTGTGCTTAGATTTTGGAGTCCCAGTGTAAGGCGTGCTCTTATTGGGAAGGGGGCTTCTTCATTCTCTTCTTGTGAATGTAGATGTGAAGCCAGGGCATAAGGAGAAAAAGAGAGGCCAAAAGAGAACCAGAGAGCCAGGGAGCTAGGGAGAGTGAGGTTGAAAAAGAAGGTAACGTTGAGTATTGGGAAGCTGTCTCTGATGGATTTTGAAAAGCAGTGATAGTGAAAGAGTTCTAGAAGCTTTGTAGAAGGTGTTGAAAAAAATAGTGAAAGTTACGTGGGCAAGAAATAGTGGGATAGATGACACAGACAAAGAGAATCAGGAGAGAGGTGGAGGACAGAATAGAAAGGGGATTCTGACCAACCACAGCAGAGGAGTAAAGGAAAGAGATCCCCAATTCATTAGGGTTTTTTTTAAAAAGTCTTAATAATATTCTCTTTTGTTTCAGATTCAGATGATGAGGCCTCTTTAGATTTTTAGTCTTTATTATATTTTGGAAATATCTTTTAGTACTTAGTATTTTACACTATTTCAATGTGCTCTTGGAAAGGGTATTGGTTTTTTTATATTAACAGTCAAAACCTAGTTTAATCAGTAAGTCTATTCTTCTACTGTCTCCATTATTTCCTTACATGGCCTTTTAACTGGGTCTGTAAAATACAATTTTCAGGGAAGTGTATGTTCCCTTGACCTCTCTCTGCAAATTTTCAAGGATGGGCTGAAGTGATCAGGAATTTTGTTCTAGCAGAGCCATTCTGTTCATGATTACTAAATTGCTCAGAGCTAGTTCAAGCCAATAAGTAGGTATCCTTAATTTCATATTTTTGATAATTCAATGAGTTGTTCTGGAAAAAAAGGAATTAAATGCTTGAAATCAGATTATTGTGATTAAAACCATGAGAAAGAAGTTGCTCTTGCTCCAGAGCATGAAATATGGTATAGAATCTTTAGGGCAAAGAGAAGGAAAAACCCTATCACAATTCGTCACAGCACATCATTCTTGTGAAGCTAGTGGTGGTTACTCTCTACTGGCATCTCCTACTGACCTTGCCTGCCCCAAGACCCAAGTACAGAATGACAAGGCAGCTTGATGAGGGGAGAGTCAAGACTTTTTAAACTAACTACAGAACAAAATTATCTCTCCAAGTAGGAGGGGACACTTGGTGCTATAAATGAATATAAATGACATGAGAATGACATGAGAATGAAAACTGTCAATATAATAAATAGTTTGCAAAAGCTCTAACTTAAAACACACAGGACTTTCAGAGTAGAGAATTCCTAGCTCTGTAAAGAATTTGGGACTCCATTTGAGAGAAGCCTTGGTCTCTACTCACTGTGAACCAACATTCAGCCAGGTACCACCGTTGGTATGTTACCAAAAAAACTCAGTAAAAAATGCTTTCTTAAGAAGGAAATAGGAAAGGAAAGTCTTTACAAGGGCAACTGATCATCTTGTGGATTACCAAATACTGCAGATTTCAGGTCAGAAAACGGAGTCATGGAGAATAAAAAGAAAAAACTAACACACAATTGAGCAAATAATTCATAATTTAGAGAATGTATCTACTCATTAAAAATGTGAAGTGTAAATGTATAACAGTTATGTGACCTGGGAATTTTGAATACAAAATTATGTAAGCAACTTTATTATTTTTTAATAGAAAAATACTTGCAAATATTGAAACAATAAAACCTGTTGCTGAAAAATCTAATATGTTGTTAAAGTTCTAGTTTTATTTATGCAGGTCTGACACATAGATTTGCATAAGCTATCCTTAGCATGTGAGTAGAGATTTCATCCTTCTCTTCCCGTTTCCCCATCATCAACAGCTTTTTTTTCTTCCCACAGCCAAACTCCCTTCATTCCAACTTCCACCAAAACCACTTCTCTGGATCCATCCCTGGAGTTGACACAACAGGGATCTTCAGCCCCAGGTGCCAGGTTTCTCAGTGATCCATTACACAGATTTAACAGGGAAATGGGGGCAGTATCAAAAACACCCAGTATAAACCATTGAATTACCCCAGCCCTTGTCTCTGCCCATGAACAACTGCCTGGGGCCAGAGAATTAGGCATCCCTGCTCTTCTTTCCCTCAGAAAGCCCTTGAGACGTTCTCCTTGAAGCTCCCCTAGGTGGGAGTAGAAGTTCATCTCCTGACACTCCACGTTTTATTCATGAGTCCTGAGTTATGACACAGAGGACACAGTTGTGCTCCCCTTACTATGGACTAGCAGATAAAGCACCTTAACCACTCAGCCACCATGCAAACCCTTCTTATATTTGATTCAATATACTTTTCCGCAAGCAAAATAAAAGTTCTGACCAAGGAGGCGTCGTCTGATTTGACTCTAGAACTTGGAAATGCATTGGCTTTTAGCAAATCTCAGTACTGAATGTAAACTTCAAGGAGAAATGGTTCCAGGAAATAAATTGGGATGACATTGAACTTTTAGCAAACTGCAAAATCCTGAAACCATGGACTTACTGAGGCCAATTAAATGGGCTAATTCATGGGTGGAAGTGGTACATCCTAAAAATTCTCCACAAGTGATTCTACACTGAAGCCAGGGTTTTTGTCAAGTACTGTGTGAGGATGAGGATGGCCATCTGCTTGGCAAGCCATCTGGTCCAGGCAGGGCTCACATTATTGTTCACAGTTTAACCTATTTAATTAAATAGTAATTTTCCCCCAAATCTTATATGACATAAGCTGTAGTCCTGAGCCACATTAAGATGTACTATTTATGCAGTAAAATTGTATGGGATTTGACAAATGCATAGCAGCAGTTTTCCAGCATTAAAGTATCACAGAACCCTTCTCTTATTCAAGCTCCTCTTCCGTCCACATACAGGGAATCAATCGCCTTTTGTATATGGTCCTTGGACGTTGCTTCTTTATTTCAGTTATCTTCCATCAAAGCAAATGATACCGTGCTCTATTTTCATTTGATCCTCCAAAAGAAAGGTACTGAATAATCTAAACCAGAATTTCAGCCATTCAGAGACTTAGGTCCATCGCTAAGCGGTAGAAGCCAAGCCTCTTGCGCTGCAACCCCATGGCCGGCAGAGGGCGAGGGAACACGCCGTCCCGCCCTCCGGGGCGCATGCGCTTTCTGCCTGCGGAGGCGGGGCTGGGTCTCCAGGAAGTACGTGAGTTTCCTTTCCTCTGGTCAGGGAGGAGGCGCCGCCCTGGCTTTGGGGCAACTAAGGCGATGTCCATCAGGAGGAAAACTTCCTGTCCGCAGCCCTAACTGCTGAGAAGGGAGATTCGCTGCAGAGTATCCCGGATATTTTTCTGAAACAGCCATAAAGACTTCATTTTCAGGGCTGTTGCCACGTGTTTTATTCTGTATTTTCTGTTGGGATACTTTAGCATTATTTTACAAATGTATAAATTTGGGGTTAGGGAGGGCTTTCTGATAGATAATAGAAGCAGGCTGTAACATGTCCTCCCTGTGACCTCATTGAGGATTGATTGTGAGGAGAAACAAGAAGAATTGTGAGGAAAATCTACAGAATACGGGGACCCTGCAGAGGAAGGGGTCGGGTCAGGGCAGGGCCACACAATTTCAGTGCAGCCCGTGGGAAAGGGGCCCTTGCAGGGAAACCCGCGCTCTGCCTCCGTGCATTTCCACATTGTGAGGGGCTCATCTTTCCTACAGTGCTAAAGTCACTGAAAAATAGACAATGAAAGAGAGGGACATTAATTCAACATTCAGTTGTTGACGATAAAGCATTCAGAACCACATCTTTCTCTTCATCACAGCACTGCAGATGTAAAAAATGGTTTTAATTTCAAAGGCAAGGGGAAGAGGTACACTTGTGAACAAGTTTGGACCCCAAATGAAAATATATTGCTTAAATATTTCTTCAAAAATAAGTCATTATTCTGTGTTGCAGGATATATCCTGAGATTTTTAAGCTATAACTTTATTAATTTATTGGTTAAAACACATTTTGTTTATAGCCAAAGCGATTATAAAGGTAGAATATTTGGCAAGTCCCTCATATTTTTCTTCTTCTACTAGGTTTTCAGCTAGAATTGACACACACAAACTCACAATGAGGGGCCTCTTTCTTGACCATAAAATATGCATACTCCAGAACCCTCAGTGTAAGCTGTTTCTTGAATATCTTAACCTGATCCCCACAACCAGAGAGAATGTAGAGAAGTAACCCGTTTTTTTTTTTTTAAACACAGTCTCGCACTGTCACCAGGCTGGAGTGCAATGTCGTGATCTTCGCTCACTGCAACCTCCGCCTCCCGGGTTCAAGCTATTCTCCTGTCTCAGCCTCCCGAGTAGCTGGGATTACAGGTGCCCGCCACCACACCCAGCTAATTTTTTGTATTTTTAGTTGAGATGGGGTTTCACTATGTTGGCCAGGCTGGTCTCAAATTTCTGACCTCCTGATCCGCCTGCCTCGGCCTCCCAAAGTGCTGGGATTATAGGCATGAGCCACCGTGCCCGGCCAAGTAACCCAACTTTAAAACTACATCTGGTTGGGCACCATGACTCATGCCGGTAATCCCAACATTTTGTGAGGCGGACATGGGCAGATCACTTGAGGTCAGGAGTTTGAGACCAGCCTGGCCAACATGGTGGAACCCCGTCTCTAACCAAAATACAAAAAGTAGCCGGGCATGGTGGTGCACACCTCTAATCCCAGCTACTCGAGAGGCTGAGACAGGAGAATCGCTTGAACCTGGGAGGCAGAGGTTGTAGTGAGCCAGACTGCACCACCTCACTCCAGCCTGGGCAACAGAACACAACTCCGTCTGAAAAACAAACAAACAAACTACATCTGATCTTCAGCAAAGTATCTGCTGTTCTGCTCAGAAAAGACCGAAATCCACAAAGCAGACAGACCTCTGAATAAAGACACTAAGGTCCGCCGTGGGCGCTTTTAAGAAGTTAGCAGGGCCTGTACTTCACCTAATAAGACTGAGGAGGATATCAGCTAAATGGAAAGAATCTACAAACAAATTTATACAATTTCTAGGGAGAGAATGACATCCTGAGCTCAAGGGCCTGTTAGTGACGGCACATTCAGTAATGGTGCAGCCTCACAGAATTTCCATTTAGTTCAATTTTGGTATTTACTGGTCATCTTTTCTCCCCATTACCATCCAACCTTTTTTATGTTGTCAAATAATTTTTAATCATAAAATGATTAACTCTGAGTTTGGGCATTTGGTGTCTGGCCTCCTGATGGAAGTTTAGGTGACTTTGTCCATGGAAATCATGGATTTTTAATTAATAAGTAATGTTGAAAGGGAAACTTGCATTATAATTCTGAAACCATTCCAGTGGGGGATACAGGCAAGAAATAAGCCAACAGACAGATTAGCACATAGTGATATATTAGAAATTAAGTAAAGGTCCTTTTGGTATTTTTCCCAGCTCATCTTATGATATGAGCCTATTATGTTTGGATAACTTTCCCCAGGAGATTCATTTTAAAAGTTCTTTCACTTAAAATACATATTATTTTATTATTTAAAAATACTGTCACCAGAAGCGGTGGCTCACGTCTGTAATCCCAGCACTTTGGGAGGCCGAGGTAGATGGATCACTTGAGGTCAGGAGTTTGAGACCAGCCTGGCCAGCACGGTGAAACCCCGTCTCTACTAAAAATACAAAAATTAGACAAGCGTGGTGGCACATGCCTGTAATCACAGCTACTCGGTACTCTGAGGCAGGAAAATCACTTGAACCCAGCGGGTGGAGCTTGCAGTGAGCCGAGATCGTACTACTGCATTCCTGCCTGGGAGACAGAGTGAGACTCCATCTCAAAAAAAAAAAAATACTGTCAGCCCTCCACATCCATGGGTTCCAGCTCCATGGATTCAACTAAACTTGAATAGAAAATATTCAGAAAATATTTACACAATTTCCACCCCCCGACAAAAAAAAATTTGAATTTTCCCTTCACCAAATTCTTTGTTGAGAACACGTAAGTAATGTAAGGTCTGGGCATTGTATTAGGTATTATAAGTAATCTAGAGATAATTTAAGCTATATGAATTAATATGAGTAAGTTACATCTAAATTCTCTACCACTTTATACAAGGAAGTGGAGCATCCACAAATATTGTTACCTTCAAAGTTTCCTAGAACCAATCCTTTATGTTTACCCAGAAATGATTATGCACATGAAACTTACAGAAAATAATTGTCTTTCCTAATTAATGAATAGTATACAATAGAATGTAAATAGCACTATTTTAAAATGCTGATATTTTATATCACATTTCTATGGTGAATCAGAGTAGAGGTTACATTAGACTGATTTTGATTAGATTAGGCTAATTCTAACAGGGGCACACCCATATCACTTGAGTTTTGATAAAAGCACTCCCATGCAGGTCCTACTACTTAATCAGCAGCACTAGCCAATCGTGTTCATCCATTTTGATAAATCCCACAGCTCTCTCTATTATAAAACTTTTGGGATTTGCCCAAGATTTCATTCTACCATAGCGTCATTCAACCTGTCCCAGGCCAGGGCACACTATTCCATGTTCTGGATGTGCCGAGCTGATCATCTTCTTCAGGAAAAGTAAAAGATCAAGTCATAGACTGTATAGATTTATAAGAAAATAAGATGAAGATTGAAATTTTCTGATACAAGTGAGTCTAGAGAACCTTTACCATGTATGGTTACTGGCGCCAAAGAAGCCTTAGTGATTCCTGGACAGAATCGCAGAATGACAATGAAGGAGAGAGCAGGTATGTTAGTGTGTGTTTACCTTGGGTTGCCAGGAGGTTGCCATGTGACTATGTGTGACTGTGTGCATTTGTGTGTGTGTGTGGTGTGAATGTGTGATAAAGGGTCAAACTAGGGCAGAGAAAGCACCCTGGCCTGCCATGACATTGAACGTTATAAATTTAGAACACCTGCCGGAGACATGAGACCCACAGTGGAGGCCATAGGATCCTGCCAGCATGGGGGGTTTCTGGACCTGTCAGGGGGCTCATCTCAGGTTTCCTCCCACTGTCGATCTATGTTCCCTCTCTAAATGAAAGTCACCTCTTGTGCGGAGACAGGTAAACTGTGGGCATGATCTAAATTTCTTCCCTGTGCTCATTAGAAAATGAAACATTTCCCATCATCTCTCACTCCATTCACACTGTAACTGCACAGACACGGTGCTCAGATACCTGAAATAACAACGTCTTCCCTGAAAATCCTCAGACCAAATTAGATGTCCCTTCTCAGATGGATGAGCTCCTGAGAAAGCAAACTGTTTCCTGTGGTCACCATCCCTTATCACACACATTCACCGATAGGAAAAGCCATTAGAAAAGTTGAGGAGGGGAGATGAGCATTAGGACTTACTGGATGCAGGTAGGATTTGGAGCCCAACACAAGTGCACTTGACTGAGGGACACAGAAAGAATGTGTGCTGGATGATAAATGGAGTTTTGGGCTTGTGAGAATTAGACTCTGTGTGGAAGACTAACGGATCCCTTTCTGTCCTGCAGCTTGGCTACCACGCAAATGAATCCACCCAAACGTCACCAAGTGGAGCAGGGTACCAGTATAGGTAAGGCAATTTCCCTGATATTTCTTAAGATCTCCCTGCCTGGAGGTCAGTGTCATGTCTCACAATCTTATAAAAGGAGAGGGTGCTTTCTGCAGGATGAGTGGAAAGTCATGCTTGATTGATGGGGGCTGGTGTCCTGAGGCTGGCCTGTGCTGGGTTGTGGATTTCTGAAGGTCATATTCTGAAATCCAAGAGACTCTTGCTGGAAGAGCCTTAACCTCCCTCACTGTGATCTCTCTGCAGGTGCAAAAACACCCTCAATTCCAGGAGCTCCACACTGAATTCAGGCCAGTCCCTGGAACCTCCCCAGGTAAGTTATTATGTCATTGCATGGCAAAGATTGCAAAACACCCTCAATTCCAGGAGCTCCACACCAGAATTCATGCCCGTCCCAGAAACCTCCCCAGGTAAGTTCGTATGTCCTTGTATGGCAAAGATTGGACAGTGCTGCACACTCTTCAGGCTCAAGAGACATCCAGTGGATGTACATTTAGGTGGGTCAGCACGAGAGTCAATTCTGGGAGGGAGTGTATTTTAAACTTGTAGAGGGTGAAGCTCCTGGCAACTCCCTCCGCATCAGCATCATTTGCAGCCTTTTTGGAGAATACTGACGGCCATCTT
Source organism: Homo sapiens (assembly GCF_000001405.40). Taxonomy (NCBI): domain Eukaryota; kingdom Metazoa; phylum Chordata; class Mammalia; order Primates; family Hominidae; genus Homo; species Homo sapiens. Next base: position 7,526,659 of record NC_000008.11, read on the forward strand.
TTCACGGGAGCAGCAGGATTCCAGCAATGAGGAGCTCATCATAGTCCTAGAACAAGGGACAGAAGTGAGGTTGAGCCTGGAAGAGGTCATCCTCATCTTGGCCCCAGAGACAGCGCTGCAGCTGACCGTGGAGAACACAGTCCTTGTGATTGTTCCTGGCATATCCTGAGGTCACAAGATGGCCTGCAGTCCCCTGTGCAGATCCAGTACATCATGCCTTCCATTGATGACTTCAGCTTGGAGTGCCATGCTCAAGATGGAGACATCTCAGACATGAAAGGAGAGAATGTGCCTCTTTCACCTGCAGAAGAAGGGGAGGCAGCACCCCTATATCACCAGCCCTTGATGATATCCCCAGCAAACCACAAAGCTGGGATCAGCCCTTTTCTTCTAGTAACCCCATTGTGCATTCCATGCTGTCTGGCAGCCTTCCCCCAACGCTACCCTCTACCACCCACATCTAGTCCCATGGGACGCCCTAGACCAGCCAACTCCAGTTTCAGCCTGCATGGTATGGAGCTACTGTGCACCTCCTCCCTCAGCCGTATGCCCCCTTCACCAACTCCTGGTCCCCAGATCTATCACAGGGTTCACCATAGGCCTCCCAGCAGGGCACAGAGATGTCTCTTTAGGAAGTGATTTAACCAAGAGTCACCCCCTGCATTGATAGGTCAGAGATTGTCCAAGTCCTTAGTCAGTGCATTCCCTGAAATGTGGAGAGAAAGTAATTCCAAGGACCGCTTGCTTCCCCTTTGCTGTTTCCCATCAACACCCACTGTCTTCAACAGCAGAGGGCTCCAGATGCTGCAGGGAGGGGGAGAACCGCAGGGAGTTCAAATAAAACATTCACATTTCACTTCACACACAATGTCCCTTAGACTTTCTCTTCCTATTTAACCACATACATCCAACCACACTCAATCGAATCCCTGACTGCTCCATGTGAGAGTTCTGCTTCCAGCATGATGTGGCCTGAAAATTCATCTGAAGACAGCTGCTCACTCCCAGGGCTAACACCGCCCCTTGCATGCTGATGTCCTTGTAGTCATTGGTCTGATGCCACAATAAATAATTCCTAAGGCTGGTGCTCTATTTCTGCCCTGAGACTCTCCCCTTTTTCTCCAAGCTGTGCCCCATTCCTTGTTTTAGTCCAGGTTCCCTACACTCCCCAGGCCAATGCTTTTGAATAAATCTTGACGTCATTGAATGAAGTAGTGGTGACTGCTGTGCTTGCTTCCAACTGAGACAGTCTCCTGCTCTCACTCATCACGTTTCCATTCACACTTGCCTTTGTTTAGTTTTGTTTTCCATTGTTTGGGTTTATTATTCACGTGCTTATGAAATAACTGCCACATTTCTGACAGTTTTTTTGGCCAATTTGGGGCTTTTCCTGTGCTCCTCCTTCCAAGTCCTGAGTGGGGTCACTGTTTGCACCTCTGGGCCCTGGGATGGGTCTGGCTTAGCAAGTGATTGAACAGAGCTTGGCTCTGTGTGTTCGGATGGGCACCTGCGCTTGTTCACAGCTGCTCCCAGGCTCTCCCTGTCCTGCCTGGGTGTCCCTGTGTCTCTGGAGTGTCTAGGAAATCTAGCAGTCCCCTTGAGGGCCCAGCACCTCTTTGTTGGCCTGCATGTCCCAGCCTGTGCATCCATGGCCAGCTAGAGCCACCACCACCTTTTCCTAGTCAACCTGGGTCCTGGAGGCAGGGGAGATGCGGGGATAATGTCCTGGCCTCCCTGAGCCCAACCCCAGTAGGTGGGGAGTGCTCATGACCCCGGGGGGAGTACAGGGCGTTTGCCCTTGACTTGCCTGACCCTCTAAAACCTCACATGTTCCCTGGAGGTGGGTGCAGCTTTCTCCTACTCTGGCCTTGCTGGCCTGGGAAGAGTGTCCTTGGTCCCCCGAGCCCTCACAGCGTTTTCTCTTCTACTGAGGTTTCAGGAACTGCCTTTCCCCTCTGGGAAGGAGGACAGGCACCTTTTCAGGTTTGATTCTCCTCAGAGTTTTGTATCTCGGCTGGGGCGGAAGCAGCCTTCGTCCACATGAGAGGCCCAGCCAGGGCGTCCTCACCAGCCCGGGCCTCCGGGGAGGTTTTGAGTCTGGGCGCTGGAGAGGCCCCTTCCTCTGCGAGAGCGAAGATGGCCGCCCCAGTGCAGGGGGCGCCTTTCTGCGCCCTTAGGGCGTCAGGATCCCCCTACGGACGGGAAGTCCCATTGGGCGTCTTTGGCCCCGCCCTCCCAGAGCCCTGCTGATGCGGAGGTGGCGCGGGGGCCCTGGACTCTGTCATGAGAGGTGGCAGCAGAGGCCAGGCAGGGCCCGGGCTCCGGGTCAAGGGAGTGTCTGGCCTGGGTGGGACTGGGTCCCATCCAGAAACTGGGATTCTAGGGTTCTGGTGCGGGTGGATCCGGGGCAGGCTCAGGACCAAGTCCCTCTTCTTCCACCTCAAGGACTCACCCAGGGGCTGGCGGGAGCTCCAGGCTCAGCAGCTGCTCCTCCTCCTCCTCCTCCTCCTCCTCCTTCTCCTCCTCCTCCTCCTCCACTCCTCCCCTCCCCTTCCCTTCCCCCTCCTCTCGCCTTTCCCCTCCCCCTTCTCCTCCTCCTTCTCCAGGTGTTTTCTCTTCTTTTATTTCTGTGAGTTGAGAAATGGCGCCGTCCTTCACATCGGTGTATTTCTACCCTAATCCCCAGTACCTTGTTGAGTAAAGCAGTCAAACTCTGCAATATATTGAAGAGCCCTCAGGAGGTCCTCAGAACATGTGCCCAAGGTAGTAAGGGTGCAGCTTCGTTTACTTCGGGCCAATTGGTCTCCATAGGTATAACATCCTGACGAGGGTATAAATCAAGTGCAACAAATGCCTGGTGTTCTATATCTAAATTGTTACAGGATTTGTTAACAGTAGACACACCTATTTTTCACACCACTTGTATTGCACTATATACTGGTATGTGTTTGGGAGAGAAAACAATGTTCTTTAAAGGAGAAGTCATATGATTCTATACTTTCATTTTGTTGTCCTTTCCCACAGAAATGGCCCTTTCCCATATAACAAATGTTATGTGCTATGGGAGTGGATATTAGGGGCTAAGTTGGGGAAAATTAGGGTTCTAAGTGGACTGAGGGCATAACCATTCCCCTTTTCTGTTTTCACAATCTGAAAAGGAGATGGGACGCCATGTGTTATCATGAGCTGAAATAGTCCACCTATTTCCCCAGGGGAGTATTTCTGTATTGTTTACAATGCCTGCCAGTTGAACCACAGAATACCTTTGAGCCTCATTTAACTTTGGTGCCTATGCTCTGAGAATACCATGTTTGAGGTCACATTTACCATCCGAAATTTTCCATATGTTTGGGGGGCCGTGTATTTTCCACAGGTGTTTGGATTGTGCCTCGGCACAGATGAGTATAGGCCATTGCTTCATAGCCACCTTAGATTGTGTTTGTAATGAAATAGACATGAGCCCCTGTTGGGTTACAGAACATGCTCATTGCCACCTTCGGGTTTGAGAGTATGTTTTTATGTTTTGTTTGGTTTCTCCTATCCATTTGATGAGTGTTGCATTATTTTTTAAAGGAGCTTCCCATCCTTTTCCATCTTCCTGGAATAACATTCCTTCTATGTGGGCTATTTTTGACAGAAAACTTTTCTCTAAGAGATGCCTCTCCTCGTTAGCTATGAACTCAGCTTACACCAATATACCTAGGCCAGCTCCAACTTTTCCAGTGAGGTCAAGTTTTAATTTCTGGGTGGCGAATTTTGCTGGATTCATCAGGATTGCTGTTGCCATTGTATACTAATGGCATTAGCACAATTTGAAACTATATGTGCAATTTATACTTGGGAGTATTGTACCAAGAGGCTTTGTCATAAGGCATCTTTATCCTATCAGTAAATATTTTCTTTTAAATCTATGAGAAGCAGAAAATTGTTTATGGTTGGGGTGGATGCAAAAGTGACACACTATAGTCTAGAAGGAAATGTCCCTTGTTTTGCCGGCTGTACCATCTTTGTACCCCTCCTTGATTTGGAGAGTTTGACATGGACCTAAGTTCATGCCTCAAAACTAGCTCTTACAATCTCATGTGCCTGCCTCTTCCAAGACAGTCCCTGAGCCTAGAGAGAGGGTGCTTGTATAGTTTTAGCAGCAGAAGATTCGCGGTGAAATACAGATCTGAACCCAGTGGGATGTCAGCTGAGGGGGATTCATATCTCTAGTCTTCAGAATACCGTAATTTTGGTTTCCTTGGAAGTAAAACAAGGAGAGGTAAATAACATTTATAGTTTCACAATCAAAAGATTATTTGTGTGTCAGAATGGAAAAAGGAACCTACTTCATTAGGGAACCAGCTAAAAATATGGAGATAAATTATGATCTGGTACTCTCTAGAGGATTATTATAGCAAAGAAATAATGATTTAATCTGCACTTAAAAAGAGTTAGGACTGAAATCTAGTACTAATCCTTAAGCTTTTCCTTTTAAACAATTGTTCTATCTGCATTTTTTTTAGAGATTATAGTAAGACCAGTTTGTGTGCCAAGTAAGTTTTAGTCTTATCATGGTTGGCCGGATTATTTGCTTAAAATGCAGCAAGAATTGATTGGCCACATAGACTCATTTTAAGTTGGCTTTGCTGGCACCTTACCTAAAAATATACCACTTTAGTTCAAGTCTCTAATTGTTTTAAAGACTCTTATTGAAACTTATGCAAACAACCATATTGTCATAAAATTAGGATCTGAATTTTGGAGAACTCAGAAAGATAATTTGCTTACAAAAACAAACTTCATCAAAATGAATTAAAGAAAAAGATTGTCTGGACCCTCCTTTAACAAGAGCAGTGGCTTTCACACAAGATGTTTGTTTATCATCTTGGAAATGTCATGCACAAGCCAAACCGCTCCTGAGAGCTGTCTATCAGGCACTATGCAATCTAGCAGCTCCTCACAGAGTTAGAATTAGTCCTAGGAATGAGGCTGCCTGCTTATTAGTATCTCCTCCTTATATCCCCATGTAGCAAGATTCTATGTAAACCATTTTTATTTTATCACGAAACTCTTTTGGGGCAACATTATTTCCACTATCATAGAAGTTGGTTCAGTTAGCATTCCATAGTAAGGTACTAAATGTCCCTGAGCTAGAAATTCCCTTGTTCTATCTTTGTCATCAGGAAGAACTCACAGTTTTTTTTTTTTTTTGCCATCAGCCCCAATAAATGTTACACAAAGGGCTATGAAGTGCAGGATTTGTCCCGACTAGCACTCCAGCTTCTACCCTATACTTTGTGGGCTTAGGCAGTCTTACTAGTTCCCATTTGGCATGTCCAATTAACATTTCTCAAAAGAGCAGATTTATATGCCTTCAGTTTTATACTACTAGAAAGGGGAAACCTCTCCCAGGTAGTAAAGGAGGTTACAACTACCTTACATAAAACCTGTTTAAACATTTTAAATTTCATAACTCTATTAACCTGTATGTTTATATGTTCTGGTCCCAGAATTTTTTTTTAATACCCCCAAATCATTTTACCTTTTCTATTGAAAAAGGGTTTGGTTTCTCAGCAGGGAGTTGCATCTATAAGACCTCTAAGGGGCAGCAAATTTGATACGACTCCTCAAACACTCTCATGATTTTGTGGGAGGAGCATCCATGTAAAAGGGGCCCTCTTAGCACCCAAATTTAACATAACCTGGGTAACAGACAGTTTGGTGGGAGCATATCCCAGTCATTATTAAGCCAGTCCAACATGGTTCACATAAGAAGCATATTAACTGCTCCATCTGGGGTGTTTCACTTGGTATTTTATTGGGAGAGTTAGGTAGTCCCCTACTCAGAGAAAACAGACTTTATGGTGGCATTTTCTGGGTATATTATGCTGATTATTCTCTTAGGAATAACCTCCTGGGTATTTGGATCACATGTTAGTGGTTGTTCAATAGTGAACTGTGGGTCCTGCATTAACCCAAACAAGCTCTTAAATCGTGTAACATTTAAAATTAAGAATCTTGTCCTTAAAGTGTTTTTTCTCAATCCATCATAGTAAGGATTTTTTAAAGAAGCTGATGATACTAAACTACAAAATGGAACAATTCTTTACAGTATACCCTCTGGTTCTAAATAGTTAGTTTTGCTCTTCCCCCACATTGATTGACTATCATTTTGGTAGCCACGGGTCTCAGAGTTAACTTTTGTTGCCCTAGCTTAATTACTCTTTTTATTTAGTTATATCCGTATAATTTTTCCTTTCATTTTAAAGCAACTCTTAAATAGTTTTCTAGCTAGAGGAAAAATATATTTTCTTTTTTAAGCAAAGTCAACATTTTTATGCTTTATAAAATTCACCAAAAACAAATTTTATGCTCTTGCTATTTTAACTTTCAGCAATCCAAATTTCCAGTGAAAAATAACCTAACCTGAGATTTTAACATGACTTGAAGCTTTTAAATTACTGGAGAGTTTTGAGATGGAATTTACCACATTAATTTTACCAAAGATTCTTAAGGTTATGAAAATTAAAAGGGCATTTGAGATAGCTTGTACCAGTCTAACAAGCAGCTACATTTCTTTAAGAAAAGTTACTTGTCTAGAGCTCTTTCATGTAGTTTGGGAGTTAAATACCACTTCCACATGACACATATAAAGATAGAGATATAACACTCATGCGGAATAAAAAGGCAGGTCCAAAGGATATTTCATTTGACTGTTTTTTTAAAAAAATTCCCTTTCTTACTTTAGATAATTAATAAAAGTTACAGGAGCCAACAAAAGGTGAAGGAGAGAGCTATCATCCATGGCCCTTTCAAAGAGGAAGAGCTGAAGTTTTGACCTATTTTATCTGAAGAATTTCAAAGAGACAGATTCTAGAATTTAAAATTTAATAACTTTTTGCATTAGTAATAAGTTAATATTTTTAATAAAAATCTTGTTTTAACCAATTATTTCAGTTTTACATTAGTGTATATTTTTAAATATCGAAGATCCATCCCTAGAAAGACTATTATAATTCCTTTTTAATGGTAGCCAACTGAATTATACAACCCCTTTAAAAAAATATATTTTTACTAATCCTGTTATGACTTACATAGACCACTCAAAACATGTTTAGACTTTCTGTTTTTTCCTAAATATTCCTCTTTCTTGAATGACCCAGTCATTTTATTCTAGGGCAAAAATTTACTACACAAGATTCTTTCTGATATAAAATTATTTTCCTTTATCCCTTCTCTATAAAAAGGTACCACTTTAAATTTTTTTACATTTCTTTTTTTCTGGTTCTTTTTATACATAACATTTAAGTAGGCTGTCAGTTACACAAAGATATTTACATTTTAATAAGAACACTTAAAAATTTTTTATAATTTTTAAGTTTTGAATTACCTGTATACTCAATATTTATGAATAACCTTAGATCCTAAATTATATGACAAGTTTGTTTACGAGCATTTATTCCATCACATTTTCCTGATTACATTATTCAATAGTTTACCTAGATTATTGACCAAAACTGTAACAGTCCTTCTGTAAGTTATTTCCCTGTTACCCTTTTTTATAGCTGTGCATTTTAGGTGTTTACTTACATAGGAAACCTAAAGTTAAATATAAGAGTATTTTTACAAATAATTTAGGATTTCATTAAAAGAATATTCCATGTCTTTCTTGTCTAAAATTACACAAGCAAAGATCATTTTGTCTTGGTCTGGCTTTCATAATTTTATAACCCTTATGGTTAATCTTATATTATTCTGCAGGATTAAGCATGGAATTACTTGATCAATAAACACAAAACAAAAATGCTAACAATTTTTACGACATTTCTAATTTTACTTTACCCATAATTTTAAAGCCAGCTCATTTATTAAATATTTTAAGTCAAGTGACCTTAAAAAGCATTTGTGTAGTCTTTTATTTGATTAAGTATCTGATTTATGTGCTTTTATTTTTAAAGCCAATTAGAGCTCTTGTATATATTTTTAATAGTGAAACATTGTGTACACAACACATAAATACATAGATGTATTAGGCATGCCAATAGATGTACATCTTATAGATTCATAAGATCCTATTTTTTCCTGTCTTAGGTTTTCAAATTCTTGATAACCTGTTTGACTACCTTAGGTAGCTGTCAGCTAAATAGCCTTACTCTGCATATCAAAGGAAACAATTCATAGGTGAAAATCAGATAGGAAACTTACATCTGAGGAACACAGCGAAATAGTCTGTTGTGCTAGACAGAAATTAAAATGGATGTAACTGCTACATAACATAAAATTATAGAAATCATAAAAGCCTTTTAAATATATACATGCACATATTTGCACAGAAAAGAAAATCCTGTAGCTTTTGGTTGAGAACTTTAGGAATGATATGAAACTGGCTTGAAAAACGAACAAACAGACAAACAAAACCCTGTTATATCCAAACAGTGGCTTTTATCTCAGTCATAATGTAACAGCTGATATAAAGCAGGCAGAAAAGAAAAGAGAGAAAAAGAGACCTTAGGAAATCTATAACTTGCAGGTCGACCTTAGGGCTTTTTTTTTTTTTTTTTTTTTTTTTAAATGTGCACAAAGACCACGTTACTTCCATTTTACATAAAGTCTGGCTAGTAGAGTTGTCGTAAAATCTAAGAAGTGCTTGAAAGTGGGTCATTCTCCTTGTTTTCTCCTAAGTTTTAGATTTTTTTCTCACCTTTTTTTTAAGGAGGAATTGAGCTGTGGAATAGAGCTTTTGTGGAGTGGGTCAAAGGGTGCTGCTTGTAGGCAGGACTCCAGAGTGTGTCACCACTGTGTCACTCCTGCCCTCTTACATGTCTCAATTTTTCTCTCCAGAGGTCTAAGCAGCTCCTCAAGTTTTTTAAGAGAACAATACTTGCAAATATTGAAACAATATAGCCTGTTCCTGAAAAATGTAATATGTTGTACAAGATCTAGTTTTACTGATGCTGCTCTAACACTTAGAATTCCTTCTGCACTCTTTGGCATGTGGGCAGAAATTCCACCCCTTTCTTCGAGTCCCTGCCTTCTTCAAGAGTTTTTTATTTTTGCCGCACAGCCCATGTCCCCTAATTCTAACTTCCAACAAAAATATTTGTCTCCATCCATCCCTGGAGTTGTCAAAACAGGGATCTTCATGCCGGGTTTCTCAATGAGCCATTACACAGATTTAGCAGGGAAATGGGAGTAATATCAAAGACACCTTGTATAAACCATTGGATGACCCCAGCCCTCGTCTCTGCCCATGAACAGCTCCCGGGGCAGAGAGTCAGGCAGCCCTGCTCTTGTATCCCTCAGAAAACTCTTGAGATTTTGTTCCTAAAGCCTCCCAAAGAGGGAAAAGGAATTCATCTCATGACATCCCACTTTTCATTCAAGTGAGTAATTGCGTTATGACACAGAGAAGGACACAGCATTGCTCCCCTTACTATAGCCTAGCAGATAAAGCACCAGCAAACTAAAACACCCTAACTTCTCAGTCACCATGCAAGCCCTTTTATATCAAATGCAATGGACTTTTCCACAAGCAAAATGAATCTTCTGACCAGCAGGCATCCTCTGCTTTGACTCGGGCTTGGATACATATTGTGCTTCAACAAATCTCAGTACTGAATCTAAATATCAAGGAGAAGTGGTCCCAGGAAATATACTGAGAGGACTTTGAGCTTTTACCAAACTGCACAATCCCAAAATCATAGACTTTACTGAGGCCAATTAAATTGGCTAATTCATGGGTGAAAGTGAAACATCATAATGTTTACAAATCTGCCCAACTGTTTTTACGTTAAAGCCAGGGTTTATGTCAATTCCTGTGTGAGGATGAGGAGACATCAATTCAAGCCCATGACAATCTGGAAGGACAGGCAGAGACTGTGTCCAGGCAGGCCTCACATTGTTTATACTTTGACCTATTTAATTAAATATGTAATGTTCTCCAAATTTTAGATGTCATTTGCTGTAATCCTGACCCACTAAGATGTACTATTTGTGCTGTAAAATTGTATTGTATTTGACAAATGCATAGTGGCAGATCTCTGGCATTAAAGCATCACACAGAATGTTTCTCTTATTCGAGCTCCTCTTTCCTCCACATACAGGGAATCAACAGACTATTTTATACGGTCTTTGGACTTTGCTTCTTTATTTCCACCCTCTTTCATAAAAAAAAAAGAAAAAGAAAAAAGATACCGTGCTCCATTTGCATTTGATCTTCCAAAAGGAAGGTACTGATAAAACCGGAATTTCAGCGATACAGACGCAGGTCAACCGCTAAACAGTGAAGGCCAAGAGTCCCGCGCTGCAAGCCCATAGCCGGCAGAGGGCAATGGAACTCGCTTTCTGGTCGTGCGGGGCGCATGCGCATTCTGCTTGCGGAAGCGGGGCCAGATCGCCAAGGAAGAAGGGAACTTCCCTTCCTCAGGCCAGGGAGGAGGAGGCGCCGCCCTGGCTTTGGGGCAAATGGGGCTGCATCCATCTTAAGGAAAACGCTGCTGTTCACAGCCCTACCTGATGAGGAGTGAGATTCCCTGCGCGTCTCCCGGATATTTTTCTGAAACAGCACTAAAGACTTAATGTTCTGGGCTGTTCCTACGTGTTTTCTTCTGCACTGTCTGTTGGGATATATTAGCAAGAATTATTTTACAAATCTACGTATTCCTTAGGGATTTTCATTGATAACCATAGCAGGCCGTAATGTGCCTTCCTCGCAACCTCTGTCAGGATTCATTATGAGGAGAAACACAAGAAGAATTGTGAGGAAAATCTACAGAATACGGGGACCCTGCAGAGGAAGGAGTATGTGGCCGGGGCACGGCGGCGCACTGTCGCGCAGCTCGCGAGAAAGGGGCCCCTGCAGGGAAACCCCGCACTCTGCATCCCTGCATTTCCACATTGTGAGGGGCTCATCTTTCCTACAGTGCCAAATTCACTGAAAAATAGTGAGACAATGAAAGGGAGGGGCACTAATGCATCCTTTAATTGTTGCTATTAAAACGGCAAGAGCCACGTCTTTAATTTTACCCTAGCACTGCAGATTTAAAAGTGATTTTCATTACACATGCAAGGGGAAAGCTACACTTTTGTGAAAAATAGTTTCTACCCCAAATGAAAACATATTGCTTAAATATTTCTTCAAAAATAAGTTATTATTCTGTGCTGCAGGATATATCCTGAGACATTTATGCTGCAAATTTATTAATTTATCTATTAAAACATTTGGTTTATAATCAAAGCGATTATAAAGGTAGAATATGTATTTGGCACGTCCCTCATATTTTTATTCTTGTACTGGTTTGCAGTCCATAGGTTTTCAGCTAGACGTGACACACAGAAACTCACCATGAGGAGCCTTTCTCTTTCTTGACTGTAAAATATACATACTCCAGAATCATCAATAGAGGCTATTTCTTGAATATCTCAACCTGAACCCCGCAGCCAGAAAGAATGTAGGCAATTAATCCAATTTTATAACTGCAGCTGATATTCAGCTAATTACCTGCTGTTCTCCTCAGAAATTATCAAAATCCCCAAAGCAGAGAGTTCTCTGGATAAAGGCACTAATGTTCCCCTTGGAGGCTTTTAAGACATTGGCAAAATTAAAGGAATCTTCCTGTTTTCCTTTTATTCATCTAAATGATTTATCTAACTGGAGAAGAAAGCTTCAGTGCAAAAGGCATCTGCTAATTAGATTCAATTTTTTTTTAACATTTAAGGGAAACAGGGTCTATACTTCACCTAATAAAACTGATGAAATTATCAGCTAAATGCAAAGAGAATCCACAAACAAATTTATACAAGTTCTAGAGAGAGGATGAAGCCCTGAGCTCAGGGGCCTGTTAGAGATGGCACGCTCAGTAATGGTGCACCCTCACAGATTTTCCTTCTAGTTCAGTTCTAGTGATTACTGGATTACTGTTTTCCCCCAATACCATCTATTATTCTTTATACTGTCAAATAATTTTTAATCTTAAAATGACTAATTCTGAGTTCAGGCATATGGTGTCTGGCCACCTGCAAGAAGTTTAGGTGACTTTGCCAATAAGAATGATGGATTTGTAATTAATAAGTAATGTTGAAAGCAAAACTTGCATTACAATTCTGAAATTAGTCCAGCGGGGATACAGGCAAGAAATAAATTAACAGACAGATTAATACACAATGATATATTAGAAATTAAGTAAAGGTTCTTTTTGTATTTTCCCCAGCTTGTCTTATAGTATTCGCTTCTTCTGTTTGGATAACTTTCCCCAGGAGATTCATTTTAAAACTTAATTCACTTAAAATAACGTATTTTTTTTTATTTAAAAATACTGTCAGCCCTCCACATCCATAGGTTCCATATTCATGGATCCAACTAATCTTGAATAGAAAATATTCACAAAAGATTTGCACAAGTTTCTTCAAAGAAACTTTAAATTTTCCATGCATCACATTCTTTTTGAGTTCACATAAATGACGTGACGTCTGGGCATTGCATTAAGTATTGTAAGTAATCTAGAGATCATTTAAATTATATAAATTAATGTGATTATGTTATATTCAAATTCTACGCCGTTTTATACAAGGGACTTGAGTATATACAAATTGTGGCATATTTAAAGTTTCCTAGACCCAATCCTTTATGTTTACTAAGAAACGACGTACACATGAACTTTACAGAAAATAACTGTCCTACCAAATTAATGAACAGACTACAATAGAAAGTAAATATTGCTAGTTTAAAATACTGTTATTTTATGTCACAATTATATGGTGAATCAGAGTAGAGATCTTGAATTAATTTTGATTGAATTAGGCTAATTCTGACTGGGTCACACTCATATTGACTGAGTTTTGATAAAACCACTCCCATGCTGGCCCTTCATGTTGTTTAATCAGCACCACTAGCCAATCACATTCATCCATTTTGACAAATCCCATGGCTCCACCTCTTATAAGACCCTTGGAGGATTTCCCCAAGAGCTCACTCTACCAAAGCACCATTTGACCGGTCCCAGGCCAGGACACACTCTTCCATGCTCTGGCTGTGCTGTGCTAGAGGCTGATAATTTTTCTCCAGGTAGAGTAAAAGATCAAGGCACGAACTATATAGATTTACAGAAAATAGGCCAAAGATTGAGATTTTTTTGACACAAGCAAGTCCAGAGAACTTTTACCATGTATGGTTACCGGCGCTTAAGAAGCCCCAGAGATTCCCAGACAGAACCGCAGAATGACAATGAAGGAGAGACCAGGTATGTTGGAGTATGTGGCTACTTTGGGTTGCCAGGAGGTTGACATGTGACTGTGTGTGACTGTATGTGTGTGTGTGTGTGTGAATGTATGCTAAAGGGCCAAACTAGGGCAGAGAAGACACCCTGGCCTGCCATGACATTGAATGTTATAAATTTAGAACACATTGGGGAGACATGAGACCCACAGTGGAGGCCACAGGATGCAGCCAGCATGGGGGGTTTCTGCAGCCTGTCAGGGGGCTCATCTCATGTTTCTTCCCATTGTTAATCTCTGTCCTCTGGGTAAACAGAAGTTGCCTCTTGTGTGGAGACAGGTAAACTGTGGGCATGATCTAAATTTTTTCCTTGTGCTCACTAGAAAATGGAACATTTCATGTCATTTATCACTCCATTCACACTGTAACTGCATAGACACAGGGGTTAGATACCCGGAAAATCAGCATCTTCTCCTAAAGTCCTCGGGCCAAATTTGATGTCCCTCCTTCTCATGTGGATGAGCTCCTGAAAAAGCAAACTGTTTCCTGTGATCGCCATGTCTTATCACACACATGCACCGATAGGAAAAGCCTCTAGAAAAGGAGAGGGTGGGATATGAGTGTTAGGACTTTCTGGATGCAGGTAGGATTTGGAGCTGAACACAAGTGCATGTGATTTTGGGCCACAGCAGCAATGTGTGCCGGATGACTAATGAAGTTTGGGGCTTGTGAGAATTGGACTTTGTGTCACTATGTGGAAGATTGATGGGTCCCTTTCTGTCCTGCAGTTTGGCTACCACACAAATGAATCCACCCAAACGTCGCCAAGTGGAGCAGGGTCCCAGTACAGGTAAGGCACTTTCCCTAATATTTTTTAAGATTCCCATGCCTGGAAGTCAGTGTCATGTCTCATGATACCATAAATGGAGAGGGTGCTTTCTGCAGGGTGAGTGGAAAGTCGTGCTTGACTGTTGGGGGCTGGTGTCCTGAGGCTGGCCAGTGCTGGGTGGTGGATTTCTGAAGGTCACATTCTGAAATGCAAGAGACTCTTGCTGGAAGAGAGCCTTAACCTCCCTCACTGTGGTCTCTCTGCAGGTGCAAAAAAACCCTCAATTTCAGGAGCTCCACACCTGAATTCATACCAGTCCCTGGAACTTCCCCAGGTAAGTTCCTGTGTCCTTGCATAGCAAAGATTGGATAGTGCTGCACAATCTTCAGGTTCAAGGGACATCCAGTGGATGTATATTTAGGTGGATTGGCATGAGCACCAATTCTGGGAGGGAGTTTGTATTTTAAAGTTGTAAAGGGTGAAGCTCCTGGCATCTCCCTCCCCATGAGCATCATTTGCAGCCTTTTTGGAGGGCAGAATACTGAGGACTGTCTTTCCACAGAATCAGCAGGATTCTGGCACTGAGGAGCTCATGATAGTCCTGGAACAAGGGACAGAAGTGAGGTTGAGCCTGGAAGAGGTCATCCTCATCTTGGCCCCAGAGACAGTGCTGCAGCTGACCCTGGAGAACACAGTCCTTGTGATTGTCCCTGAGCATGTCCTGAGGTCAGAAGATGGCCTGCAGTCCCCTGTGCAGATCCAGTACATCATACCTTCCGTTGATGACTTCAGCTTGGAGTTCCATGCTCAAGATGGAGACATCTCAGACATGAGAAGAGAGAATGTGCCTTTTTCACCTGCAGAAGAAGGGAAGGCAGCACCCCTGTATCAGCAGCCCTTGATGATACCCCAAGCAAACCACATGGCTGGGATCAGCCCTTCTTTCCTAGTAACCCCATTGTGCATTCCACGCTGTCGGGCAGCCTTCCCCCAATGCTACCCTCTACCACCCACACCTAGTCCTGTGGGACGCCCTAGACCAGCCGACTCCAGTTTCAGCCTGCATGGTATGGAGCTCTTGTGCACCTCCTCCCTCAGACCTATGCCCCCTTCACCAAGTCCTGGTCCCCAGGTCTATCACAGGGTTCACCATAGGCCTCCCAGCAGGGCACGGAGATGTCTCTTTAGGAAGTGATTTAACCCAAGAGCCACCCCCTGCATTGATAGGTCAGAGATTGTCCAGATCCTTAGTCAGTGCATTCTCTGAAATGTGGAGAGAAAGTAATTTGACCACTTGCTTGCCCTTTGCTGTTCCCCATCATCAACCACTGTCTTCAACAGCGGAGGGTCCCAGATGCTGCAGGGAGGGGGAGAACTGCAGGGAGTTCAAATAAAACATTCACATTTCACTTCACACACACTGTCCCTTAGACTTTCTCTTCCTATTTAAGCACATACATCCAACCACACTCAATCAAATCCCTGACTGCTCCATGTGAGAGTTCTGCTTCCAGCATGACGTGGTCTGAAAGTTCATCTGAAGACAGCTGCTCACTCCCGGGGGCTAACACCGCCCCTTGCATGCTGATGTCCTTGTAGTCATTGGTCTGATGCCACAATAAATAATTCCTAAGGCTGATGCTCTATTTCTGCCCTGAGACTCTCCCCTTTTTCTCCAAGCTGTGCCCCATTCCTTGTCTTAGTCCAGGTTCCCTACACTCCCCAGGCCAATGCTTTTGAATAAATCTTGACGTCATTGAATGAAGTAGTGGTGACTGCTGTGCTTGCTTCCAACTGAGACACTCTCCTGCTCTCACTCATCACGTTTCCATTCACATTTGCCTTTGTTTAGTTTTGTTTTCCATTGTTTGGGTTTATTATTCATGTACTTATGAAATAACTGCCACATTTCTGACAGTTTTTTTGGCCAATTTGGGGCTTTTCCTGTGCTCCTCCTTCCAAGTCCTGAGTGGGGTCACTGTTTGCACCTCTGGGCCCTGGGATGGGTCTGGCTTAGCAAATGGTTGAACAGAGCTTAGCTCTGTGTGTTGGGACGGGCACCTGCACTTGCTCACAGCTGCTTCCAGGCTCTCCCTGTCCTGCCTGGACGTCTCTGTGTCTCTGGAGTGTCTAGGAAGTCTAGAAGTTCTCTTGAGGGCCCAGCACCTCTTTGTTGGCCTGCATGTCCCAGCCTGTATGTCCATGGCCAGCTAGAGCTACCACTAGCTTTTCCTGGCCAACCTGGGAGCTCAGGCCTGAGTCCTGGAGGCAGGGGAGATGCAGGGATAATGTCCTGGCCTTCTGGAGCCCAACTCCAGTAGGTGGGGAGTGCTCATGACCCTGCGGGGAGTACAGGGCGTTTGCCCTTGACTTGCCTGAGCCTCTAAAACCTCACATGTCCCCTGGAGGTGGGTGCAGCTTCCTCCTACTCTGGCCTTGCTGGCCTGGGAAGGGCGTCCTTGGTCCCTTGAACCCTCACAGCATTTTCTCTTCTACTGAGGTTTCAGGAACTGCCTTTCCCCTCTGGGAAGGAGGACAGGGACTCTTTCAGGTTTGATTCTCCTCGGGGTTTTAGACGTTGGCTGAGGTGGGAACTGCCTTCATCCACATGAAAGGCCCAGCCAGGGCATCCTCACCAGCCTGGGCCTCTGGGTAGGTTCTGAGTCTGGTCGCTGGAGAGGCCGCTTCTGTGAGCCCCAAGACAGCAGCCCCTGTGAAGGCCATTCTCCTCTGTTCCCTCAGGGTGTCAGGACCCGCCTGTGTCCAGGAAGTCCCCTCTGAGACTAGATTGTCCTTGGTGCAGCCCTCCCAGAGCCGTGCAGAGGCAGATGTGGTGCACTGGGCCTGGGCTCTGAGGAAGCAGTGGTAGCGGGGGCCAGGGAGGACCCAGGCTCTAGGGCAAGGGAGTGTCTAACCTGGGTAGAGCTGGGCCGCATTCAGGGAGTGGCACTCCAGGGTTCTGTTTCAGGTGGAGCAGGGGCCAACTCAGGATCAAGTACCTCTCCTTCCACCTCCAGGACTCACCCAGGGGCAGGCGGGAGCTCCAGGTTCTTCTCCTCCTCCTCCTCCTCCTCCTCCATGTGTTTTCTCTTGCTTTATTTCTCTGAGTCAAGAAATTGGGGCTGTCCTTCATATCGGTGAATTTTGACCCTAATCATCATGACCTTGTTGAGGAAAAGAGTCATACTCTGCAAAATATTTGGAGATATTTATTCTGAGCCAAATATGATTGACCATGTCGTGTGACCCAGCCCTCAGGAGGTTCTGAGAACGTGTGTCCAAGGTGATCAGGGTGCAGCTTGGTTTTATGCATTTTAGGGAGACATGACTTCAACTAAGTGCATTTAAGAAATACGTTGATTTGATCCAGAAAAGTGGGACAACTTGAAGGAGGGGGGCTTCCAGCTTATAGATAGATTTAAAAATTATCTGGTTGATAATTGGATGAGTTTATCTAAGACCAGGGATCTATTGAAAGGAAATGTTTAGGTTAAGATAAAGAGGTGGGGAGGCCAAGTTTTACTGTGCAGAGGAACCTTCAGATAGTAGACTTGAGAGGGAGTAGGTTGTAAAATGTTTCTTATTGGATTTAAAAGGGAGCCTGGTCTTTGTTGATTATCTCCTGTGTCTGGAAAGAAAGAAAGAAGAAAAAAAGGTGGGGAGCCTTAACCTCCCTCACTGTGGTCTCACCACAGATGCAGAAACACCCTTACTTCAAAGAATTCCTCACATGAATTCATTCCAGGCCTGGAATCACCCCAGGTAACTCCCTATGTTCATGGATAGCAAAGATTGGACTATGTTGCATAATCTCCAGGCCACAAGACACATCCAGTGGTGGTGCATTCAGCAGGGTCAGCATGACTGCCACTTCTAGGAGGAAATTTGTATTTTAAAGTTGTAGAGGGTGAAGCTGCTCCAGCTCCCTCCCCAGGAGCATCATTTGCAGTCTTTTTTGAAGGCAGTGGACTGAGGGCTGTCGTTCCACAGCAGCAGCAGAATTCCAGCACAGAGACGTTCATCATCGTGGTCCCGGAACAAGGGACAGAACTCACACTGAGACTGGAAGAGTATGTCCTCATCCTGTCCCCACAGACAGCCCTGCCCTGACCCTGGGTAACAGCGTATTTGTGGTTGTGCCTGAGCATGTCCTGAGGTCACTGGATGGCCTGCAGTTCCCTCTGCAGATCGATTACATCTAGCACTCTGTGGATGACTTCACCTTGGAGTTCCATGTTCAAGACAGAGACACCTCAGACATGAAAGAGACAATGTGCCGCGCTCACCTACAGAAGAGGGGGAGGCAGAACCCGTATGTCACCAGCCCTTGATGAGATCCGAAGAAAACCATGTTGCTTGGCTCAGCGCTTCTCTTTCAATAATCCTACTGCGCATTGCATACTTTCTCCTCTGTGCCCTACCCTTTACCAACCACACCTAGTCCAGTGGGATTCCCTAGACCAGCCAATCTCAGCTTCAGCCTGTATAGGATGGAGACTTTGCCCAACTCCTCCCTCAGACCTATGCACCCTTCACCAAGTCCAGCACTCAGGTCTGCCACAGGGTTCACCATAGTTCTCCAACCAGAGCACGAAGATGTGTTTTCAAGAAGGGATGTAGCCAAGATCCACCACTTACATTGATAGATCAGAGATTGGCCAAATCCTTAGTCAGTGCATGCCCTAAAATGTGGAGGGAGAGTAGTTCCAGGAACCTCTTGCTTCCCCTTCTCTGTTTCCCATCATGATCCATTGTGCTCACTAGCAGAGGATCCCAGATGCTGCAGGGAGACGAAGAACTGCAAGGTGTGTAAATAAAGTGCTCCCATTTCACTTGGCACACAGTGTCCCTTAGAATTTCTCTTCCATATTCAACCTCTTAAATGCAACCACACTCAATCAAATCCCTTACTCCTCAACGTGAGGGTTCTGCTTTCAGCATGCTTTCAGTGGCGTGAAAATTCACCTGAAGAACTCTGCTCACTCCCAGGGCTAACACAGCCCCTTGATTGCTGGTGTCCATGTAGTCATTGGTCTGATGTATAGATAATAATTCCTAAGCTTGACACTGTATGTATGCCCTGAGATTTTCACCATTTTCTCCGTGCTGTGACCCAGTCCTTGTCTTTGTTCAGGTTCCCCACACTCCCCAGGCCAATGCTTTTCAATAAATACTGAAATTATAGGATGAAATAGTGGTGACTGCTGTGATTGCTTCCAAGTGAGACACGCTTCTGCTCTGGCTCATCAAGTTTACATTACCACTTGCCATTCCTAAGTTTTGTTTTCAATTTTTGGTTTGTATTTCATATACCTGTACACTAAATTTCATGATTTGGGCAGCATTTTTTTTATAAAGGCAGGGCCATAACTTTGAGGAGGACAGACAAGTTTCTATCTCCTTCGTGTAGAAAAAAAAAGGCAATCACAATGCTGATTTCAAACATTTTGGATAAAACAGTAACCAGGCATGTCCGGTGTGTAGAGTGAGATGCTACTGTGTTTTGAAACACAATGGAAAGGCTCTTGATTAATGTATCTTATGAGGAGAGGCCTAAATATAAATTTAAAAAATAGTTACAGTAGTGTATCACTGCATAAGTATCTAAAAAAAGAACGACAACTGGATAACACAAGTGAGGGTCTATGTTCCCTGAACCGGAAGAGACAGGCAGGAGTCGGAATGATGAACCAGCACACTGGGGCGTTTTCTCATGTAGCCCAAGTGACCCCATGGTCTTCTCGAGCTTTGGAACCAGTCGCGTCCCCTTTGACACTGCACCCGGCTCCCAGTCTCTCAATCTTGTTGGCCCTCCGGCGATCTCCCGTTGGATGAATTGCTCCTGCTGAAACTCGAGTCCCCTTTGATTTGCGCTTCATTAATTATTCATGATTCAGGTTCGAAGGCCTGCTGACGACCCCCTGTGGCCGTTCTCTGAGCTTTCCTGTCACATCGTTTCCTTCCACACTCTTTGGTTCCTTATGGTCCTGCTCCTTCTGCTGTCAGAGGAGCAGAGAGTTGATCTTATTCATTCTGGATACGGATACTTTCTAGGTGATCTGGATAATCAAGATAACGACCCTCAACAGCGGCGGAAAGGGAGCAGCCAGTTGGTGTGTCTCAGAAAATCCCACTGAGTTCCGAGGCCTCCTAGATGTGGAATCCTGCTGAGAGTTGTTCCCAGGTCAGAGAATGGAGAGAGCCTGTGCATGATGGGATATCCCCGCCTAGATCTTTCAGTGAGTCTCTACCTCAGCAACTCTTAGGATCAGGGGGAGAACCATGGTGTCAGACATCCGGAAAGAAGACGGGATGAATGTTTTACCTCTGAAGTACATCCCAAATGTGGGAGTTAACTTCAGCTTTGCTGGGGTCTATTTGGCCAGTGAAACGCTGCCTGGTTCCTTCGCACATCCGGAAGCCACTTCACGGGGGGCCGTCGCAACTGGAACCACACACTTGGCATCGGCGGTTGAGCCAAATGGGGACTCGTGGTGCAAGCAACGCTCCCCACGTGTTAGCGTGCGTGAGATTCGGTTGGCGGAATTTTACTAGGTGCGTGTTGGTAGAGTGGGGCTGAGGTTTTCTTGCTCCTGTGGATGTATAGGAAGTCAAAGGTCCTGCCCAGCCCTGCGGTCCCCTCAGTCAACTCTGTTTCGGAGACGTAACGATTTGGATTGCCAACAAGTCAAGATATGTTCAAGCCCTTGGATGTAGGGTAAAGAAAGAGAGATCAGACTGCCACTGTGTCTATGTAGAAGGGGAAGACACAAGAGACTCCATTTTGGAAAAGACCTGTAGTTTAAACAATTGCTTTGCTGAGATGTTGATCATTTGTAGCTTTGCCGCAGCCCCTTCCTTTGACCCAACTTGGAGCTCACCAAAACCTGTGCTGTATAAAATCGAGGTTTAAGGGATCTAGGGCTGTGCAGGACGCGCCTTGTTAACCAAATGTTTACGAGCAGTATACTTGGTAGAAGTCATTGCCATTCTCTAGTCTCAATAAACCAGGGGTGCAATGCACCGTGGAAAGCCACAGGGACCTCTGCCCTTGAAAGCAGGGTATTGTCCAAGGTTTCTCCCCATGTGTCAGTCTGAAATATGGCCTCGTGGGATGGGAAAGACCTGACTGTCCCCCAGCCTGACACCCGCAATGGGTCTGTGCTGAGGTGGATTAGTCAAAGAGGAAAGCCTCTTGCAGTTCAGATGGAGGAAGGCCACTGTCTCCTGCTTGCCCCTGGGAACTGAATGTCTCCGTGTAAAGCCCGATCGTACATTTGTTCAACTCTGAGCTCGGCGAAAAGCTGCCCTGTGGCGGGAGGCGAGACATGCTGGCAGTAATGCTGCCTTGTTATTCTTTACTCCGCTGAGATATTTGTGTGGAGAGAAACATAAATCTGGCCTACGTGCACGTCCAGGCATAGTACCTTCCCTTGAACTTAATAATGATATGGATTCTTTTGCTCACGTGGTTTTTTTTTTTTTTGTTTTTTTTTTTTTGTTGACCTTCCCCTTATTATCACCCTGCTCCCCTACTACATTCCTTTGTGCTGAAATAATGAAAATCATAATCAATAAAAACTGAGGGAACTCAGAGGCCGGTGCCGGTGCAGGTCCTTGGTGTGCTGAGTGCCGGTCCCCTGGACCCACTGTTGTCTCCCTATACTTTGTCTCTGTGTCTGATTTCTTTTCTCCGTCTCTCATCCCACCCGACTAGAAACACCCACAGGTGTGGAGGGGCAGGCCACCCCTTCACTTGGAAAATCAGTTACACACAAACACGGAATGAGAGTCAAAAGACAATATGTCATCTTTTTGAGAATTTTATTCACTTCAAAACCAATTAAACACACATATGTACAAAGGCATTCCAGAGCCCAGTTTTCGAGGCTGAGGAAAGACCCCGAGAGCGCTTTGCACAGCACGCTTCCCAGCGTCCGAAACACTGTTCTCAGGGCGGGGCACAGCGGAAGGGCTGCACCTCTCAGCGTTCCCTAACTTTTCCCTTATTCAGTCATCTAGAGAGCAAATACACAGTAATTCCCCAGTTTCTTATTGACGTCCCAGCGGAAGTCTGACTCCTGCGCGTCACGCAGTTTCTGAGGCAACGAATCTCTGGCGGAAGCTTTTCCTGGCGCGTTTCGGGAGAACCACGCCAACTACAACGTCCCTCACCAGAATTCAATGAGGCAGAGTCCCTGCATCTGCTCCCTGCCTGGCCTGGGCTCCCACATCCACAGAAGCGCCACAGCCGGGGAGCTTCGGAGTCACCGCACAGAGTGTGCTCTCTGCTCTGCGCTCCTCAGTCCCACAGTCCCCTCCAAGTCACGGGAGCTGGAGGCCAAGGAGCCCCTGCCACCTGCAGTCTCACTCCAGGTCAGAATCGCTGTCCTCTGAGGAGGAGGAAACCTGAAGGTCCTCATAGAGGACGCTCGGTGGGACACGAACACAGGGAGCCTCAGACTTCTCTGACACATGAGGGCTCTGAGCGAGGAAGGCTCCCGGCTTCTCAGGAGAGTGAAATGAGGGGGCGGCCAGGAGGCTGGAGCTCCAGCGTCCGTTTTCCAGTCTCCGGAAGAGCACTCTGAGAGGCTGGGCCCCATCATGGCCGGCCGCTGGGTGATGGGACATGGTGCAGGCCTGGGCAGTAGGCAGGCAAGGTGTGCTGTGCGGAGGCTGCCGGTCGACGCTGGGCACCTGGGCCGGTGTCCTCCTGCCCATCTGGGGCGACGTACTTGGTCCAAGTTCGGTTGCGGCTGGCGGAGGTTGGAGATTCTCCGGGGCCCGCAGCTCACCTCCCTGGATGGCGCTTTCGGGGATCTGGAAGGGACCCAGTCTCGGTTCTTGGGAAGTTCAGGCAAGCCTGAATCGGAGCCTGGGCAGGTCTCTTGGCTCCTGGCCCGAAGCTGAGATTGGAGCCTAGGCCCAAGCTGTGTGTGGCGGCTGGCGGGCAGGGCTGTGAGGTCACCGCAGGACGTTTGTCTTGTGCCTGGGGTCTGACGGCCTGGAGCAGGCCGTGGGTTTTGGAGGCAGCCTGGGGAACTTCTCGGCAGCCACCCTCAGGGGCTGCTGTGTGTCGGCTTCACCACGAGGAGAGGCTCGGGGCCCTGGTGCCTGAATGCAGGCTGAGGGATGTCGGCCGCAGCCCCTGTCTGTCTTTCCTTTGGTCCAAGACTTGAGGAGGAGCTCAGGCTGGCTTTTCTGAGGGGAGACAGTGAAGCCAAGACGGAGCCCCTGCCAGACATTTCGGTAGCTGAGCGATCAGCGAGGACAGGGTCCACGCGCGGCCTCTTACTGGTTGTGTGGACCGGCATTGGCCCGCTTGCAACCTGAAAGAGAGGAAACAACACAGGTTAGAAGTTCCACGGCATGGAGCCAACGTGAAAATCAAACATATCCAAAGACAAGGTGCACACGCCATGAAATTCTTAGTACAGTATCGACAGGCGGTCCTTGGAAGTAGGGACAGATCCCTCCACCTGAGTGCTGATCAGGACAAGACACATGAAAGGTGCGCTCTCGAGCTATGTGTAGCTGATCTAAGCACACCATTGTTCAAAAGATCGCGTCTTGGGCATTAACTGGATCAAAGCGCCTCCACTCAGCCTTCCATGAAGTGGAACGGACTAATGCCCTTCCCGAGGCAGGTTGGTGGCTCAAGGGTACTCGGGACGTCTTCTCTGAACACATGCATGTTCCTGGGTTTAGCCTTCTCCACGTTTGGGGCCTCTGAGGGACTAATTTCCTCATGCCGCTAGGAACGTGTTGTTGGCAGGCTTGCCATAATTGGACAGAAAGAAAGCCACAGGAAATACGGCATCTTCAGATGCCTTCGCCTGGAATCCAATTGACCTGGAAGGATTGTGGAGTCCCTGACCCCAAGAAGGCAAGAAAGAGGGGTTCCCCGATTTCCTCCCGCAGACGGGAAGCTGAAAGGAAATCAACCAGGGTGACCTAGAGGAGAAAAGGACCAGGGGCCCGGGGTGACACTCACCCTCAGATGCTCGGAAGATTCCGTGGATCCTTTTCCATTCGGCAGCGGCTTCTCTGGAGGTTTCCCGGAAAACATGTGGAGGAGAGCGTTCCTCTGCGGGTCTTGTTGCCTGCAGAACAGAAAAAGGTCAGGCGGTGCCCCCTGGTTTTCCCCAGGAGACAGGGAGAACCCCGTCTGGGGCCCAGCCCCATTCCGTGTTTTGTGATACAGAAATGGACATCTGGTGCCCTTTCCGCCTCTGCACCTTCCCTCACGTGCCAACCTTCCCATCCTCCAGGTGGCCCTCTAGGCTTCCCGACTAAGGACTGTGATTTGGATTCCATCGCTTTTCCCGCTGTCGTGGGGAACCTGCACGAAGCGCCCCCGCCTCTCCCCGTCCCTGAATCTCCCAGAGCCCAAGGAGCTCCTGGGTGTGGAACCCCGGAGGACACGGAGCTCCGGCCTATTTCTCTGCAGCGCTCCTTCCCTGGCCCGGAGACGGAAAGGCACACGGTGTGCAGGTGCAGAGACACCATCTCCTTAGAGGCAGCACCCTAAGAGTGGTGAAAACCCCTCCCACTGCTCACCTTGGTCTCTCTTCCTTCTCTCCCTTATCCTTGTTCAAGGGCCCCGGGTTGGCTTCAGCCCGGGGCTTCCATGGTTTCAGGTTTTCCTTCCCTTCCTTTTTCCCCAAGGTCGCTGGAACCAGGGCTGCCTTCCAGCACTTCATGGGGCACCTGGTACTTCTGGCCGTGTGGCCAAAGGCCCCGCAGTTTTTGCACTTGAGCTGTGGGTGGAAAGGAAGTGATGTCAGTGAGTGAGCTGAAGCCACAGGCAGCGATCCCACGTCAACATTGGGACGGATTGTGAATTCAGAGCTGAATAAGGATTCCGAAGAGGGGACACCGGCATGGGGGCCGTTAAGTGCTGGGAGAGTTCGGATACGATGTTCCCTCGCAAAGCCCTTGTGACGGAGTAACTCTGAAAGGAAGGACTCAAGGTTCCAAGGGGCACGATGGTGAAGCCGATGTCAACAACGCAGCCAAACGTGGCTACACAGGACTCGAAGTAGAAAGGGAGGTTGCCCCCAAGAGTCTCTCAAGGGACCTATCGGGCCGGGGAGAAGGTCCCAAGCCACGCCCACCTTGGATGGGAAAAGCAACCTGGCTGGTGGTGACAGAACTCTTTGGAATCCAACCCAGTCTCTGAGGACCGTGGGACACCGCCTCCCCCCGTCCCCACCCCCACCCCGATACCCAAGAGATCCAGGGCTAGACTTACCCTGGGATCTTCTTCATCGGGCGGGGGAGACCTTGGCCCAACTGGGGCCCTCCGCTGCTTCTGGAGGGTCTGGGCTCTCACCAGTCTCTTGGCCCAAGATTTGGGGTCCCGACGTGCCATCATCTTCGTCTCCTGGGGGTTTTATGACCGCCTTTTTCAGGGGTGGACTGTTGGGCCACCTGAAACACACACAAACACACACATGTCGATGGTTAAGCACGT
Organism: Homo sapiens; assembly: GCF_000001405.40. Lineage (NCBI taxonomy): Eukaryota > Metazoa > Chordata > Mammalia > Primates > Hominidae > Homo > Homo sapiens. Next base: position 7,552,162 of record NC_000008.11, read on the forward strand.
TGGATATTCACACACCCACAGGAAGCCACCTGCTAACTCCCTGCCTGTGTGGTCATGAGGAGACCTCACCACCAGTCGGTCAAATCTGTAGAACACAATGTGCTGTGCGCATCCTCGGATATTGTGTGTTCCTCTGCCATGACTACCTAGTCCAAGAGTAAACCCCACCTGCCACAGGGCCCGTGGCCTAGGTATGGGGGGTTGAGCTTTCAACCCCAAACAAACAACTGATTCTGGAGACTGGACTTAGGTCTCTCACGATTCACTCCGGTAGAAGACACGGTGATTCTATCTCCCTTGACGGACAGAATGATCGAAGACACAGGGCATGGCGTGTGCCACCCTTTGGCAGGTCTGCTTGAAGTCACGGATAAGGGATGCTTCCTGTGATAACTTGAATCGCTACTCTTGCCATTTCATTAGGCAACTTCCAAACACAAATTCATACAGAGAAGTTACCTTCCTCTCTACCGCACTAGCAGGTGATGGTCTTTCCTGTTCTATCTTTTGGCTTTAGCTCCAGCCCCTCTTTATTTATTTTCCTGGTATTTTACGCACACCACACGAATTCATCTGAACAAACGGGGAAGAAGTGCCGTATCGTATCGACGTCTTACACGGCTGAAGGGCAAACCCCCCTTTTTTCCAAAGTCCTTTTTCCATTTACCCACCAATTCAGCATGCTGCAGTACATTTCTTTTCGCATTCCCATCTTGGTCTTCTCCCACACGTGGAGACGGATATGTTGTCTCGTTTTCTGTTCCAAGAATTACTAGTAACGAGAACACATCCTACCCCACCAGCAAGCCCCAGTGTGATCGGTTTCTTTCGGCCTCCTTTGTCTCTTCCTCCCCCCGCCCCCCCCCCGCCAAAACCACTCAGGGATTGCGTGAAACAAACAATTGTTCAGCGAAACTAACCTGAAATTACACGTCTACTTTCTTTCCCAGGCTGGCGCTGAGATGGGCAGGTGCTGCAGCAGCCCGGCTGGAAGCGATGCAGCATCCAGGACGACGGAGGAAGGGGCAGAGAGGGACCTCCGCTTTCCAGGCTGCCTTTTATACTGCCTCTGGTCACCTGACATGGAACGTACCCTAACCTAATCAGTTACCTGTACCTTAATTGCAATTAACTTAATCCAATTACATGACCTGGAAAGGTCTATCTGCACAGCCCACTCTAAGATCCTGTCCACTGCTGACAGACATTCTAAAACCTACTTGTACAGCTGCAAGCTTTGAACAATAGATGTTCCCCGTCAGACATGTAACACTGGTGCCTGTACCCGTCTTCTTTTCCATCTTTTTTGTCGTTTAGTTTTGTTTTGTTTTAAAAAATGTGGTAAAATAGACACCTTTTAATTGGACCACATTTTGTCTATCTCGACGTAGGCCTCAGTGTCATCAAGGAGACTCTCCTTGACGTGCAGTCACGGCCATGATCCATCTTCAGAGCTTCTCTTTCTTCCCCAAGGTAAGTCTGTCAGCAGAGAACCCTGACCGCACCCTCATGTGTTTTCTCCCCCAGGAGGCGCTTGGAAACCACCGTGAATTGGACCGCACTGGGAAACACAGATGAGGAAAGTCAACAACGCTTTGTCCTTCAGTGCCTGGCTCCTTTTTCAGCTCCTCTTGCGACTCCAGGCATTATGCCTGAAAAGTCTCCCGGACGCCTGTGAGGCTCTAATTCCCTGGGTCCCATTGCCATGTCTCTGGATTTGCGAAGATCCACCGCACCTTCTGTGGAACTCCCGTGTCGGTGAACTTTAGTGCCACGGCCCCTAATTCTGCCCATGGTCATCCGCACCTGCACGACTTAGGGTCCATGTTCCTTGGACGGGAAGAGACAGGCAGGAGTCGGAATGATGAACCAGCACACTGGGGCATTTTCTCATGTAGCCCAAGTGACCCCATGGTCTTCTCGAGCTTTGGAACCAGTCGCGTCCCCTTTGACACTGCACCCGGCTCCCAGTCTCTCAATCTTGTTGGCCCTCCGGCGATCTCCCGTTGGATGAATTGCTCCTGCTGAAACTCGAGTCCCCTTTGATTTGCGCTTCATTAATTATTCATGATTCAGGTTGGAAGGCCTGCTGACGACCCCCTGTGGCCGTTCTCTGAGCTTTCCTGTCACATCGTTTCCTTCCACGCTCTTTGGTTCCTTATGGTCCTGCTCCTTCTGCTGTCAGAGGAGCAGAGAGTTGATCTTATTCATTCTGGATACGGATACTTTCTAGTTGATCTGGATAATCAAGATAACGACCCACAACAGCGGCGGAGAGGGAGCAGCCAGTTGGTGTGTCTCAGAAAATCCCACTGAGTTCCGAGGCCTCCTAGATGTGGAATCCTGCTGAGAGTTGTTCCCAGGTCAGAGAATGGAGAGAGCCTGTGCATGATGGGATATCCCCGCCTAGATCTTTCAGTGAGTCTCTGCCTCAGCTACTCTTAGGATCAGGGGGAGAACCATGGTGTCAGACATCCAGAAAGAAGACGGGATGAATGTTTTACCTCTGAGGTACATCCCAAATGTGGGAGTTAACTTCAGCTTTGCTGGGGTCTATTTGGCCAGTGAAACGCTGCCTGGTTCATTCGCACATCCGGAAGCCACTTCACGGGGGGCCGTCGCAACTGGAACCACACACTTGGCATCGGCGGTTGAGCCAAATGGGGACTCGTGGTGCAAGCAACGCTCCCCACGTGTTAGCGTGCGTGAGATGCGGTTGGCGGAATTTTACTAGGTGCGTGTTGGTAGAGTGGGGCTGAGGTTTTCTTGCTCCTGTGGATGTATAGGAAGTCAAAGGTCCTGCCCAGCCCTGCGGTCCCCTCAGTCAACTCTGTTTCGGAGACGTAACGATTTGGATTGCCAACAAGTCAAGAAATGTTCAAGCCCTTGGATGTAGGGTAAAGAAAGAGAGATCAGACTGTCACTGTGTCTATGTAGAAGGGGAAGACATAAGAGACTCCATTTTGAAAAAGACCTGTAGTTTAAACAATTGCTTTGCTGAGATGTTGATCATTTGTAGCTTTGCCGCAGCCCCTTCCTTTGACCCAACTTGGAGCTCACAAAAACCTGTGTTGTATAAAATCGAGGTTTAAGGGATCTAGGGCTGTGCAGGACGCGCCTTGTTAACCAAATGTTTACGAGCAGTATCCTTGGTAGGAGTCATTGCCATTCCCTAGTCTCAATAAACCAGGGGCGCAATGCACCGTGGAAAGCCACAGGGACCTCTGCCCTTGAAAGCAGGGTATTGTCCAAGGTTTCTCCCCATGTGACAGTCTGAAATATGGCCTCGTGGGATGGGAAAGTCCTGAATGTCCCCCAGCCTGACACCCGCAATGGGTCTGTGCTGAGGTGGATTAGTCAAAGAGGAACGCCTCTTGCAATTCAGATGGAGGAAGGCCACTGTCTCCTGCTTGCCCCTGGGAACTGAATGTCTCGGTGTAAAGCCCGATCGTACATTTGTTCAACTCTGAGCTCGGCGAAAAGCTGCCCTGTGGCGGGAGGCGAGACATGCTGGCAGTAATGCTGCCTTGTTATTCTTTACTCCGCTGAGATATTTGTGTGGAGAGAAACATAAATCTGGCCTACGTGCACGTCCAGGCATAGTACCTTCCCTTGAACTTAATAATGATATGGATTCTTTTGCTCACGTGTTTGTTTTTTGTTGTTGTTGTTGACCTTCCCCTTATTATCACCCTGCTCCCCTACTGCATTCCTTTGTGCTGAAATAATGAAAATCATAATCAATAAAAACTGAGGGAACTCAGAGGCCGGTGCCGGTGCAGGTCCTAGGTGTGCTGAGTGCCTGTCCCCTGGACCCACTGTTGTCTCCCTATACTTTGTCTCTGTGTCTGATTTCTTTTCTCCGTCTCTCATCCCACCCGACTAGAAACACCCACAGGTGTGGAGGGGCGGGCCACCCCTTCACTTGGAAAATCAGTTACACACAAACACGGAATGAGAGTCAAAAGACAATATGTCATCTTTTTGAGAATTTTATTCACTTCAAAACACATTAAACACACATATGTACAAAGGCATTCCAGAGCCCAGTTTTCGAGGCTGAGGAAAGACCCCGAGAGCGCTTCGCACAGCACGCTTCCCAGCGTCCGAAACACTGCTCTCAGGGCGGGGCACAGCGGAAGGGCTGCACCTCTCAGGGTTCCCTAACTTTTCCCTTATTCAGTCATCTAGACAGCAAATACACAGTAATTCCCCAGTTTCCTATTGACGTCCCAGCGGAAGTCTGACTCCTGCGCGTCACGCAGTTTCTGAGGCAACGAATCTCTGGCACGGAAGCTTTTCCTGGCGCGTTTCGGGAGAACCACGCCAACTACAACGTCCCTCACCAGAATTCAATGAGGCAGAGTCCCTGCATCTGCTCCCTGCCTGGCCTGGGCTCCCACATCCACAGAAGCGCCACAGCCGGGGAGCTTCGGAGTCACCGCACAGAGTGTGCTCTCTGCTCTGCGCTCCTCAGTCCCACAGTCCCCTCCAAGTCACGGGAGCTGGAGGCCAAGGAGCCCCTGCCACCTGCAGTCTCACTCCAGGTCAGAATCGCTGTCCTCTGAGGAGGAGGAAACCTGAAGGTCCTCATAGAGGACGCTCGGTGGGACACGAACACAGGGAGCCTCAGACTTCTCTGACACATGAGGGCTCTGAGCGAGGAAGGCTCCCGGCTTCTCAGGAGAGTGAAATGAGGGGGCGGCCAGGAGGCTGGAGCTCCAGCGTCCGTTTTCCAGTCTCCGGAAGAGCACTCTGAGAGGCTGGGCCCCATCATGGCCGGCCGCTGGGTGATGGGACATGGTGCAGGCCTGGGCAGTAGGCAGGCAAGGTGTGCTGTGCGGAGGCTGCCGGTCGACGCTGGGCACCTGGGCCGGTGTCCTCCTGCCCATCTGGGGCGACGTACTTGGTCCAAGTTCGGTTGCGGCTGGCGGAGGTTGGAGATTCTCCGGGGCCCGCAGCTCACCTCCCTGGATGGCGCTTTCGGGGATCTGGAAGGGACCCAGTCTCGGTTTCTTGGGGAAGTTCAGGCAAGCCTGAATCGGAGCCTGGGCAGGTCTCTTGGCTCCTGGCCCGAAGCTGAGATTGGAGCCTAGGCCCAAGCTGTGTGTGGCGGCTGGCGGGCAGGGCTGTGAGGTCACCGCAGGACGTTTGTCTTGTGCCTGGGGTCTGACGGCCTGGAGCAGGCCGTGGGTTTTGGAGGCAGCCTGGGGAACTTCTCGGCAGCCACCCTCAGGGCTGCTGTGTGTCGGCTTCACCACGAGGAGAGGCTCGGGGCCCTGGTGCCTGAATGCAGGCTGAGGGATGTCGGCCGCAGCCCCTGTCTGTCTTTCCTTTGGTCCAAGACTTGAGGAGGAGCTCAGGCTGGCTTTTCTGAGGGGAGACAGTGAAGCCAAGACGGAGCCCCTGCCAGACATTTCGGTAGCTGAGCGATCAGCGAGGACAGGGTCCACGCGCGGCCTCTTACTGGTTGTGTGGACCGGCATTGGCCCGCTTGCAACCTGAAAGAGAGGAAACAACACAGGTTAGAAGTTCCACGGCATGGAGCCAACGTGAAAATCAAACATATCCAAAGACAAGGTGCACACGCCATGAAATTCTTAGTACAGTATCGACAGGCGGTCCTTGGAAGTAGGGACAGATCCCTCCACCTGAGTGCTGATCAGGACAAGACACATGAAAGGTGCGCTCTCGAGCTATGTGTAGCTGATCTAAGCACACCATTGTTCAAAAGATCGCGTCTTGGGCATTAACTGGATCAAAGCGCCTCCACTCAGCCTTCCATGAAGTGGAACGGACTAATGCCCTTCCCGAGGCAGGTTGGTGGCTCAAGGGTACTCGGGACGTCTTCTCTGAACACATGCATGTTCCTGGGTTTAGCCTTCTCCACGTTTGGGGCCTCTGAGGGACTAATTTCCTCATGCCGCTAGGAACGTGTTGTTGGCAGGCTTGCCATAATTGGACAGAAAGAAAGCCACAGGAAATACGGCATCTTCAGATGCCTTCGCCTGGAATCCAATTGACCTGGAAGGATTGTGGAGTCCCTGACCCCAAGAAGGCAAGAAAGAGGGGTTCCCCGATTTCCTCCCGCAGACGGGAAGCTGAAAGGAAATCAACCAGGGTGACCTAGAGGAGAAAAGGACCAGGGGCCCGGGGTGACACTCACCCTCAGATGCTCGGAAGATTCCGTGGATCCTTTTCCATTCGGCAGCGGCTTCTCTGGAGGTTTCCCGGAAAACATGTGGAGGAGAGCGTTCCTCTGCGGGTCTTGTTGCCTGCAGAACAGAAAAAGGTCAGGCGGTGCCCCCTGGTTTTCCCCAGGAGACAGGGAGAACCCCGTCTGGGGCCCAGCCCCATTCCGTGTTTTGTGATACAGAAATGGACATCTGGTGCCCTTTCCGCCTCTGCACCTTCCCTCACGTGCCAACCTTCCCATCCTCCAGGTGGCCCTCTAGGCTTCCCGACTAAGGACTGTGATTTGGATTCCATCGCTTTTCCCGCTGTCGTGGGGAACCTGCACGAAGCGCCCCCGCCTCTCCCCGTCCCTGAATCTCCCAGAGCCCAAGGAGCTCCTGGGTGTGGAACCCCGGAGGACACGGAGCTCCGGCCTATTTCTCTGCAGCGCTCCTTCCCTGGCCCGGAGACGGAAAGGCACACGGTGTGCAGGTGCAGAGACACCATCTCCTTAGGAGGCAGCACCCTAAGAGTGGTGAAAACCCCTCCCACTGCTCACCTTGGTCTCTCTTCCTTCTCTCCCTTATCCTTGTTCAAGGGCCCCGGGTTGGCTTCAGCCCGGGGCTTCCATGGTTTCAGGTTTTCCTTCCCTTCCTTTTTCCCCAAGGTCGCTGGAACCAGGGCTGCCTTCCAGCACTTCATGGGGCACCTGGTACTTCTGGCCGTGTGGCCAAAGGCCCCGCAGTTTTTGCACTTGAGCTGTGGGTGGAAAGGAAGTGATGTCAGTGAGTGAGCTGAAGCCACAGGCAGCGATCCCACGTCAACATTGGGACGGATTGTGAATTCAGAGCTGAATAAGGATTCCGAAGAGGGGACACCGGCATGGGGGCCGTTAAGTGCTGGGAGAGTTCGGATACGATGTTCCCTCGCAAAGCCCTTGTGACGGAGTAACTCTGAAAGGAAGGACTCAAGGTTCCAAGGGGCACGATGGTGAAGCCGATGTCAACAACGCAGCCAAACGTGGCTACACAGGACTCGAAGTAGAAAGGGAGGTTGCCCCCAAGAGTCTCTCAAGGGACCTATCGGGCCGGGGAGAAGGTCCCAAGCCACGCCCACCTTGGATGGGAAAAGCAACCTGGCTGGTGGTGACAGAACTCTTTGGAATCCAACCCAGTCTCTGAGGACCGTGGGACACCGCCTCCCCCCGTTCCCCACCCCCACCCCGATACCCAAGAGATCCAGGGCTAGACTTACCCTGGGATCTTCTTCATCGGGCGGGGGAGACCTTGGCCCAACTGGGGCCCTCCGCTGCTTCTGGAGGGTCTGGGCTCTCACCAGTCTCTTGGCCCAAGATTTGGGGTCCCGACGTGCCATCATCTTCGTCTCCTGGGGGTTTTATGACCGCCTTTTTCAGGGGTGGACTGTTGGGCCACCTGAAACACACACAAACACACACATGTCGATGGTTAAGCACGTTGGATATTCACACACCCACAGGAAGCCACCTGCTAACTCCCTGCCTGTGTGGTCATGAGGAGACCTCACCACCAGTCGGTCAAATCTGTAGAACACAATGTGCTGTGCGCATCCTCGGATATTGTGTGTTCCTCTGCCATGACTACCTAGTCCAAGAGTAAACCCCACCTGCCACAGGGCCCGTGGCCTAGGTATGGGGGGTTGAGCTTTCAACCCCAAACAAACAACTGATTCTGGAGACTGGACTTAGGTCTCTCACGATTCACTCCGGTAGAAGACACGGTGATTCTATCTCCCTTGACGGACAGAATGATCGAAGACACAGGGCATGGCGTGTGCCACCCTTTGGCAGGTCTGCTTGAAGTCACGGATAAGGGATGCTTCCTGTGATAACTTGAATCGCTACTCTTGCCATTTCATTAGGCAACTTCCAAACACAAATTCATACAGAGAAGTTACCTTCCTCTCTACCGCACTAGCAGGTGATGGTCTTTCCTGTTCTATCTTTTGGCTTTAGCTCCAGCCCCTCTTTATTTATTTTCCTGGTATTTTACGCACACCACACGAATTCATCTGAACAAACGGGGAAGAAGTGCCGTATCGTATCGACGTCTTACACGGCTGAAGGGCAAACCCCCCTTTTTTCCAAAGTCCTTTTTCCATTTACCCACCAATTCAGCATGCTGCAGTACATTTCTTTTCGCATTCCCATCTTGGTCTTCTCCCACACGTGGAGACGGATATGTTGTCTCGTTTTCTGTTCCAAGAATTACTAGTAACGAGAACACATCCTACCCCACCAGCAAGCCCCAGTGTGATCGGTTTCTTTCGGCCTCCTTTGTCTCTTCCTCCCCCCGCCCCCCCCCCGCCAAAACCACTCAGGGATTGCGTGAAACAAACAATTGTTCAGCGAAACTAACCTGAAATTACACGTCTACTTTCTTTCCCAGGCTGGCGCTGAGATGGGCAGGTGCTGCAGCAGCCCGGCTGGAAGCGATGCAGCATCCAGGACGACGGAGGAAGGGGCAGAGAGGGACCTCCGCTTTCCAGGCTGCCTTTTATACTGCCTCTGGTCACCTGACATGGAACGTACCCTAACCTAATCAGTTACCTGTACCTTAATTGCAATTAACTTAATCCAATTACATGACCTGGAAAGGTCTATCTGCACAGCCCACTCTAAGATCCTGTCCACTGCTGACAGACATTCTAAAACCTACTTGTACAGCTGCAAGCTTTGAACAATAGATGTTCCCCGTCAGACATGTAACACTGGTGCCTGTACCCGTCTTCTTTTCCATCTTTTTTGTCGTTTAGTTTTGTTTTGTTTTAAAAAATGTGGTAAAATAGACACCTTTTAATTGGACCACATTTTGTCTATCTCGACGTAGGCCTCAGTGTCATCAAGGAGACTCTCCTTGACGTGCAGTCACGGCCATGATCCATCTTCAGAGCTTCTCTTTCTTCCCCAAGGTAAGTCTGTCAGCAGAGAACCCTGACCGCACCCTCATGTGTTTTCTCCCCCAGGAGGCGCTTGGAAACCACCGTGAATTGGACCGCACTGGGAAACACAGATGAGGAAAGTCAACAACGCTTTGTCCTTCAGTGCCTGGCTCCTTTTTCAGCTCCTCTTGCGACTCCAGGCATTATGCCTGAAAAGTCTCCCGGACGCCTGTGAGGCTCTAATTCCCTGGGTCCCATTGCCATGTCTCTGGATTTGCGAAGATCCACCGCACCTTCTGTGGAACTCCCGTGTCGGTGAACTTTAGTGCCACGGCCCCTAATTCTGCCCATGGTCATCCGCACCTGCACGACTTAGGGTCCATGTTCCTTGGACGGGAAGAGACAGGCAGGAGTCGGAATGATGAACCAGCACACTGGGGCATTTTCTCATGTAGCCCAAGTGACCCCATGGTCTTCTCGAGCTTTGGAACCAGTCGCGTCCCCTTTGACACTGCACCCGGCTCCCAGTCTCTCAATCTTGTTGGCCCTCCGGCGATCTCCCGTTGGATGAATTGCTCCTGCTGAAACTCGAGTCCCCTTTGATTTGCGCTTCATTAATTATTCATGATTCAGGTTGGAAGGCCTGCTGACGACCCCCTGTGGCCGTTCTCTGAGCTTTCCTGTCACATCGTTTCCTTCCACGCTCTTTGGTTCCTTATGGTCCTGCTCCTTCTGCTGTCAGAGGAGCAGAGAGTTGATCTTATTCATTCTGGATACGGATACTTTCTAGTTGATCTGGATAATCAAGATAACGACCCACAACAGCGGCGGAGAGGGAGCAGCCAGTTGGTGTGTCTCAGAAAATCCCACTGAGTTCCGAGGCCTCCTAGATGTGGAATCCTGCTGAGAGTTGTTCCCAGGTCAGAGAATGGAGAGAGCCTGTGCATGATGGGATATCCCCGCCTAGATCTTTCAGTGAGTCTCTGCCTCAGCTACTCTTAGGATCAGGGGGAGAACCATGGTGTCAGACATCCAGAAAGAAGACGGGATGAATGTTTTACCTCTGAGGTACATCCCAAATGTGGGAGTTAACTTCAGCTTTGCTGGGGTCTATTTGGCCAGTGAAACGCTGCCTGGTTCATTCGCACATCCGGAAGCCACTTCACGGGGGGCCGTCGCAACTGGAACCACACACTTGGCATCGGCGGTTGAGCCAAATGGGGACTCGTGGTGCAAGCAACGCTCCCCACGTGTTAGCGTGCGTGAGATGCGGTTGGCGGAATTTTACTAGGTGCGTGTTGGTAGAGTGGGGCTGAGGTTTTCTTGCTCCTGTGGATGTATAGGAAGTCAAAGGTCCTGCCCAGCCCTGCGGTCCCCTCAGTCAACTCTGTTTCGGAGACGTAACGATTTGGATTGCCAACAAGTCAAGAAATGTTCAAGCCCTTGGATGTAGGGTAAAGAAAGAGAGATCAGACTGTCACTGTGTCTATGTAGAAGGGGAAGACATAAGAGACTCCATTTTGAAAAAGACCTGTAGTTTAAACAATTGCTTTGCTGAGATGTTGATCATTTGTAGCTTTGCCGCAGCCCCTTCCTTTGACCCAACTTGGAGCTCACAAAAACCTGTGTTGTATAAAATCGAGGTTTAAGGGATCTAGGGCTGTGCAGGACGCGCCTTGTTAACCAAATGTTTACGAGCAGTATCCTTGGTAGGAGTCATTGCCATTCCCTAGTCTCAATAAACCAGGGGCGCAATGCACCGTGGAAAGCCACAGGGACCTCTGCCCTTGAAAGCAGGGTATTGTCCAAGGTTTCTCCCCATGTGACAGTCTGAAATATGGCCTCGTGGGATGGGAAAGTCCTGAATGTCCCCCAGCCTGACACCCGCAATGGGTCTGTGCTGAGGTGGATTAGTCAAAGAGGAACGCCTCTTGCAATTCAGATGGAGGAAGGCCACTGTCTCCTGCTTGCCCCTGGGAACTGAATGTCTCGGTGTAAAGCCCGATCGTACATTTGTTCAACTCTGAGCTCGGCGAAAAGCTGCCCTGTGGCGGGAGGCGAGACATGCTGGCAGTAATGCTGCCTTGTTATTCTTTACTCCGCTGAGATATTTGTGTGGAGAGAAACATAAATCTGGCCTACGTGCACGTCCAGGCATAGTACCTTCCCTTGAACTTAATAATGATATGGATTCTTTTGCTCACGTGTTTGTTTTTTGTTGTTGTTGTTGACCTTCCCCTTATTATCACCCTGCTCCCCTACTGCATTCCTTTGTGCTGAAATAATGAAAATCATAATCAATAAAAACTGAGGGAACTCAGAGGCCGGTGCCGGTGCAGGTCCTAGGTGTGCTGAGTGCCTGTCCCCTGGACCCACTGTTGTCTCCCTATACTTTGTCTCTGTGTCTGATTTCTTTTCTCCGTCTCTCATCCCACCCGACTAGAAACACCCACAGGTGTGGAGGGGCGGGCCACCCCTTCACTTGGAAAATCAGTTACACACAAACACGGAATGAGAGTCAAAAGACAATATGTCATCTTTTTGAGAATTTTATTCACTTCAAAACACATTAAACACACATATGTACAAAGGCATTCCAGAGCCCAGTTTTCGAGGCTGAGGAAAGACCCCGAGAGCGCTTCGCACAGCACGCTTCCCAGCGTCCGAAACACTGCTCTCAGGGCGGGGCACAGCGGAAGGGCTGCACCTCTCAGGGTTCCCTAACTTTTCCCTTATTCAGTCATCTAGACAGCAAATACACAGTAATTCCCCAGTTTCCTATTGACGTCCCAGCGGAAGTCTGACTCCTGCGCGTCACGCAGTTTCTGAGGCAACGAATCTCTGGCACGGAAGCTTTTCCTGGCGCGTTTCGGGAGAACCACGCCAACTACAACGTCCCTCACCAGAATTCAATGAGGCAGAGTCCCTGCATCTGCTCCCTGCCTGGCCTGGGCTCCCACATCCACAGAAGCGCCACAGCCGGGGAGCTTCGGAGTCACCGCACAGAGTGTGCTCTCTGCTCTGCGCTCCTCAGTCCCACAGTCCCCTCCAAGTCACGGGAGCTGGAGGCCAAGGAGCCCCTGCCACCTGCAGTCTCACTCCAGGTCAGAATCGCTGTCCTCTGAGGAGGAGGAAACCTGAAGGTCCTCATAGAGGACGCTCGGTGGGACACGAACACAGGGAGCCTCAGACTTCTCTGACACATGAGGGCTCTGAGCGAGGAAGGCTCCCGGCTTCTCAGGAGAGTGAAATGAGGGGGCGGCCAGGAGGCTGGAGCTCCAGCGTCCGTTTTCCAGTCTCCGGAAGAGCACTCTGAGAGGCTGGGCCCCATCATGGCCGGCCGCTGGGTGATGGGACATGGTGCAGGCCTGGGCAGTAGGCAGGCAAGGTGTGCTGTGCGGAGGCTGCCGGTCGACGCTGGGCACCTGGGCCGGTGTCCTCCTGCCCATCTGGGGCGACGTACTTGGTCCAAGTTCGGTTGCGGCTGGCGGAGGTTGGAGATTCTCCGGGGCCCGCAGCTCACCTCCCTGGATGGCGCTTTCGGGGATCTGGAAGGGACCCAGTCTCGGTTTCTTGGGGAAGTTCAGGCAAGCCTGAATCGGAGCCTGGGCAGGTCTCTTGGCTCCTGGCCCGAAGCTGAGATTGGAGCCTAGGCCCAAGCTGTGTGTGGCGGCTGGCGGGCAGGGCTGTGAGGTCACCGCAGGACGTTTGTCTTGTGCCTGGGGTCTGACGGCCTGGAGCAGGCCGTGGGTTTTGGAGGCAGCCTGGGGAACTTCTCGGCAGCCACCCTCAGGGCTGCTGTGTGTCGGCTTCACCACGAGGAGAGGCTCGGGGCCCTGGTGCCTGAATGCAGGCTGAGGGATGTCGGCCGCAGCCCCTGTCTGTCTTTCCTTTGGTCCAAGACTTGAGGAGGAGCTCAGGCTGGCTTTTCTGAGGGGAGACAGTGAAGCCAAGACGGAGCCCCTGCCAGACATTTCGGTAGCTGAGCGATCAGCGAGGACAGGGTCCACGCGCGGCCTCTTACTGGTTGTGTGGACCGGCATTGGCCCGCTTGCAACCTGAAAGAGAGGAAACAACACAGGTTAGAAGTTCCACGGCATGGAGCCAACGTGAAAATCAAACATATCCAAAGACAAGGTGCACACGCCATGAAATTCTTAGTACAGTATCGACAGGCGGTCCTTGGAAGTAGGGACAGATCCCTCCACCTGAGTGCTGATCAGGACAAGACACATGAAAGGTGCGCTCTCGAGCTATGTGTAGCTGATCTAAGCACACCATTGTTCAAAAGATCGCGTCTTGGGCATTAACTGGATCAAAGCGCCTCCACTCAGCCTTCCATGAAGTGGAACGGACTAATGCCCTTCCCGAGGCAGGTTGGTGGCTCAAGGGTACTCGGGACGTCTTCTCTGAACACATGCATGTTCCTGGGTTTAGCCTTCTCCACGTTTGGGGCCTCTGAGGGACTAATTTCCTCATGCCGCTAGGAACGTGTTGTTGGCAGGCTTGCCATAATTGGACAGAAAGAAAGCCACAGGAAATACGGCATCTTCAGATGCCTTCGCCTGGAATCCAATTGACCTGGAAGGATTGTGGAGTCCCTGACCCCAAGAAGGCAAGAAAGAGGGGTTCCCCGATTTCCTCCCACAGACGGGAAGCTGAAAGGAAATCAACCAGGGTGACCTAGAGGAGAAAAGGACCAGGGGCCCGGGGTGACACTCACCCTCAGATGCTCAGAAGATTCCGTGGATCCTTTTCCATTCGGCAGCGGCTTCTCTGGAGGTTTCCCGGAAAACATGTGGAGGAGAGCCTTCCTCTGCGGGTCTTGTTGCCTGCAGAACAGAAAAAGGTCAGGCGGTGCCCCCTGGTTTTCCCCAGGAGACAGGGAGAACCCCGTCTGGGGCCCAGCCCCATTCCGTGTTTTGTGATACAGAAATGGACATCTGGTGCCCTTTCCGCCTCTGCACCTTCCCTCACGTGCCAACCTTCCCATCCTCCAGGTGGCCCTCTAGGCTTCCCGACTAAGGACTGTGATTTGGATTCCATCGCTTTTCCCGCTGTCGTGGGGAACCTGCACGAAGCGCCCCCGCCTCTCCCCGTCCCTGAATCTCCCAGAGCCCAAGGAGCTCCTGGGTGTGGAACCCCGGAGGACACGGAGCTCCGGCCTATTTCTCTGCAGCGCTCCTTCCCTGGCCCGGAGACGGAAAGGCACACGGTGTGCAGGTGCAGAGACACCATCTCCTTAGGAGGCAGCACCCTAAGAGTGGTGAAACCCTCCCACTGCTCACCTTGGTCTCTCTTCCTTCTCTCCCTTATCCTTGTTTCAGGGCCCCCGGGTTGGCTTCAGCCCGGGGCTTCCATGGTTTCAGGTTTTCCTTCCCTTCCTTTTTTCCCCAGGTCGCTGGAACCAGGGCTGCCTTCCAGCACTTCATGGGGCACCTGGTACTTCTGGCCGTGTGGCCAAAGGCCCCGCAGTTTTTGCACTTGAGCTGTGGGTGGAAAGGAAGTGATGTCAGTGAGTGAGCTGAAGCCACAGGCAGCGATCCCACGTCAACATTGGGACGGATTGTGAATTCAGAGCTGAATAAGGATTCCGAAGAGGGGACACCGGCATGGGGGCCGTTAAGTGCTGGGAGAGTTCGGATACGATGTTCCCTCGCAAAGCCCTTGTGACGGAGTAACTCTGAAAGGAAGGACTCAAGGTTCCAAGGGGCACGATGGTGAAGCCGATGTCAACAACGCAGCCAAACGTGGCTACACAGGACTCGAAGTAGAAAGGGAGGTTGCCCCCAAGAGTCTCTCAAGGGACCTATCGGGCCGGGGAGAAGGTCCCAAGCCACGCCCACCTTGGATGGGAAAAGCAACCTGGCTGGTGGTGACAGAACTCTTTGGAATCCAACCCAGTCTCTGAGGACCGTGGGACACCGCCTCCCCCCGTCCCCACCCCCACCCCGATACCCAAGAGATCCAGGGCTAGACTTACCCTGGGATCTTCTTCATCGGGCGGGGGAGACCTTGGCCCAACTGGGGCCCTCCGCTGCTTCTGGAGGGTCTGGGCTCTCACCAGTCTCTTGGCCCAAGATTTGGGGTCCCGACGTGCCATCATCTTCGTCTCCTGGGGGTTTTATGACCGCCTTTTTCAGGGGTGGACTGTTGGGCCACCTGAAACACACACAAACACACACATGTCGATGGTTAAGCACGTTGGATATTCACACACCCACAGGAAGCCACCTGCTAACTCCCTGCCTGTGTGGTCATGAGGAGACCTCACCACCAGTCGGTCAAATCTGTAGAACACAATGTGCTGTGCGCATCCTCGGATATTGTGTGTTCCTCTGCCATGACTACCTAGTCCAAGAGTAAACCCCACCTGCCACAGGGCCCGTGGCCTAGGTATGGGGGGTTGAGCTTTCAACCCCAAACAAACAACTGATTCTGGAGACTGGACTTAGGTCTCTCACGATTCACTCCGGTAGAAGACACGGTGATTCTATCTCCCTTGACGGACAGAATGATCGAAGACACAGGGCATGGCGTGTGCCACCCTTTGGCAGGTCTGCTTGAAGTCACGGATAAGGGATGCTTCCTGTGACAACTTGAATCGCTACTCTTGCCATTTCATTAGGCAACTTCCAAACACAAATTCATACAGAGAAGTTACCTTCCTCTCTACCGCACTAGCAGGTGATGGTCTTTCCTGTTCTATCTTTTGGCTTTAGCTCCAGCCCCTCTTTATTTATTTTCCTGGTATTTTACGCACACCACACGAATTCATCTGAACAAACGGGGGAAGAAGTGCCGTATCGTATCGACGTCTTACACGGCTGAAGGGCAAAACCCCCTTTTTTCCAAAGTCCTTTTTCCATTTACCCACCAATTCAGCATGCTGCAGTACATTTCTTTTCGCATTCCCATCTTGGTCTTCTCCCACACGTGGAGACGGATATGTTTTCTCGTTTTCTGTTCCAAGAATTACTAGTAACGAGAACACATCCTACCCCACCACCAAGCCCCAGTGTGATCGGTTTCTTTCCTCCTTTGTCTCTTCCTCCCCCCGCCCCCCCCCCGCCAAAACCACTCAGGGATTGCGTGAAACAAACAATTGTTCAGCGAAACTAACCTGAAATTACACGTCTACTTTCTTTCCCAGGCTGGCGCTGAGATGGGCAGGTGCTGCAGCAGCCCGGCTGGAAGCGATGCAGCATCCAGGACGACGGAGGAAGGGGCAGAGAGGGACCTCCGCTTTCCAGGCTGCCTTTTATACTGCCTCTGGTCACCTGACATGGAACGTACCCTAACCTAATCAGTTACCTGTACCTTAATTGCAATTAACTTAATCCAATTACATGACCTGGAAAGGTCTATCTGCACAGCCCACTCTAAGATCATGTCCACTGCTGACAGACATTCTAAAACCTACTTGTACAGCTGCAAGCTTTGAACAATAGATGTTCCCCGTCAGACATGTAACACTGGTGCCTGTACCCGTCTTCTTTTCCATCTTTTTTGTCGTTTAGTTTTGTTTTGTTTTAAAAAATGTGGTAAAATAGACACCTTTTAATTGGACCACATTTTGTCTATCTCGACGTAGGCCTCAGTGTCATCAAGGAGACTCTCCTTGACATGCAGTCACGGCCATGATCCATCTTCAGAGCTTCTCTTTCTTCCCCAAGGTAAGTCTGTCAGCAGAGAACCCTGACCGCACCCTCATGTGTTTTCTCCCCCAGGAGGCGCTTGGAAACCACCGTGAATTGGACCGCACTGGGAAACACAGATGAGGAAAGTCAACAACGCTTTGTCCTTCAGTGCCTGGCTCCTTTTTCAGCTCCTCTTGCGACTCCAGGCATTATGCCTGAAAAGTCTCCCGGACGCCTGTGAGGCTCTAATTCCCTGGGTCCCATTGCCATGTCTCTGGATTTGCGAAGATCCACCGCACCTTCTGTGGAACTCCCGTGTCGGTGAACTTTAGTGCCACGGCCCCTAATTCTGCCCATGGTCATCCGCACCTGCACGACTTAGGGTCCATGTTCCTTGGACGGGAAGAGACAGGCAGGAGTCGGAATGATGAACCAGCACACTGGGGCGTTTTCTCATGTAGCCCAAGTGACCCCATGGTCTTCTCGAGCTTTGGAACCAGTCGCGTCCCCTTTGACACTGCACCCGGCTCCCAGTCTCTCAATCTTGTTGGCCCTCCGGCGATCTCCCGTTGGATGAATTGCTCCTGCTGAAACTCGAGTCCCCTTTGATTTGCGCTTCATTAATTATTCATGATTCAGGTTGGAAGGCCTGCTGACGACCCCCTGTGGCCGTTCTCTGAGCTTTCCTGTCACATCGTTTCCTTCCACGCTCTTTGGTTCCTTATGGTCCTGCTCCTTCTGCTGTCAGAGGAGCAGAGAGTTGATCTTATTCATTCTGGATACGGATACTTTCTAGGTGATCTGGATAATCAAGATAACGACCCTCAACAGCGGCGGAAAGGGAGCAGCCAGTTGGTGTGTCTCAGAAAATCCCGCTGAGTTCCGAGGCCTCCTAGATGTGGAATCCTGCTGAGAGTTGGTCCCAGGTCAGAGAATGGAGAGAGCCTGTGCATGATGGGATATCCCCGCCTAGATCTTTTAGTGAGTCTCTGCCTCAGCTACTCTTAGGATCAGGGGGAGAACCATGGTGTCAGACATCCGGAAAGAAGACGGGATGAATGTTTTACCTCTGAAGTACATCCCAAATGTGGGAGTTAACTTCAGCTTTGCTGGGGTCTATTTGGCCAGTGAAACTCTGCCTGGTTCCTTCGCACATCCGGAAGCCACTTCACGGGGGGCCGTCGCAACTGGAACCACACACTTGGCATCGGCGGTTGAGCCAAATGGGGACTCGTGGTGCAAGCAACGCTCCCCACGTGTTAGCGTGCGTGAGATTCGGTTGGCGGAATTTTACTAGGTGCGTGTTGGTAGAGTGGGGCTGAGGTTTTCTTGCTCCTGTGGATGTATAGGAAGTCAAAGGTCCTGCCCAGCCCTGCGGTCCCCTCAGTCAACTCTGTTTCGGAGAGGTAACGATTTGGATTGCCAACAAATCAAGAAATGTTCAAGCCCTTGGATGTAGGGTAAAGAAAGAGAGATCGGACTGTCACTGTGTCTATGTAGAAGGGGAAGACATAAGAGACTCCATTTTGAAAAAGACCTGTACTTTAAACAATTGCTTCACTGAGATGTTGATCATTTGTAGCTTTGCCGCAGCCCCTTCCTTTGACCCAACTTGGAGCTCACAAAAACCTGTGTTGTATAAAATCGAGGTTTAAGGGATCTAGGGCTGTGCAGGACGCGCCTTGTTAACCAAATGTTTACGAGCAGTATACTTGGTAGAAGTCATTGCCATTCTCTAGTCTCAATAAACCAGGGGCGCAATGTACCGTGGAAAGCCACAGGGACCTCTGCCCTTGAAAGCAGGGTATTGTCCAAGGTTTCTCCCCATGTGACAGTCTGAAATATGGCCTCGTGGGATGGGAAAGTCCTGAATGTCCCCCAGCCTGACACCCGCAATGGGTCTGTGCTGAGGTGGATTAGTCAAAGAGGAACGCCTCTTGCAGTTCAAATGGAGGAAGGCCACTGTCTCCTGCTTGCCCCTGGGAACTGAATGTCTCGGTGTAAAGCCCGATCGTACATTTGTTCAACTCTGAGCTCGGAGAAAAGCTGCCCTGTGGCGGGAGGTGAGACATGTTGGCAGTAATGCTGCCTTGCTTTCTTTACTCCGCTGAGATATTTGTGTGGAGAGAAACATAAATCTGGCCTACGTGCACGTCCAGGCATAGTACCTTCCCTTGAACTTAATAATGATATGGATTCTTTTGCTCACGTGTTTGTTTTTTGTTGTTGTTGTTGACCTTCCCCTTATTATCACCCTGCTCCCCTACTGCATTCCTTTGTGCTGAAATAATGAAAATCATAATCAATAAAAACAGAGGGAACTCAGAGGCCGGTGCCGGTGCAGGTCCTAGGTGTGCTGAGTGCCTGTCCCCTGGACCCACTGTTGTCTCCCTATACTTTGTCTCTGTGTCTTATTTCTTTTCTCCGTCTCTCATCCCACCCGACTAGAAACACCCACAGGTGTGGAGGGGCAGGCCACCCCTTCACTTGGAAAATCAGTTACACACAAACACGGAATGAGAGTCAAAAGACAATATGTCATCTTTTTGAGAATTTTATTCACTTCAAAACACATTAAACACACATATGTACAAAGGCATTCCAGAGCCCAGTTTCCGAGGCTGAGGAAAGACCCCGAGAGCGCTTCGCACAGCACGCTTCCCAGCGTCCGAAACACTGCTCTCAGGGCGGGGCACAGCGGAAGGGCTGCACCTCTCAGGGTTCCCTAACTTTTCCCTTATTCAGTCATCTAGACAGCAAATACACAGTAATTCCCCAGTTTCCTATTGACGTCCCAGCGGAAGTCTGACTCCTGCGCGTCACGCAGTTTCTGAGGCAACGAATCTCTGTCACGGAAGCTTTTCCTGGCGCGTTTCGGGAGAACCACGCCAACTACAACGTCCCTCACCAGAATTCAATGAGGCAGAGTCCCTGCATCTGCTCCCTGCCTGGCCTGGGCTCCCACATCCACAGAAGCGCCACAGCCGGGGAGCTTCGGAGTCACCGCACAGAGTGTGCTCTCTGCTCTGCGCTCCTCAGTCCCACAGTCCCCTCCAAGTCACGGGAACTGGAGGCCAAGGAGCCCCTGCCACCTGCAGTCTCACTCCAGGTCAGAATCGCTGTCCTCTGAGGAGGAGGAAACCTGAAGGTCCTCATAGAGGACGCTCGGTGGGACACGAACACAGGGAGCCTCAGACTTCTCTGACACATGAGGGCTCTGAGCGAGGAAGGCTCCCGGCTTCTCAGGAGAGTGAAATGAGGGGGCCGCCAGGAGGCTGGAGCTCCAGCGTCCGTTTTCCAGTCTCCGGAAGAGCACTCTGAGAGGCTGGGCCCCATCATGGCCGGCCGCTGAGTGATGGGACATGGTGCAGGCCTGGGCAGTGGGCAGGCAAGGTCTGCTGTGCGGAGGCTGCCTGTCGACGCTGGGCACCTGGGCCGGTGTCCTCCTGCCCATCTGGGGCGACGTACTTGGTCCAAGTTCGGTTGCGGCTGGCGGAGGTTGGAGATTCTCCGGGGCCCCCAGCTCACCTCCCTGGATGGCGCTTTCGGGGATCTGGAAGGGACCCAGTCTCGGTTTCTTGGGGAAGTTCAGGCAAGCCTGAATCGGAGCCTGGGCAGGTTTCTTGGCTCCTGGCCCGAAGCTGAGATTGGAGCCTAGGCCCAAGCTGTGTGTGGCGGCTGGCGGGCAGGGCTGTGGGGTCACCGCAGGACGTTTGTCTTGTGCCTGGGGTCTGGAGGCCTGGAGCAGGCCGTGGGTTTTGGAGGCAGCCTGGGGAACTTCTTGGCAGCCACCCTCGGGGCGGCTGTGTGTCGGCTTCACCTCGAGAAGAGGCTCGGGGCCCTGGTGCCTGACTGCAGGCTGAGGCATGTCGGCCGCAGCCCCAGTCTGTCTTTCCTTTGGTCCAAGACTTGAGGAGGAGCTCAGGCTGGTTTTTCTGAGGGGAGACAGTGAAGCCAAGACGGAGCCCCTGCCAGACATTTCAGTTGCGGAGCGATCAGCGAGGACAGGGTCCAAGCGCGGCCTCTTACTGGTTGTGTGGACCGGCATTGGCCCGCTTGCAACCTGAAAGAGAGGAAACAACACAGGTTAGAAGTTCCTCAGCATGGAGCCAACGTGAAAATCAAGCACATCCAAAGACAAGGTGCACACGCCATGAAATTCTTAGTACAGTATCGACAGGCGGTCCTTGGAAGTAGGGACAGACCCTCCACCTGAGTGCTGATCAGGACAAGACACATGAAAGATGCGCTCTCGAGCTATGTGTAGCTGATCTAAGCACACCATTGTTCAAAAGATCGCGTCTTGGGCATTAACTGGATCAAAGCGCCTCCACTCAGCCTTCCATGAAGTGGAACGGACTAATGCCCTTCCCAAGGCAGGTTGCTGGCTCAAGGGTACTCGGGACGTCTTCTCTGAACACATGCCTGTTCCTGGGTTTCGCCTTCTCCACGTTTGGGGCCTCTGAGGGACTAATTTCCTCATGCCGCTAGGAACGTGTTGTTGGCAGGCTTGCCATAATTGGACAGAAAGAAAGCAACAGGAAATACGGCATGTTCAGATGCCTTCGCCTGGAATCCAATTGACCTGGAAGGATCGTGGAGTCCCTGACCCCAAGAAGGCAAGAAAGAGGGGTTCCCCGATTTCCTCCCGCAGACGGGAAGCTGAAAGGAAATCAACCAGGGTGACCTAGAGGAGAAAAAGACCAGGGGCCCGGGGTGACACTCGCCCTCAGATAATCAGAAGATTCCGTGGATCCTTTTCCATTTGGCAGCGGCTTCTCTGGAGGTTTCCCGGAAAACATGTGGAGGAGAGCCTTCCTCTGCGGGTCTTGTTGCCTGCAGAACAGAAGAAGGTCAGGCCGTGCCCCCTGGTTTTCCCCAGGAGACAGGGAGAACCCCGTCTGGGGCCCAGCCCCATTCCGTGTTTTGTGATACAGAAATGGACATCTGGTGCCCTTTCCGCCTCTGCACCTTCCCTCACGTGCCAACCTTCCCATCCTCCAGGTGGCCCTCTAGGCTTCCCAACTAAGGACTGTGATTTGGATTCCATCGCTTTTCCCGCTGTCGTGGGGAACCTGCACGAAGCGCCCCCGCCTCTCCCCGTCCCTGAATCTCCCAGAGCCCAAGGAGCTCCTGGGTGTGGAACCCCGGAGGACACGGAGCTCCGGCCTATTTCTCTGCAGCGTTCCTTCCCTGGCCCGGAGACGGAAAGGCACACGGTGTGCAGGTGCAGAGACACCATGTCCTTAGGAGGCCGTACCCTAAGAGTGGTGAAAACCCCTCCCACTGCTCACCTTGGTCTCTCTTCCTTCTCTCCCTTATCCTTGTTCAAGGGCCCCGGGTTGGCTTCAGCCCGGGGCTTCCATGGTTTCAGGTTTTCCTTCCCTTCCTTTTTCCCCAAGGTCGCTGGAACCAGGGCTGCCTTCCAGCACTTCATGGGGCACCTGGTACTTCTGGCCGTGTGGCCAAAGGCCCCGCAGTTTTTGCACTTGAGCTGTGGGTGGAAAGGAAGTGATGTCAGTGAGTGAGCTGAAGCCACAGGCAGCGATCCCACGTCAACATTGGGACGGATTGTGAATTCAGAGCTGAATAAGGATTCCAAAGAGGGGACACCGGCATGGGGGCCGTTAAGTGCTGGGAGACTTCGGATACGATGTTCCCTCGCAAAGCCCATGTGACGGAGGAACTCTGAAAGGAAGGACTCAAGGTTCCAAGGGGCACGATGGTGAAGCCGATGTCAACAACGCAGCCAAACGTGGCTACACAGGACTCTAAGTAGAAAGGGAGGTTGCCCCCAAGAGTCTCTCAAGGGACCTATCGGGCCGGGGAGAAGGTCCCAAGCCACGCCCACCTTGGATGGGAAAAGCAACCTGGCTGGTGGTGACAGAACTCTTTGGAATCCAACCCAGTCTCTGAGGACCGTGGGACACCCCCTTCCCCCCGTCCCCACCCCCACCCCGATACCCAAGAGATCCAGGGCTAGACTTACCCTGGGATCTTCTTCATCGGGCGGGGGAGCCCTTGGCCCAACTCGGGCCCTCCGCTGCTTCTGGAGGGTCTGGGCTCTCACCAGTCTCTTGGCCCAAGATTTGGGGTCCCGACGTGCCATCATCTTCGTCTCCTGGGGGTTTTATGACCGCCTTTTTCAGGGGTGGACTGTTGGGCCACCTGAAACACACACAAACACACACATGTCGATGGTTAAGCACGTTGGATATTCACACACCCACAGGAAGCCACCTGCTAACTCCCTGCCTGTGTGGTCACGAGGAGACCTCACCACCAGTCGGTCAAATCTGTAGAACACAATGTGCTGTGCGCATCCTCGGATATTGTGTGTTCCTCTGCCATGACTACCTAGTCCAAGAGTAAACCCCACCTGCCACAGGGCCCGTGGCCTAGGTATGGGGGGTTGAGCTTTCAACCCCAAACAAACAACTGATTCTGGAGACTGGACTTAGGTCTCTCACGATTCACTCCGGTAGAAGACACGGTGATTCTATCTCCCTTGACGGACAGAATGATCGAAGACACAGGGCATGGCGTGTGCCACCCTTTGGCAGGTCTGCTTGAAGTCACGGATAAGGGATGCTTCCTGTGACAACTTGAATCGCTACTCTTGCCATTTCATTAGGCAACTTCCAAACACAAATTCATACAGAGAAGTTACCTTCCTCTCTACCGCACTAGCAGGTGATGGTCTTTCCTGTTCTATCTTTTGGCTTTAGCTCCAGCCCCTCTTTATTTATTTTCCTGGTATTTTACGCACACCACACGAATTCATCTGAACAAACGGGGAAGAAGTGCCGTATCGTATCGACGTCTTACACGGCTGAAGGGCAAAACCCCCTTTTTTCCAAAGTCCTTTTTCCATTTACCCACCAATTCAGCATGCTGCAGTACATTTCTTTTCGCATTCCCATCTTGGTCTTCTCCCACACGTGGAGACGGATATGTTTTCTCGTTTTCTGTTCCAAGAATTACTAGTAACGAGAACACATCCTACCCCACCAGCAAGCCCCAGTGTGATCGGTTTCTTTCGGCCTCCTTTGTCTCTTCCTCCCCCCGCCCCCCCCCCGCCAAAACCACTCAGGGATTGCGTGAAACAAACAATTGTTCAGCGAAACTAACCTGAAATTACACGTCTACTTTCTTTCCCAGGCTGGCGCTGAGATGGGCAGGTGCTGCAGCAGCCCGGCTGGAAGCGATGCAGCATCCAGGACGACGGAGGAAGGGGCAGAGAGGGACCTCCGCTTTCCAGGCTGCCTTTTATACTGCCTCTGGTCACCTGACATGGAACGTACCCTAACCTAATCAGTTACCTGTACCTTAATTGCAATTAACTTAATCCAATTACATGACCTGGAAAGGTCTATCTGCACAGCCCACTCTAAGATCATGTCCACTGCTGACAGACATTCTAAAACCTACTTGTACAGCTGCAAGCTTTGAACAATAGATGTTCCCCGTCAGACATGTAACACTGGTGCCTGTACCCCTGTCTTCTTTTCCATCTTTTTTGTTGTTTTGTTTTGTTTTGTTTTAAAAAATGTGGTAAAATAGACACCTTTTAATTGGACCACATTTTGTCTATCTCGACGTAGGCCTCAGTGTCATCAAGGAGACTCTCCTTGACATGCAGTCACGGCCATGATCCATCTTCAGAGCTTCTCTTTCTTCCCCAAGGTAAGTCTGTCAGCAGAGAACCCTGACCGCACCCTCATGTGTTTTCTCCCCCAGGAGGCGCTTGGAAACCACCGTAAATTGGACCACACTGGGAAACACAGATGAGGAAAGTCAACAACGCTTTGTCCTTCAGTGCCTGGCTCCTTTTTCAGCTCGTCTTGCGACTCCAGGCATTATGCCTGAAAAGTCTCCCGGACGCCTGTGAGGCTCTAATTCCCTGGGTCCCATTGCCATGTCTCTGGATTTGCGAAGATCCACCGCACCTTCTGTGGAACTCCCGTGTCGGTGAACTTTTGTGCCACGGCCCCTAATTCTGCCCATGGTCATCCACACCTGCACGACTTAGGTTCCATGTTCCTTGGACGGGAAGAGACAGGCAGGAGTCGGAATGATGAACCAGCACACTGGGGCGTTTTCTCATGTAGCCCAAGTGACCCCATGGTCTTCTCGAGCTTTGGAACCAGTCGCGTCCCCTTTGACACTGCACCCGGCTCCCAGTCACTCAATCTTGTTGGCCCTCAGGCGATCTCCCGTTGGATGAAATGCTCCTGCTGAAACTCGAGTCCCCTTTGATTTGCCTTCATTAATTATTCATGATTCAGGTTGGAAGGCCTGCTGACGACCCCCTGTGGCCGTTCTCTGAGCTTTCCTGTCACATCGTTTCCTTCCACGCTCTTTGGTTCCTTACGGTCCTGCTCCTTCTGCTGTCAGAGGAGCAGAGAGTTGATCTTATTCATTCTGGATACGGATACTTTCTAGTTGATCTGGATAATCAAGATAACGACCCTCAACAGCGGCGGAGAGGGAGCAGCCAGTTGGTGTGTCTCAGAAAATCCCGCTGAGTTCCGAGGCCTCCTAGATGTGGAATCTTACTGAGAGTTGTTCCCAGGTCAGAGAATGGAGAGAGCCTGTGCATGATGGGATATCCCCGCCTAGATCTTTTAGTGAGTCTCTGCCTCAGCTACTCTTAGGATCAGGGGGAGAACCATGGTGTCAGACATCCGGAAAGAAGACGGGATGAATGTTTTACCTCTGAAGTACATCCCAAATGTGGGAGTTAACTTCAGCTTTGCTGGGGTCTATTTGGCCAGTGAAACTCTGCCTGGTTCCTTCGCACATCCGGAAGCCACTTCACGGGGGGCCGTCGCAACTGGAACCACACACTTGGCATCGGCGGTTGAGCCAAATGGGGACTCGTGGTGCAAGCAACGCTCCCCACGTGTTAGCGTGCGTGAGATTCGGTTGGCGGAATTTTACTAGGTGTGTGTTGGTAGAGTGGGGC
The DNA here is from genome assembly GCF_000001405.40 of Homo sapiens. Lineage (NCBI taxonomy): Eukaryota > Metazoa > Chordata > Mammalia > Primates > Hominidae > Homo > Homo sapiens. The sequence continues at coordinate 7,577,863 of NC_000008.11, forward strand.
TGAGGTTTTCTTGCTCCTGTGGATGTATAGGAAGTCAAAGGTCCTGCCCAGCCCTGCGGTCCCCTCAGTCAACTCTGTTTTGGAGACGTAACGATTTGGATTGCCAACAAATCAAGAAATGTTCAAGCCCTTGGATGTAGGGTAAAGAAAGAGAGATCAGACTGTCACTGTGTCTATGTAGAAGGGGAAGACATAAGAGACTCCATTTTGAAAAAGACCTGTACTTTAAACAATTGCTTTACTGAGATGTTGATCATTTGTAGCTTTGCCGCAGCCCCTTCCTTTGACCCAACTTGGAGCTCACAAAAACCTGTGTTGTATAAAATCGAGGTTTAAGGGATCTAGGGCTGTGCAGGACGCGCCTTGTTAACCAAATGTTTACGAGCAGTATACTTGGTAGAAGTCATTGCCATTCTCTAGTCTCAATAAACCAGGGGCGCAATGTACCGTGGAAAGCCACAGGGACCTCTGCCCTTGAAAGCAGGGTATTGTCCAAGGTTTCTCCCCATGTGACAGTCTGAAATATGACCTCGTGGGATGGGAAAGTCCTGAATGTCCCCCAGCCTGACACCCGCAATGGGTCTGTGCTGAGGTGGATTAGTCAAAGAGGAACGCCTCTTGCAGTTCAAATGGAGGAAGGCCACTGTCTCCTGCTTGCCCCTGGGAACTGAATGTCTCGGTGTAAAGCCCGATCGTACATTTGTTCAACTCTGAGCTCGGAGAAAAGCTGCCCTGTGGCGGGAGGTGAGACATGTTGGCAGTAATGCTGCCTTGCTTTCTTTACTCCGCTGAGATATTTGTGTGGAGAGAAACATAAATCTGGCCTACATGCACGTCCAGGCATAGTACCTTCCCTTGAACTTAATAATGATATGGATTCTTTTGCTCACGTGTTTGTTTTTTGTTGTTGTTGTTGACCTTCCCCTTATTATCACCCTGCTCCCCTACTGCATTCCTTTGTGCTGAAATAATGAAAATCATAATCAATAAAAACAGAGGGAACTCAGAGGCCGGTGCCGGTGCAGGTCCTAGGTGTGCTGAGTGCCTGTCCCCTGGACCCACTGTTGTCTCCCTATACTTTGTCTCTGTGTCTTATTTCTTTTCTCCGTCTCTCATCCCACCCGACTAGAAACACCCACAGGTGTGGAGGGGCAGGCCACCCCTTCACTTGGAAAATCAGTTACACACAAACACGGAATGAGAGTCAAAAGACAATATGTCATCTTTTTGAGAATTTTATTCACTTCAAAACACATTAAACACACATATGTACAAAGGCATTCCAGAGCCCAGTTTTCGAGGCTGAGGAAAGACCCCGAGAGCGCTTCGCACAGCACGCTTACCAGCGTCCGAAACACTGCTCTCAGGGCGGGGCACAGCGGAAGGGCTGCACCTCTCAGGGTTCCCTAACTTTTCCCTTATTCAGTCATCTAGACAGCAAATACACAGTAATTCCCCAGTTTCCTATTGACGTCCCAGCGGAAGTCTGACTCCTGCGCGTCACGCAGTTTCTGAGGCAACGAATCTCTGTCACGGAAGCTTTTCCTGGCGCGTTTCGGGAGAACCACGCCAACTACAACGTCCCTCACCAGAATTCAATGAGGCAGAGTCCCTGCATCTGCTCCCTGCCTGGCCTGGGCTCCCACATCCACAGAAGCGCCACAGCCGGGGAGCTTCGGAGTCACCGCACAGAGTGTGCTCTCTGCTCTGCGCTCCTCAGTCCCACAGTCCCCTCCAAGTCACGGGAACTGGAGGCCAAGGAGCCCCTGCCACCTGCAGTCTCACTCCAGGTCAGAATCGCTGTCCTCTGAGGAGGAGGAAACCTGAAGGTCCTCATAGAGGACGCTCGGTGGGACACGAACACAGGGAGCCTCAGACTTCTCTGACACATGAGGGCTCTGAGCGAGGAAGGCTCCCGGCTTCTCAGGAGAGTGAAATGAGGGGGCCGCCAGGAGGCTGGAGCTCCAGCGTCCGTTTTCCAGTCTCCGGAAGAGCACTCTGAGAGGCTGGGCCCCATCATGGCTGGCCGCTGGGTGATGGGACATGGTGCAGGCCTGGGCAGTAGGCAGGCAAGGTCTGCTGTGCGGAGGCTGCCGGTCGACGCTGGGCACCTGGGCCGGTGTCCTCCTGCCCATCTGGGGCGACGTACTTGGTCCAAGTTCGGTTGCGGCTGGCGGAGGTTGGAGATTCTCCGGGGCCCCCAGCTCACCTCCCTGGATGGCGCTTTCGGGGATCTGGAAGGGACCCAGTCTCGGTTTCTTGGGGAAGTTCAGGCAAGCCTGAATCGGAGCCTGGGCAGGTCTCTTGGCTCCTGGCCCGAAGCTGAGATTGGAGCCTAGGCCCAAGCTGTGTGTGGCGGCTGGCGGGCAGGGCTGTGGGGTCACCGCAGGACGTTTGTCTTGTGCCTGGGGTCTGGCGGCCTGGAGCAGGCCGTGGGTTTTGGAGGCAGCCTGGGGAACTTCTCGGCAGCCACCCTCGGGGCGGCTGTGTGTCGGCTTCACCACGAGGAGAGGCTCGCGGCCCTGGTGCCTGACTGCAGGCTGAGGCATGTCGGCCGCAGCCCCAGTCTGTCTTTCCTTTGGTCCAAGACTTGAGGAGGAGCTCAGGCTGGCTTTTCTGAGGGGAGACAGTGAAGCCAAGACGGAGCCCCTGCCAGACATTTCGGTTGCGGAGCGATCAGCGAGGACAGGGTCCAAGCGCGGCCTCTTACTGGTTGTGTGGACCGGCATTGGCCCGCTTGCAACCTGAAAGAGAGGAAACAACACAGGTTAGAAGTTCCTCAGCATGGAGCCAACGTGAAAATCAAGCACATCCAAAGACAAGGTGCACACGCCATGAAATTCTTAGTACAGTATCGACAGGCGGTCCTTGGAAGTAGGGACAGACCCTCCACCTGAGTGCTGATCAGGACAAGACACATGAAAGATGCGCTCTCGAGCTATGTGTAGCTGATCTAAGCACACCATTGTTCAAAAGATCGCGTCTTGGGCATTAACTGGATCAAAGCGCCTCCACTCAGCCTTCCATGAAGTGGAACGGACTAATGCCCTTCCCAAGGCAGGTTGCTGGCTCAAGGGTACTCGGGACGTCTTCTCTGAACACATGCATGTTCCTGGGTTTCGCCTTCTCCACGTTTGGGGCCTCTGAGGGACTAATTTCCTCATGCCGCTAGGAACGTGTTGTTGGCAGGCTTGCCATAATTGGACAGAAAGAAAGCAACAGGAAATACGGCATGTTCAGATGCCTTCGCCTGGAATCCAATTGACCTGGAAGGATCGTGGAGTCCCTGACCCCAAGAAGGCAAGAAAGAGGGGTTCCCCGATTTCCTCCCGCAGACGGGAAGCTGAAAGGAAATCAACCAGGGTGACCTAGAGGAGAAAAAGACCAGGGGCCCGGGGTGACACTCGCCCTCAGATAATCAGAAGATTCCGTGGATCCTTTTCCATTCGGCAGCGGCTTCTCTGGAGGTTTCCCGGAAAACATGTGGAGGAGAGCCTTCCTCTGCGGGTCTTGTTGCCTGCAGAACAGAAGAAGGTCAGGCCGTGCCCCCTGGTTTTCCCCAGGAGACAGGGAGAACCCCGTCTGGGGCCCAGCCCCATTCCGTGTTTTGTGATACAGAAATGGACATCTGGTGCCCTTTCCGCCTCTGCACCTTCCCTCACGTGCCAACCTTCCCATCCTCCAGGTGGCCCTCTAGGCTTCCCAACTAAGGACTGTGATTTGGATTCCATCGCTTTTCCCGCTGTCGTGGGGAACCTGCACGAAGCGCCCCCGCCTCTCCCCGTCCCTGAATCTCCCAGAGCCCAAGGAGCTCCTGGGTATGGAACCCCGGAGGACACGGAGCTCCGGCCTATTTCTCTGCAGCGTTCCTTCCCTGGCCCGGAGACGGAAAGGCACACGGTGTGCAGGTGCAGAGACACCATGTCCTTAGGAGGCCGTACCCTAAGAGTGGTGAAAACCCCTCCCACTGCTCACCTTGGTCTCTCTTCCTTCTCTCCCTTATCCTTGTTCAAGGGCCCCGGGTTGGCTTCAGCCCGGGGCTTCCATGGTTTCAGGTTTTCCTTCCCTTCCTTTTTCCCCAAGGTCGCTGGAACCAGGGCTGCCTTCCAGCACTTCATGGGGCACCTGGTACTTCTGGCCGTGTGGCCAAAGGCCCCGCAGTTTTTGCACTTGAGCTGTGGGTGGAAAGGAAGTGATGTCAGTGAGTGAGCTGAAGCCACAGGCAGCGATCCCACGTCAACATTGGGACGGATTGTGAATTCAGAGCTGAATAAGGATTCCAAAGAGGGGACACCGGCATGGGGGCCGTTAAGTGCTGGGAGACTTCGGATACGATGTTCCCTCGCAAAGCCCATGTGACGGAGGAACTCTGAAAGGAAGGACTCAAGGTTCCAAGGGGCACGATGGTGAAGCCGATGTCAACAACGCAGCCAAACGTGGCTACACAGGAACCTAAGTAGAAAGGGAGGTTGCCCCCAAGAGTCTCTCAAGGGACCTATCGGGCCGGGGAGAAGGTCCCAAGCCACGCCCACCTTGGATGGGAAAAGCAACCTGGCTGGTGGTGACAGAACTCTTTGGAATCCAACCCAGTCTCTGAGGACCGTGGGACACGCCTCCCCCCGTCCCCACCCCCACCCCGATACCCAAGAGATCCAGGGCTAGACTTACCCTGGGATCTTCTTCATCGGGCGGGGGAGACCTTGGCCCAACTGGGGCCCTCCGCTGCTTCTGGAGGGTCTGGGCTCTCACCAGTCTCTTGGCCCAAGATTTGGGGTCCCGACGTGCCATCATCTTCGTCTCCTGGGGGTTTTATGACCGCCTTTTTCAGGGGTGGACTGTTGGGCCACCTGAAACACACACAAACACACACATGTCGATGGTTAAGCACGTTGGATATTCACACACCCACAGGAAGCCACCTGCTAACTCCCTGCCTGTGTGGTCATGAGGAGACCTCACCACCAGTCGGTCAAATCTGTAGAACACAATGTGCTGTGCGCATCCTCGGATATTGTGTGTTCCTCTGCCATGACTACCTAGTCCAAGAGTAAACCCCACCTGCCACAGGGCCCGTGGCCTAGGTATGGGGGGTTGAGCTTTCAACCCCAAACAAACAACTGATTCTGGAGACTGGACTTAGGTCTCTCACGATTCACTCCGGTAGAAGACACGGTGATTCTATCTCCCTTGACGGACAGAATGATCGAAGACACAGGGCATGGCGTGTGCCACCCTTTGGCAGGTCTGCTTGAAGTCACGGATAAGGGATGCTTCCTGTGACAACTTGAATCGCTACTCTTGCCATTTCATTAGGCAACTTCCAAACACAAATTCATACAGAGAAGTTACCTTCCTCTCTACCGCACTAGCAGGTGATGGTCTTTCCTGTTCTATCTTTTGGCTTTAGCTCCAGCCCCTCTTTATTTATTTTCCTGGTATTTTACGCACACCACACGAATTCATCTGAACAAACGGGGAAGAAGTGCCGTATCGTATCGACGTCTTACACGGCTGAAGGGCAAAACCCCCTTTTTTCCAAAGTCCTTTTTCCATTTACCCACCAATTCAGCATGCTGCAGTACATTTCTTTTCGCATTCCCATCTTGGTCTTCTCCCACACGTGGAGACGGATATGTTTTCTCGTTTTCTGTTCCAAGAATTACTAGTAACGAGAACACATCCTACCCCACCAGCAAGCCCCAGTGTGATCGGTTTCTTTCGGCCTCCTTTGTCTCTTCCTCCCCCACACCCCCCGCAAATACCCCTCAGGGATTGCGTGAAACAAACAATTGTTCAGCGAAACTAACCTGAAATTACACGTCTACTTTCTTTCCCAGGCTGGCGCTGAGATGGGCAGGTGCTGCAGCAGCCCGGCTGGAAGCGATGCAGCATCCAGGACGACGGAGGAAGGGGCAGAGAGGGACCTCCGCTTTCCAGGCTGCCTTTTATACTGCCTCTGGTCACCTGACATGGAACGTACCCTAACCTAATCAGTTACCTGTACCTTAATTGCAATTAACTTAATCCAATTACATGACCTGGAAAGGTCTATCTGCACAGCCCACTCTAAGATCATGTCCACTGCTGACAGACATTCTAAAACCTACTTGTACAGCTGCAAGCTTTGAACAATAGATGTTCCCCGTCAGACATGTAACACTGGTGCCTGTACCCCTGTCTTCTTTTCCATCTTTTTTGTTGTTTTGTTTTGTTTTGTTTTAAAAAATGTGGTAAAATAGACACCTTTTAATTGGACCACATTTTGTCTATCTCGACGTATGCCTCAGTGTCATCAAGGAGACTCTCCTTGACATGCAGTCACGGCCATGATCCATCTTCAGAGCTTCTCTTTCTTCCCCAAGTTAAGTCTGTCAGCAGAGAACCCTGACCGCACCCTCTTGTGTTTTCTCCCCCAGGAGGCGCTTGGAAACAACCGTGAATTGGACCGCACTGGGAAACACAGATGAGGAAAGTCAACAACGCTTTGTCCTTCAGTGCCTGGCTCCTTTTTCAGCTCGTCTTGCGACTCCAGGCATTATGCCTGAAAAGTCTCCCGGACGCCTGTGAGGCTCTAATTCCCTGGGTCCCATTGCCATGTCTCTGGATTTGCGAAGATCCACCGCACCTTCTGTGGAACTCCCGTGTCGGTGAACTTTTGTGCCACGGCCCCTAATTCTGCCCATGGTCATCCGCACCTGCACGACTTAGGGTCCATGTTCCTTGGACGGGAAGAGACAGGCAGGAGTCGGAATGATGAACCAGCACACTGGGGCGTTTTCTCATGTAGCCCAAGTGACCCCATGGTCTTCTCGAGCTTTGGAACCAGTCGCGTCCCCTTTGACACTGCACCCGGCTCCCAGTCACTCAATCTTGTTGGCCCTCCGGCGATCTCCCGTTGGATGAATTGCTCCTGCTGAAACTCGAGTCCCCTTTGATTTGCGCTCCATTAATTATTCATGATTCAGGTTGGAAGGCCTGCTGAAGACCCCCTGTGGCCGTTCTCTGAGCTTTCCTGTCACATCGTTTCCTTCCACGCTCTTTGGTTCCTTACGGTCCTGCTCCTTCTGCTGTCAGAGGAGCAGAGAGTTGATCTTATTCATTCTGGATACGGATACTTTCTAGTTGATCTGGATAATCAAGATAACGACCCTCAACAGCGGCGGAAAGGGAGCAGCCAGTTGGTGTGTCTCAGAAAATCCCGCTGAGTTCCGAGGCCTCCTAGATGTGGAATCCTGCTGAGAGTTGGTCCCAGGTCAGAGAATGGAGAGAGCCTGTGCATGATGGGATATCCCCGCCTAGATCTTTCAGTGAGTCTCTGCCTCAGCTACTCTTAGGATCAGGGGGAGAACCATGGTGTCAGACATCCGGAAAGAAGACGGGATGAATGTTTTACCTCTGAAGTACATCCCAAATGTGGGAGTTAACTTCAGCTTTGCTGGGGTCTATTTGGCCAGTGAAACTCTGCCTGGTTCCTTCGCACATCCGGAAGCCACTTCACGGGGGGCCGTCGCAACTGGAACCACACACTTGGCATCGGCGGTTGAGCCAAATGGGGACTTGTGGTGCAAGCAACGCTCCCCACGTGTTAGCGTGCGTGAGATTCGGTTGGCGGAATTTTACTAGGTGCGTGTTGGTAGAGTGGGGCTGAGGTTTTCTTGCTCCTGTGGATGTATAGGAAGTCAAAGGTCCTGCCCAGCCCTGCGGTCCCCTCAGTCAACTCTGTTTCGGAGACGTAACGATTTGGATTGCCAACAAGTCAAGAAATGTTCAAGCCCTTGGATGTAGGGTAAAGAAAGAGAGATCAGACTGTCACTGTGTCTATGTAGAAGGGGAAGACATAAGAGACTCCATTTTGAAAAAGACCTGTACTTTAAACAATTGCTTTGCTGAGATGTTGTTCATTTGTTGCCTTGCCTCATCCACTTTGCCCCAGCCCCCTTGACCCAACTTGGAGCTCAGAAAACCTGTGTTGTATAAAATCGAGGTTTAAGGGATCTAGGGCTGTGCAGGACGTGCTTTGTTAACCAAATGTTTGCGAGCAGTATACTTGGTAAAAGTCATTGCCATTCTCTAGTTTCAATAAACCAGGGGCACTATGCACCGTCGAAAGCCGCAGCGACCTCTGCCCTTGAAAGCAGGTTATTGTCCAAGGTTTCTCCCCATGTAACAGTCTGAAATATGGCCTCGTGGGATGTTAAAGACCTGACTGGCCCCCAGCCTGAGACCCGTAAAGGGTCTGTGCCGAGGTGGATTAGTCAAAGAGGAAAGCCTCTTGCAATTTAGATGGAGGACAGCCGCTGTCTCCCGCAGCCCCTCTTGCTTCCCTGGCTCTTAGGACCCCCATCGCAGGGTGTGAGGCACTCCCCCCATTTCGGGTTGTAAGAGCCAAACCCTCTTGCCCCCCTGGCTCTTAGTTTCCCCCATCGCAGCGGGGTGAGTCACGTCCTGCTATGCTTGGGGTAAGAGCCAGCCCCTCTTGCCCCCCTGGCTCTCAGGACCCCCATCGCAGTGGTGTGAGGCACGCCCCTTGATGCGGGTATTAAGAGCCTTCCCATCTTACCTCCTGGCTCTTAGGACCCCCATCGCAGGGGGTGAGGCACGCCCCGCCATGCGGAGAGTAAGAGCTAACCCCTCTTGCCCCCCTGGTTTTTAGGATCCGCGGTGGACTCACAGCCTGTTTATCATATTGTGAGTAATATCGTCTCCCGCTCTGGAGATTGTGAACTGTTTCACCCACCGGTGTTCACCCCGGCGTACAGAGGTTGTACACCCGTCTGTATTGGGAGTCATATCATCCTCTTCCTCTCTGAATATTAAGAACAGTATCACAGGGGTGTTTCTACTCCCTGGGATATCGCGTGTCATATCATCCTCTCCCACGTTGCAATTAGAAACAATATCAGTGGGGGCGTGTCCACCTTCTGTGATACTGAAAGTAATATCATCCTCTTCCCTCCAGGATCGTGGGAACAATATCCTTGGGGGTGTCCACTTTCTGCCATATGTGTAGTCATATCACCCCCTCCGCCTTGGAATATTATTAAGAACCATGTCACACGGGGGTGTACACTTCCTACGATGTTGGGAGTAATAGCATTCTCTTCTTCCATGAATGTTAGGAACAAAATCACCGGGTGGATGCACACCCAGTGCTATATTGGGAGTAATGTTATACTCCACCCCCTGGAGATTATATTCGGATCAATATCACCGGCTGGGTGTGCACCTGCTGCGATATTGTACGTAATATCATGCTCTCTCACTCCCTGAACATTAGGAACAATATCACAGGTGGGTGTACACCCACTGAGGTATTAGGGCATACTATTAGTATGAATTATTCCTTGTTTTTTATTAACATGAATATGAATGGCCGATATTAATATTAATATTAAGAAGTAATTGCTAATAAAAAGTTCTCAGATTATTAATATTAATATTAATTATTAGGAGCTAATATTACTATTTTCTAATGAATAAGATCCGTATCAGTTATTAATATCAGGCGTCATAATCATTAATATTAATCATGTATTGTTATTGTTAGTATAACTATTTAATATTAATTATCATTAGTATCGGTATTGATTTTAAAAATTATATTATGGGTTATTAATATTGATAATTATTAGTGTCAGTTAATAATTGAGATTATTAATTGCGGTAAGTCGCATTGCGCCATTCCACCCCTTCCTCGGCAGCTCGTTTACGACCCAAAACGGGGACACAAATGCCCCTGAGAGAGCAGCGGTATACTGGGATAGATGAAAATGCTCATGTAGTGGAGAGACGTGTTTTTGGGTACCAGCCCTTCACCTGCGTCGACCTTCTCAACTGGAAAAACAATACATCGCCCTATACCGAAAAGCCACAAGCCCTAATTGATTTGCTCCAAACTGTTATCCAGACCCACAACCACACCTGGACCGATTGGCACCAGTTGCTCATTTTCCTCTTTAACAGTGAAGAAAGGCAGAGAGTCCTCCAAGCAGCAACTAAGTGGCTAGAGGAACATGCACCAGCTGATTATCAAAACCCCCAATAGTATGGAAGGACCCAGTTGCCAGGAACCGACCCCCAGTTGGACCCACATGAAAGAGAGGAGATGCAAAGGCTAAACCGAGACAGGGAAGCTCTCTTGGAAGGATTAATGAGGGGAGCTCAGAAGGCCACAAACGTTAACAAGCTCTCTGAGGTCATTCAGGGAAAAGAAGAAAGTCCAGCACAATTCTACGAGAGACTGTATGAGGCCTATCATATGTATACTCCCTTTGATCCCGATAGCCCTGAAAATCAGCGCATGATTCACATGGCTTTAGTCCATCAAAGTGCAGAAGACATGAGAAGAAAACTGCAGAAACAGACTGGGCTTGCAGGGAAGAATCCATCCCAATTACTAGAAATAGCTAGCCAGGTGTTTGTAAACAGGTATGCAGTAAGCCGTAAGGAAAACGGCAAAGAGGATGGAGGTCAGTCCCGGCCACACGCCGACCTGTTTGTCAGCTGCAGCAATCAGAGGGGCCCCCGCAAAGAGGCAAGGGAAAGGGGGCCCTGGGAAAGAAACTCAGCTTGGCTGTCAGAGTTTGCAGCGTAACCAGTGTGCTGATTGTAAAGAAATAGGACAGTGGAAGAACAAATGCCCTCAGCTCAAAAGAAAAGAAGGTGACTCAGAGCCGGAGGCCCCGGACAAGGAGGAAGGGGCCCTGCTCAACCTGGCAGAAGGGTTCTTGGACTGAGGGAGACCGGGCTCAAGCATCCCCATTCTGACATCTGTTCAGAATGACAGTCAGGGGTGGAGACATTAACTTTCTTGTAGATAGCGGTGCTGAACATTCGCTAGTAACCGCCCCGGTCGTCCCCTTACCGAAAAAGACTACTGACGTCATCGGAGCCACGGGGGTTTCAGCAAAGCAAGCTTTCTGCTTGCCTTGGACTTGTCCTGTAGGAGGACATAAAGTCATTCATCAGTTTTGTTACATGCCTGACAGTCTCTTGAACTTTTCAGGAAGGGACTTGCTCAGCAAGCTGAGAGCCACTGCCTCTTTCACAGAGCATGGCTCTTTGCTGCTAAAGTTACCCGGAATGGGAGTCATTATGACGCTTATGGTCCCCCGAGAGGAGGAATGGAGACTTTTCTGAACTGACCCGGGCAAAGAGAAAAGACCAGCTCTGGCTAAGCGCTGGCCAAGAGTTCGGGCAGAAGAGAACCCTCCAGGATTGGCCAGTTAAGACTGGGGCCCAGCCGGTGAGGCAAAAACCGGACTCGGTCCCCAGAGAAGCCCTTCAAGGTATCCAGGTCCATCTCAAGCACCTAAGAACGTTTGGAATGATTGTTCCTTGTCAGTCTCCATGGAACACTCCCCTCCTGCCTGTTCCCAAGCCACGGACCAAGGACTACCGGCCGGTACAGGATTTGCGCTTGCTTCATCAAGCCACACTGACTTTACATCCAACAGTACCTAACCCGTCCACATTGTTGGGGTTGCCGCCAGCTGAGGACAGCTGGTTCACCTGCTTGGACCTAAAAGACGCTTTCCTTCCTATCAGATTAGCCCCTGAGAGGCAGAAGCTGTTTGCCTTTCAGTGGGAAGATCCGGAGTCAGGTGTCACTACTTAGTACACTTGGACCGGGCTTCCCCAAAGGTTCAAGAACTCCCCCACCATCTTCGGGGAGGCATGGGCTCGAGACCTCCAGAAGTTTCCTAGCAGAGACCTAGGATGCTTGTTGCTCCAGTAGGTTGATGACCTTCTGCTGGGACACCCCACGGCAGTCGGGTGTGCCAAGGGAACAGATGCCCTACACCGCACCTGGAGGACTGTGGGTAGAAGGTGTCCAAGAAAAAAGCTCAGATCTGCCGACAGCAGGTACGTTACTTGGGATTTACTATCCGACAGGGGTCGGAACGCAGCCCGGGATCAGAAAGAAAGCAGGTCATTTGCCATCTAGCGGAGCCTAAGAGCAGAAGGCAGGTAAGAGAATTCTTAGGAGCTGTGGGGTTTTGTAGACTGTGGATCCCAAACTTTGCAGTATTAGCCAAGTTTTTGTATGAGGTCACAAGGGGGGCGGGGACGGTGAATCTTTGGAATGCGGATCCCAACAACAGCAAGTATTTCATGAGTTAAAGGAAAAACTTCTGGCAGCACCAGCCCTGAGGCTACCCGATCTGACAAAGCCTTTTCCATTGTATGCATCAGAGAGAGAAAGGATGGCAGCTGGACTTTGAACCCAAACTGTGGGGCCCTGGCTGAGGCTGGTGGCCTACCTCTGTAAACCACTAGACGGGGTTTCTAAAGGATGGCCCCCCTGTTGGAGGGCCTTGGCAGCAACTGCCCTGCTAGTATAAGAAGCAAATAAGCTGACTCTTGGGCGAAACCTGAACATAAAGGCCTCCCGTGCTGTGGTGATGAATACTAAAGGACGTCATTGGCTAACGAATGCCAGGCTCACCAAGTACCAAACTTTGGTCTGTGAAAATCCCCGTATAACCATTGAAGTTTGTAACACCCTACACCCCGCCACCTTGCTGCCGGTATCAGGGAGCCCTGTCGAGCCTGATTGTGTAGAAGTGTTGGACTCAATTGACTCTAGCAGACCTGAGCTCCGGGACCAGACTTGGGCATCAGTAGACTGGGAACCACACGTGGATGGGAGCAGCTTCTTCAACCCCCAAGGAGAGAGAGGTGCAGGGTATGCAGTGATAACTCTGGACACTGTTGTTGAAACCAGGTCGTTGCCCCAGGCCACTTCAGCCCAGAAAGCTGAACTCAATGCTTTCATTTGGGCCTTAGAACTCAGTGAGGGTGAGACTGTCAACACTTACACTGATTCTCGGTATGTCTTTTTAACCCTTCAAGTGCATGGAGTGTGATAGAAAGAAAAGGGCCTATTGAATTCTGGGGGGAAAGACAGAAAATATCCACAAGAAATCTTGCAATGATTAGAAGCAGTATGGAAACCCCACAAGGTGGCAGTTAGGCATTGCAGAGGACACCAGCGAGCTTCCACCTTGCTGTGTTTGGGGAATTCCCGCGCTGAGTCAGAGGCTCGAAAAGCAGCAACTGCCCCCTTCTGGGCATCAGTGCTCCCTCAAGCACCTGATCTTGGACCTGCTTCTTCTAAAGAAGAAAGGACTTTCTCCAGGTAGAGGGAAGGACAAGTGATGGAGGAAGGATGGATTCAGTTACCAGATAGGAGAGTAGCTGTGCCACAGCTGCTAGGAGCTGCAGTTGTACTGGCTGTGCAAGAAAACACCCATCGAGGTCAGGAGTCACTGGAAAAGTTGTTAGGCCGGTATTTCTACATCTCGCCTTTGTCAACCCTTGCCAAAACGGTGAGGCAGCGGTGTGTTACCTGCTGACAGCATGATGGGAGTCAAGGTCCAGCCGTTCCGCCCGGCATACGAGCTTGTGGAGCAGCCCCCTTTGAAGGTCTCCAGGTGGACTTCACAGAGATGCCAAAGTGTGGAGGTAACAAGCATGTACTGGTTCTTGGGCGTACCTACCCTGGGTGGGTGGAGGCCTATCCAACACGAACTGAGAAAGCTGGTGAAGTAACCCCTGTGCTTCTTCGAGATGTGATTCCTAGATTTCGACCGCCCTTATGGATCGGCTCAGACAACGGGCCTGCGTTTTTGGCTGCCTTGGTACAGAAAACGGCAAAGGTATTGGGGATCACACGGAAACTACATGCCGCCTCCCGGCCTCAGAGTTCCGGAAAGGTGGAGAGGATGAATCGGACTATCAAAAATAGTACTACTGTCTTCCCCGCTGGATATTTAAAACAACAGCACAAGGGGCGTCAAACCACCTGCTAAATTGGAGGCAATGTTATCCTCTCCCCTCCTCCCCCGGCCCCGGATATTAGAGACAACAACACAGGGGTGATGTACACCCACTGCTTTATTGTGAGTAATATCATCCTCTCCCTTCTTGGATAGTAGGAACAGTATCACACTGTGCGTGTAGGCCTGTCGCGAAATTCAATGGAATGTCATCCTGCGCCTCCCTGGATATGACGAACAATATCACGGGGGATGTACAACTTCTGAGATATTGGGAGTGATGTCATCCTCTCCCCTCTGGAAGTTAGGGACAATATCACAGGGGTAGTGTACACCCTCTGGGATGTTGGGACTAATATCTCACAGATGTCTGAGAATTCCTCCTCCTGGGACTCTCAGAGGATCCAGAACTGCAGCCGGTCCTCGCTTTGCTGTCCCTGTCCCTGTCCATGTATCTGGTCACGGTGCTGAGGAACCTGCTCAGCATCCTGGCTGTCAGCTCTGACTCCCCCCTCCACACCCCCATGTACTTCTTCCTCTCCAACCTGTGCTGGCCTGACATCGGTTTCACCTCGGCCATGGTTCCCAAGATGATTGTGGACACGCAGTCGCATAGCAGAGTCATCTCTCATGCGGGCTGCCTGACACAGATGTCTTTCCTGCTCCTTGTTGCATGTATAGAAGGCATGCTCCTGACTGTGATGGCCTATGACTGCTTTGTAGCCATCTGTCGCCCTCTGCACTACTCAATCATCGTGAATCCTCACCTCTGTGTCTTCTTCGTTTTGGTGTCCTTTTTCCTTAGCCTGTTGGATTCCCAGCTGCACAGTTGGATTGTGTTACAATTAACCATCATCAAGAATGTGGAAATCTCTAATTTGGTCTGTGACCCCTCTCAACTTCTCAAACTTGCCTGTTCTGACAGCGTCATCAATAACATATTCATATATTTCGATAGTACTATGTTTGGTTTTCTTCCCATTTCAGGGATCTTTTTGTCTTACTATAAAATTGTCCCCTCCATTCTAAGGATTTCATCGTCAGATGGGAAGTATAAAGCCTTCTCCACCTGTGGCTGTCATCTAGCAGTTGTTTGCTGGTTTTATGGAACAGGCATTGGCTTGTACCTGACTTCAGCTGGGTCACCACCCCCCAGGAATGGTGTGGTGGCTTCAGTGATGTACGCTGTGGTCACCCCATGCTGAACCTTTTCATCTGCAGCCTGAGAAACAGGGACATACAAAGTGCCCTGCGGAGGCTGCGCAGCAGAGCAGTCGAATATCATGATCTGTTCCATCCTTTTTCTTGTGTGGGTGAGAAAGGGCAACCACATTAAATCTCTACATCTGCAAATCCTGCCCCTCAGTCACATTCTTTTTGTGGCTTGATGGCTTTTATTCCTTTCCGCATTTCCTTTGTGAATATTGCTTTCTTCGTTATGCCTTTATCTGGAATGAGTGACGATTCTGGGATCCTTGGTTTAGCAGAAACCTCATGACAGAATCTTCTATACCTAGGTGGCCTCTTTTAGTCTCTGAGCAATAACCATGCCATCCAGGTGGAATCACAACCATCATTTTATATACACGAAGTCCTCACTTCGTTTTGGAATTCCCTGAAAACTGACTTTATGGAAACAATGTACAGAAGGTCCTCCAACAGCATTGGTTGTTCAAAGTCGTGTAGTTATACTGTTGATGAAAAATAAGTGGTTTCACTATACATAATTTTGCTTCAAGGTGAAGTTTCCAAGAGACTTTCAAAGATGTTAAGTGAGGACATACTGTACATCAAATTCATATCCTCTTCCACAGTTCATGTGGAATTTCTTTATAAACTTCTTCTAGAGAATCTATTTAGGCAGGTTCTGTGTAGATATCCATGTCGCCGTTCCTCAATCTTGGCTTTGAGTCAAATCACCTGGGCAGCTTACACATGATGAGGACTGGTTCTCAATACCTGAGATTCTGATTTCCTTGCACCTGTGTGAGTGTGTGGATTTTTTTTTTTCTTTTAAAGCACCAGAGGTGGTTCCAATGACGAAGTTTTTAGAGGCATCAAGCTGCAATGAGTAAGAACAGAAATTAATTGTAATATGATTTCTTCAAATATTATCTTCAAATGCATTGTCCATCAACACCATACGAATGTTTATTATGCTGTTTTTTCTTACCATTTCGCATTTTCTATTTCCTTCTTGTCCTTTTTTTTTTTTTTTTTTTTTTTTTTTTTGAGTCAGAGTTTCACTCTTGTTGCCCAGGCTGGAGTTCAATGGCACGGTCTCGGCTCACTGCAACCTCTGCCTCCCGTATTCAAGCAATTCTCCTGTCTCAGCCTTCCAAGTAGCTGGGATTACAGGCATGCGCTACCATGCCTGGCTATCTTTTTGTTGTTGTTGTTGTTGTTGTATTGTTAGTAGAGACAATGTTTCTCCATTTTGGTCAGGCTGGTCTTGAACTCCCGACCTCAGGTGATCCGGCCGCTTCCGCCTCCCAAAGTACTGGGATTACACGCATGAGGGACCGCGCCCAGCCACCACTTAGCATTTACATTTTGCAATTGTTGAAGTTATCGATTTATACACACATCAATTGCTGCTTTGTTATACACTTGCAGATACATAAGATGGGAAATAGAAAAGAATAAAATGGGCACGGTATCCCTGAAGTTTCACATTCTGAGACTTTAAAAATATTTGCTCTTTAGAAATTTGTTTCAATAAAGAAACTGTGGTATACACACCCAATGAAGTATTATTCAGCCTAAAGAGGAAGAAAATCCTCTCCGCTGCAGACAAAATGGATGAGATTGCAGGTCTGTATATTAAATGAAATAAGCCAGGCACAGAATGTCAAATATTTCATGTCCTCACTTCTACGTAGGAAGAAAAAAGGAAACCTTGACCAGGCGTGGTGGCTCAGACCTGTAATCCCAGCACTCTGGGATGCCGAGTCGCAGGGATCACTTGAGTCCAGGGGTTCGAGACCCGCTTGGCCAACATGGTGAAACCCCGTCTCTACGGAAAAAACAAGCAATTAGCCGGGCGTGGTGACGCGTGCCTCTAGTCTCAGCTACTCGGAGGGCTGAGGCCCAAGAAGCGCTTGAACTCGGGAGGCGGAGCTTTCAGTGAGCCCGGATTGTGCCTGTGTACTCCAACCTGGGCAACATAAAGAGACTCCATCACACACCTACACACAAAAGGAATCTCAGGAAGGTGGAAAGTATAAAGGTGGTTAGCAGACGCTAGGAAGAAAAGGGGTGGGATGGGGAATGAAGACAAGTGGATAATTGGGTCCCAAAATACAGAAAGATGGAATAAGTGAGTTCTAGTGTTTGATTGTACAGTATGAAAATTTTAGTTCACAAGAATTTCTTGAATATTTCCAGATGCTTTGGTAAGAAACTTCCTAATTTTCTCATTATGCTGGTTTTTCAGCTCTTCTCTTTCTGCTCTTGAAATCATGCTGGTTTTTTGTTTTTTGTTTTTTGTTTTGAGATGGAGTTTTGCTCTTGTTGCCCAGGCTGGAGTGTCATGGTGCAATCTTGGCTCACCGCAACCTCTGCCTCCTGGGTTCAAGCGATTCTCCTGTCTCCACCTCCCGAGTAGCTGGGATTACAGGCACGCGCCTGTAGTAGAGACGGGGGTTTCTCCCTGTCGGTCAGGCTGGTCTTCAACTCCTGACATCAGGTGATCCGCCCACCTCGGCCTCCCAAAGTGCTGGGATTACAGGCGTGAGCGACGGGCCCGGCCCATGCTGTAACATTATCTGTTGTCTGCTGTTGTTTGTTTATTTTGGAGCCCAGAAATAACTTGTCACCTGTATGTTCAAACGATTTTTAACATGAGTGGTAAGAAAGCTCATTGGTGGAAAAACAGCCTTTTCAAGAAATGGTGTTGGAGAAACTTGATTTCCACATGCAGAAGAATGAAGGTGGACACTATGTCACACCAGGGGCAAAAATTAACACAAACTGGATCAAAGACCTCACCCCAAGCGCTAAAAGAATCATTCGCCTAAAGGAAAACATTGGCCATGCTTTCATGACATCAGATTGGGCAATGTTCTCTGGGATATGACACCAAAAGCATAGGCAACAAAAGAAAATTAGATTCCTTGGATTACATCGAAATGACAGACACTTTTGTGCAGCAAAATCACGGCAAACTGAGTGAAAAGATAACCCATGGATTAGGAAAAATATTTTCAAAGCATATATCTGAAAAGAGGCTGATATCCATCATACATAAAGAACAGGCAGAACTAAAGAACAAGAAACCCAAAGCATCCCATCAATAATGGTCAGAAGACTCAAGTAGACGTGTTCCTAAAGAAGATATAGCAATGGCCAATAAGCATCTAAAATGATGTTCAAAATCACTCATCATAGGGAAGCGCAAATCAAACCAAGAATGTGACACCACACATTAGGATGGATATGATAAACAAACAGGATTGGTGAGACTAGAGGGAAGTAGGAATGCTCGAATCTGATCAGAAGGAATGTAAAACCGTGAAGGAACGGGGAAAATAGTATGGCGTCTACTGGAAAAATTAGAAACAGGATGATCATATGTTGCCGCAGTTGCATTTGTGGGTACCTACAAAAAGAAGCCAGGAGTGGAAGACAGATTTGTGTACACCCATATTCATAGCAGCATTATTCACAAGAGCCAAAATGTGGAAGCAACCCAAGGGTTCGTGGACAGATGAATGAAAAAGCCCACTGCAGTTCCTTCATACAATGGAAGACTATTCAGCCTTCAAAAGGCAGGCACTTCTGGCCGGTGCGGTGGCTCACGCCTGTAATCGCAGCGTCTTGGAAGACCGAGGTGGGCGGATCATCTGAGGTCAGGAATTCAAGACCAGCCTGGCCATCTTGGGGAAACCCTGTCCCTACTGAAAATGCAAAAAATGAGATGAGCATGGAGGCGTGTGCCTATAGTCCCAGCTACTCGGGAGGATGTGGCACAAGAATCACTGGAACCCGGGAAGCGGAGGTGAGCCCAGATTGTGCCACTGTACTCCAGCCTGTGCGACAGAGTGAGACTCTATGGAAACACAAAACAAAACAAAGTCAAACGAACAAACAAAAAACAACAAAAAAAAAACAGACAGGCACTTCTGAGGCAGGCCGCAACATGGATGAACCTTGAAGACATTATCGTCAGTGAAATAAATAAATCCCAAAAGGATAAACAGGCCCAGGCTCAGTGGCTCGCACCTGTAACACCAGCACTTTGGGAGGCTGAGCCAGGCGGATCACTTCAGGTCAGGAGTTCGAGACCAGCCTGGCCAATATGGTGAAAGCTCGTCTCTATTAAAAATACAAAAATTAGCAGGGTGTGGTGGCGCACGCCTGTAATCCCAGCCTCTCGGGAGACTGAGACACAAGAATCGCTTGAACCCACGATGTGGAGGTTGCAGTGAGCCGAGATCACACCACTGCACTCCAGACTGGGTGAGAGAGAAAGACTCTGTCTCCAAAACAAAAAAAAAAACACGGTATGATTCCACTTATCTATCAAGTGTCTAGAGTAGTTAAACTCATAGAGTTGCAAACTAGAAAGGTGGCCCCCAGGGGTGGGCGAGAGAAAGGAATGGAGAGCTTGGTGAATGGGTGGAATTTCCATTTTGAAAGATAAAACTGTTCCTGAGATGATGGCGGTGATGCTTGCTAAATAATGTTAACGTACTTAATGTCATTAATCTGTAAACTGAAAAAGAGTGGAAATTGTAAATGTTTATACTGGCCATTCTATATGAACTAATATATATTTATAATTTTTAATATTTATACGTGGTATATTTTCCCATTATAAAAGATGAAAATTAAAGCAGTTGGATGTTTAAAAAGAAAAGAAAGAAGCGAAGAATACACACCAGCTTTCTTCTGATTAGAGGAAGAGCCCCAAAGTTTCTATGGACACTCACTTTTCTCTTCTTCTTGCATTATTATGAGGACATCCTTAGAGGCTGGGGAACTTGGGCGGCTTTGGCTAATGAGGAGCTCTGTGCCTGAGCCCCCCAGGCCACAGGATAGTAAATACTCAGTCTGTGCCTCCAGCCCTGCAGTGTGAGGTTGCAGTCCTGTGGGCTCCACAGCCGTCACCTGTATCAGGAGGCTCATGTCTCACCCTGTCTTCTTGCCAGCCTTGAGGACGGAGCCTGAGCCTCCATGGTGCACCACGCAGGGAGGACAGTGGACCTGTTCTCCGTGGTCATGTCCCAGCAGAGGGGAGAGGCAGTTCAGTGAGTGTAGGGAAAAGAAAGAGAGATCAGACTCTTACTGTGTCTATGCAGAAAGGAAAGACATAAGAGACTCCATTTTGAGAAAGACCTGTACTTTCAACAATTGCTTTGCTGAGATGTTGTTAATCTGTAGCTTTGCCCCAGCCACTTTGACCCAACCTGAAGCTCACAAAAACATGTGTTGTATGAAATCAAGGTTTAAGGGATCTAGGGTTATGCAGGACTTGCCTTGTTAACAAGATGTTTCCAAGCAGTATACTTTGTAAAAGTCATCGCCATTCTCTAGTATCAATAAACCAGGGGCACAATACACTGTGGAAAGCCGCAGGGAGCCCTGCCCTTGAAAGCAGGGTATTGTCCAAGGTTTCTCCCCATGTGATAGTCTGAAATATGGCCTGGTGGGATGAGAAAGACCTGACCATCCCCCAGCCCGCCCCCCGTAAAGGGTCTGTGCTGAGGTGGATTAGTCAAAGAGGAAAGCCTCTTGCAGTTGAGAGAGAGGAAGGCCGCTGTTTCCTGCCTGCCCCTGGGAACTGAATGTCTCGGTATAAAACCCGATTGTACATTTGTTCAATTCTGAGATGGGAGAAAAACCGCCCTATGGTAAGAGGCGAGACATGTTTGCAGCAATGCTGCCTTGTTATTCTTTACTCCACTGAGATGTTTGGGTGGAGAGAAACATAAATCTGGCTTACGTACACATCCAGTCATAGTACCTTTCCTTGAAATTCCTTATGAAATAGATTCTATTTCTCACATGTTCGTTGCTGACCTTCTCCTTATTATCACCCTGCGCTCCTACTACATTCCTTTTTGCTAAAATAATAAAAATAATAGTCAATAAAAACTGAGGGAACTCAGAGTCCTGTGCCGGTGCAGGTCCTTGGTATGCTGAGCGGCGGTCCCCTAGGCCCACTGTTGTTTCTCCATACTTTGTCTCTGTATCTTATTTCTTTTCTCAGTCTCTCGTCCTACCCGACTGGAAATACCCACAGCTGTGGAGGAGGAGGCCACCCCTTCAAGTGAGTGCTGAGGGACGGTCGGGAGACTTGTTTGTTTCCTCATCCTCAGGACAAACAGGAGAGTGCGGTGGGCAGATGTGAGGAGACCAATGTGCAACTCTCTGCTCAGCAGACTGTGCAGTTTATGTTCTTGGTTGTGCTGGGGGTCTCAGAAATCTTATTCAAAATTTTGCTTTCCTCCCCCACTGGTTGTCCTTTTCATAAACATCTCACCCATGATAGCAGGGAATCAGTCCCTCTAACTATTCCCTAAGAACAACAAAGAGATTATGAAGGTGATGATGAGGATAAAGAGGATGACGACAGACACCATGGCATCATGAACCCTTACTGAGGGCTTCCTAAAGGCCAGGCTCTGAGCTCTGTGCTCTATGCAGCTTGTTTCATTTCATCTGCATAGTCTCCACGTTATTAGTGCACATTTCATGATGATTTTACAGACTAGAAAAAGCGCAACGGATTTTCATGCAGCTTGTACCAGATCACGAAGTCAAAAAGGGCGAAGTCCAATTTGAACCAGGCAGTCTAAGTCCAGACACATGGCATTTGGCAAGTCCTCTCCCTGCAACCAACCTGCCCTCTCAAATCCTCGTCACTCAGGCGGATGCCCCTACTCACTGTGCCCTTCCCTTTGTGGGTTCCTTGTTGACCACAGCTAGACCAGTGGGTGCCACAATCACTGTGTCATGTATAGAAAGGGCAGCTGAGATCACATCAAGGATTCCAGAAAGAATTTGCACAGGATCATTCGGGACGCATCTCTCCCTTGCCCCTGTTCCTGGCTTTCCTTACAGCTCTCAACTTCCTCAAAGGAGTCATCAATTCGGAGTTTGGCTTCCATTCCTATTGAGGAAGCTGGAAAGTGTTTCAAAAATGCTCCTCCGATGTGCCTGTGGTTAAGACCTCTGAGCTCTGCTTAAAACTCTTTGAAGCTGGGCGCGTTGGCTCAAGTGTGTAATCCCAGCCCTTTGGGAGGCTGAGGCAGGCGAATCACAAGGTCAGGATTTCGAGACCAGCCTGGCCAACATGGTGAAACCCTGTTTCTACTAAAAATACCAAAAAAACTCAAAAAAATTAGCCAGGCATGGTGGCATACGCCTGTCATCCCAGCTACTGGGGAGGCTGAGACAGGAGACTCCTTTGAAGCCGGGAGACAGAGGTTGCAGTGAATCGAGATCACGCCACTGCACTCCTGCCTGGGCAACAGAGCAAGACTCCGTCTCAAAAAAATAAATAAATAAAAATTACGAAAAAATGGCAAACTTTAGCCGTTAGCTCACGTACCACTTTGGAAGGGCATACCTTTAGTCACTTCACCCTTTAATCCCTTTGCTCAAGACTAAAGTTCTGAGAGGAAGACTAATCGGCTGAGTTGTGTCCATGTGGGCAGTGCAGGAAAGGATGCAGCGGGACGCTGCTCCAGGGATGTCTTTGGCTTCCATCATGGGGGAGCAGGCGCCTGGATTACCCACCCTAACAAATCTGGACAAAGGAAAACGAGGTTCTCCGAGGAAGGAGACATAGAGCCCAAGGAGCTAACCAAGAGACAAATGGTCATCCTGTCTTGTCATTTTCTTTTACACATGTGTGTACATTATCTTACACTTATCACTTTGTTTTCTTTCTCTCCTTTAATTGCACGCTGCTGCCAAAAGTTAAAATAAAATGAAAGTATTGAGATAGCTCAGTAACTGACTTTTGGTCAATTGCCTTTTCATATAGTGAACAGGTGCCCAAACGATTGTCTCTGTCACTGTGCAAATTTGCAAGCGTTTGCATGATCACTCCCACTCCCCCAATACAGAGCTGTGTTACAGCACAATTTAGTTCAGTGTTTTGCTCTCTGCAACAGGGAGGTTCTCATCCATTACACGTTGCAGTAAAAACAGGGGTACCATAAGCAACCAGCTCTTTCCTCAAAGAGGTGATGAAAGCAAAAGCCAAGTAGCTCCATGTATCCAACTTAAAAATATAAAAGTTACGCCCGTGGGCTGCAGTTGGAGCTATGGCGGCGGCAGCTGTCACTGGGCCTAGCCCGGGGTGTGGACCTGGGGACTCCCCAGAAGGGCCCGAGGGGGAGGCTCAAGGAGCGTCGGTGGAAGGCGGACAGGATGCTGAAGTTTTACAACGGCCTCTCGGAAGTGGAGGCGGTGGGACTCCCTGCGGGGACCGACCCCCTGGACCCCACTGATATGAACGGGGTACACTTCGACCCGGAAGTTTACCTAGACAAGCTTCCTAGAGAGTGCCCTCTGGCCCAGCTGATGGATAGTGAGACGGACATGGTGCAGCAGATCCGGGCTCTAGACAGCAACATGCAAACCCTGGTCTATGAGAACTACGATAAGTTCTCATAGACCCAGCCACAGAAATTGACACACAGCATAAAACTGTAAGAGGAATTGCAGGAGACCCAGAATTTCCCAAATAACCTTGTAAAAGAAGAACAAATTTGGAAGACTCACAAAAAATATATATATATATATATATATATATATATATATATATACATATTATATATATATACATATATATATAAAGTTGTGTTTTCATTCAGTTGTAAATGTTTAGTAATTTCTATTGTGATTTTTCATTTAACTCATGAAAGGATATTTTTAATTTTCCAAATATATGCTTGTGTTTAGCTATCTTCTTGCTGTTGACTTCTAATTTTGTGGCATTATGGTCAGGAAAATGTGGTCTGGACACTGTCAATCGTATAGTGGATTTTGTTGAGACTTCTTTATGGCCTAATATGTGGCCAGTTTTTTTTTTTTTTTTTTTTTTTTTGCAAATTTGCCACATGTGGTTAAAAGGAATGTGGATTTTTTTTTTAGGAGAGTTTTTATTTTGAAATAGATAAGGTTCTCAGTGTAATTGAAATCTAACTTCAGTTAACAATATGCTAGACCTCTCAAACCTCAGGATGTTAGTCAGTGTAACAATAGACTGCTGCTGAGACGAATAAACCCTGAACTCTCAGTGGGTTGACACCCATAGCATAGTCTGGTGCAGGGCAGGGGTTCTCCTTGGGGGCCCTTGTCCAACAGTGATTCAGAGATTCTGGAGGTTTCCATCTTTTAATTCTGCCATCTCAGAGTTTTTCACTTGTAGCCATATGGATAGGAAGAGAGGGAACATAGCTCACACTTTGATAACCTTGGCCCAGAAGTGATTTCTTACATTCCTATTGGTGGAAATGCAGTCACATGGTTCCAAACTAACTGCAAATGAGGCTGGGAAATGTAGTCTTTCTGCATGTCCAGGAAGAGGAATGGTGTGAACACAGTATTGTCTTTGACACACTAAGCATGTGCTGAAGAGTTCTTACTCTCATAGGAGGTTTGTCTGTCCTGTGTAACTTTCTCAGTTTTTGCTTAGATAGTTTCAGGCAATGCTGTTTGGTGCATTCAGCTTGATGATTATTATGTCCTCTTGGCAAAGTAGTCAAGATTCCCATCAGTTTGAATGAAAGTGTTTTACAGATAGGTCAGGAAATGTTAATACTTTAAAAGGCCCTTCTATTCCTCCACTCTACATATAAGAAAAACAGAGTCCTAGAGAGAGGAGGTCATGGGTCTCACTCATGAGTGGCAGAATTGAAACCAATGTGGCACTAACTTTGCCTTTCCCCCATCATGTTGTTCTCCTTCTATCTTCACTCTGCTGATTTCTTCACTTGCTCCATACAGACCTCCCAGTGCCAAGTGTATAAGTGTGTCCAGAATTGGTGGGTTCTTGGTCTCACTGACTTCAAGAACGAAGCTGTGGACCCTCCTGGTGAGTGTTACAGTTCTTAAAGGTGGCGTGTCTGGAGTTTGTTCCTTCTGATGTTCGGATGTGTTTGAAGTTTCTTCCTTCAGGTGGGGCTCGTGGTCTCGCTGGCTCAGGAGTGAAGCTGCAGATCTTCACGGTGAGTGTTACAGCTCTTACGGCTGCAGGTCTGGAGTTGTTCATTTCTCCCAGTGGGTTCATGGTCTTGCTGGCTTCAGGAGAGAAGCTGCAGACCTTCTCGGTGAGTGTTACAGCTCATAAAGTCAGTGTGGACCCAAAGAGTGAGCAGCAACAAGATTTATTGCAAAGAGCAAAAGAACAAAGCTTCCACAGTGTGGAAGGGGACCCCAGTGGGTTGCCACTGCTGGCTCGGGCAGCCTGCTTTTATTCTCTTACCTGGCCCCACCCACATCCTGCTGATTGGTCCATTTTACAGAGAGCCTGAGTGGTCTGTTTTGACAGGGCACTGATTGGTGCGTTTACAATCCCTGAGCTAGACACAAATGCTCCCCACGTCCCCACTAGATTAGCTAGATACAGAGTGTCCACACAAAGGTTCTCCAAGTCCCCACCCTAGTAGCTAGATACAGAGTGTCAATTGGTGCATTCATAAACCCTGAGCTAGATACAGGGTGCTGATTAGTGTGTTTACAAACCTTGAGCTAGATACAGAGTGCCAATTGGTGTATTTCCAATCCCTTACCTAGACATAAAGTTCTACAAGTCCCCACCAGACTCAGGAGCCCAGCTGGCTTCACCCAGTGGACCCAGCACAGGAGCTGCAGGTGGAGCTGCCTGCCAGTCCCTCTCCATGCACCCACACTCCTCAGCCCTTGGGTGGTCGATGGGACTGGGCGCCATGGAGCAGGGGGCGGTGCTCATCGGGGAGGCTTGGGCCGTACAGGAGCCCACAGAGGGGGGAGGCTAAGGAATGGCAGGCTGCAGGTCCCGAGCCCTGCCCCGCAGGGAGGCAGCTAAGGCCCGGTGAGAAGTCGAGCACAGCAGCTGCTGGCCCAGGTGCTAAGCCCCTCACAGCCCCGGCCGGCAAGGCCAGCCGGCAGCTCCTAGTGCAGGGCCACCAAGCCCACGCCCATCCAGAACTCCAGCCGGCAGGCAAGCAGCACACGTAGCCCCAGTTCCAGCTCATGCCTCTCCCTCCATGCCTCCCTGCAAGCTGAGGGAGCCAGCTCTGACCTCGGCCAGCCCAGAAAGGGGCTCCCACCATGCAGCCGTGGGCTGAAGGGCTCCTCAAGTGCTGCCAAAGTGGGAGCCCAGGCAGAGGAGGTGCCGAGAGTGAACGAGGGCTGTGAGGGCTGCCAACACGCTGTTACCTCTCATAAGGAGTGATTAATCTGAGCTTCTCCAGAAAGTCCATTCCTGGTAGGCACTGGGAATAAGAAATCTCAGAGTATAAAAAAACATCAAGTGGTAGCACTTTTGTGAGTGGCTCCCAAATTAGATCCTTTACCTTTTTTTCATGAAGCACAGTTGCCCAAAACACGCTTAGCCTGAGGTGAAGCACATATTAGAGAAAAGTTCTCTCTATAGCATTATGTATTACTCAAATGAGCATTAAAAAGAGGAGACGGGATATGCTCTCTCTAGCTATTATTACCTGCACTATAGAGTTGACATACACAAGCTCATTATTGCATTATGTTTTATTCAACAAAATAACTTTAATGTTGAAGCTTAAATTGAATTCGCTAAAACATCTTTGTCTCCAGCATAGTGTGCCTCAAGTGTCTCCTTGGTGCCTGAATTTTCTCCAGAATTATAGTGCTGAAACTATGGAAATGGTGAAATTATATGCAATCTGCAAAACAATGTGGCTATAACGTGGTAATTGGCCTTCCACATAATTAAAGGAACATTTCCTCATCAGAGCTGTTCCATCAGAGACCCAAAGGCTATCGTTGTACAAATCACCCACTTAGGAAAACCTTTATTCCCAGTAGCCTATAAAAATCTGCTTATGCAAACAGATTTGCTTATTCAGTAACATTAATGGCTTCTCATAATTAAAAAGTCATCAATGTGATTGACCTATAATCTGCTTCCTCTGTGACCAAGTGTCATTTTTATTTTGACAGTTAGGAGCCTTTTGACTCTTTCACAGCTGGCATGAAGGCACAGGGAGGGAAATCTCAAAAACCAACAACCTGTGTATTCCCAGCCTATTAATCAATAGAAAATCACTTCAACTGGATTAGGGTCTTGTACCTGGCAGAAAGGCTCTTATGGACATTGGAATTGGATTTTTACACTTGATATGACACCTCCTTGAGTCAGATCAGATTCGTGTTTGATAGACTCTTGCCGAAAAATTGCTCCAGGGTCTGTGCAGTAGCTAAAGCCTTTTTATTGTTGTTGTTTTAAAAGCAGCATTAAATGTTTTCATGAAGACCTTCCCAGCAGTTATTTTATTGGGAATATGGTCTTTAGCTCTGGTCCTGAATAACTCACACTGAGGAAACCTCTAACAAGTGTTTTATTGGAAGATGTCTGATGGATGGTTGGTTTTAATAACAAATCTCTTCCCTTTTTCTGTCCCCTGTGTTCTATGCTCCTTTCTTACACATTATTCTGGGAGGATTCACCTATTCCCAAAGTCCTTTCCTCTTTATTTCCATTCCAGAGCTCTCTGTATAACTCCAGGCTGATGAATCCAACTGCCCAGTTGTTATCTCCACTTGGCTGTCTGTCTTGCATTGACCTCATCTTACCTTTCCTCTCCTGATTTCCTCTTCTGCCAGGGCTCACCACGTCAGATTCACACCACCATCCACCCAGCTTCCAAATCACCTGGGCCTCCTCCTTCATTCCTCCCTCTTTCTCAGTCAAGTTAGTCTACTGTCTCCTCTCCATCCTCACTGCCACAGCCTTGGTCCAGCCAACCATCTTGTCTCACTTGGCGTATTGCAGCCTCCTACCTGGTCTACTCACCACCCACTCTCCTCCAGCCAGACTGCTCTTCTTCTAGCACAAAGTGGATCATTACTCCCCTGCATAAAAACATCTACTGTCTCCCTTTCTCTACAGGATAGACACGACAAAGAGCCTTTAAGATTTGCCTCCAACTTACCTCTATATTACTCACTTTTTACAATTATATGAACATCTCTCAGCTCCTCACCCTCTCACGTCTCGATTTTTACACATGCTCTTCCCTCTGCTGAGAATGATCTTCCACACCTCTCCTATCGACCTGGCTAGTTCCTACCATTTTCTAGTCTTCAACTGAGGAGTCCTGTGGTGGAGAAGGATTTCTCACCACCCGATATAGATTGCATGCCCACCCACCTCCGAGCTTTTTCTTTTTTCTTTCTTTTTTTTTTTTTTTGAAAGAGTCTCGCTCTGACCATGCAAGCTGGAATGCAGTGGTGCGATCTTGGCTCACTGCAATCTCCACCACCCGGGTTCAAGCAATTCTCCCACCTCAGCCTTCTGAGTATCTGGAATTACAGGTGCCCCCCACCACATCTGGCTAATTTTTTTGTATTTTTAGTAAAGATAGGATTTCACCATGTTGGCCAGGCTGTTTTCGAACTCCTGGCCTCAAGTGATCCACCCACCTTGGCCTCCCGAAGTGCTGGGAATACAGGCATGAACAACTGCACCTGGCCGATTGGGTGCCCCTTCTATGTGCTCCCATTGCCCCAGGCATACTGTCACCATAACTCTTACCATTCTGAGTTGAAAATGATTTTTTTTTTTGCTTTTTATTTCTCTCATTAAATGAAAGCTTATTGAAAAGAGGACAGTGGTTGTTCACTGTTGTACTCCTAACCTTTGACTCAGTGTCCTTAGGTTGGCTCTACAGCTGTGCACACATGTTCAGACATTGGAGCACATCTTGTCTAGCACCTCTTTTGTGGTGGCTTAGAGAAAAGTCAGTAGGTACTTCCCCAAGGATGAAACAGAAGCTTCACCTAAAGCAGTTCTTCAACTTCAGCCTGCATTAGAATCCTCTGAGACCTTGTTAAAAATACCATCTCCTGGAGCCCACTCTTCAAGAGTCGGTGAGTTGCTTCATCATCAAAATATACACAGAATTCAGGCAGTCTTCAGCCCCAGCCTGGTCTGAACCTCTGTGGACTCCCACCTGCAGAATGTCCCTGCTGGTCTCCTTGCTTCTGCTCTTACCTTCTTATTACCCATTCGAGTAGCCGGGGTGATCCTTTTTAAAAAATTTTTTAAATTTTTTTGTGATGAAGTCTCACTCTGTTGCCCAGGCTGGAGTGCAGTGGTGCTATCTCAGCTTGCTGCAGCTCTATCTCCTGGGCTCAAGCAATCCTCCCACCTCAGTCTCTTGGGTAACTGGGACCACAGACATACACCACCACACCCGGCTAATTTTTGTATTTTTTGTAAAGACACGGTCTTGCTGTGTTGCCCAGGCTAGTCTTGAACTTCTGTGTGCACCCACCTCAGCCTCCTGCATTTTTAGGAGGCTCCTCTTGTAGGGATTTTGATCCAGATGCCTGGGTGCCTCATGTCTCCTCCCATCTCTCTCTGTCTTTCTGTCTCTGTCTCTCTCTCTCTTTCTCTTTGCCTTATAGCTGCCCTGGGGTCTAGACTCTGCCTTAGGCATCCCTCTGGCTCTTGTTTGCTTTTATACTGAGGCTGCTTTAAATTGCACCTTGATCTGAAGCCTTGGGCTTCTGTTTCTATTCCTTGCTTTTGTTGGAAGGGCCATGCAGCTTCTTGACAAATTGCAAAGGTGCCCACGAGTTTCCAAGTCCCCAAGAACCAAACCAGATGACAAACAAGGATGCAGTCCACAGCTGGGGAGACAGATTTCATGTCCACACAGAGACTCCAAGATGCTGAACTGAAATCCACCTCGAAACCTGTTTTCTCTCTCATTTAAGTTCATTGTCACCTGGGGGCTTGCAGGGCAGAGCTGGTGACCATTCTCAGGGCAAAGATGCTTTGAAATGTCAACTGAGAATGGTGTGGTGGTTGACAGATGGCACGTCAGAGCATAGATTAACATGGAAAGAGAAATTCACCCCTTGGGGGGAGTGTGTGAGGCTGGCAGCCACACAGAGGGCTTTTCCTGTGAGCTCTTGCATAGATGCAAACAGCCAGGAGGTTTTGCTTTCTGATCCTAAGTGGAAGCATGTTCTTCCCTGCACATTGCCGCTCTGCAGCAAATGTTTATTCCTGTTGCATTGATTAAAAGTGCTTACCAGGCCGGGCGCGGTGGCTCACGCCTGTAATCCCAGCACTTTGGGAGGCCGAGGCAGGCAGATCACAAGGTCAGGAGATTGAGACCATCCTGGATAACACGGTGAAACCCCGTCTCTACTAAAAATACAAAAAATTAGCCGGGCATGGTGGCGGGCACCTGTAGTCCCAGCTACTTGGGAGGCTGAGGCAGGAGAATGGCATGAACCCAGGAGGCGGGGCTTGCAGTGAGCCGAGATTGTGCCACTGCACTCCAGCCTGGATGACAGAGCAAGACTCCGTCTCAAAAATACAAAGTGCTTACCGAAGTGGTTTGAGGGCAGCGGTGACACTGTGAGTTATGGCTCTGCCGGCAGCCAGTGGAGCCAGCCTCTCTGCACAGCTGTGCAAGGGTGTTTTGAAAAGTGGCTCAGCCGGCCAGGAGTGACTGGCTGTAAATATTGCTGCCAGAACATCTTGTAGCCTGATTGGGGCCGTGTTTGCAGAACCCCTAAACCACTACACTTGTTCAGGCTTAAAAATAAGCTTACTTTTTTTTGTTTGTTTTGTTTTGTTTTATGAGATGGAGTCTAATTCTGTCACCGGGTTGGAATGCAGTGGCATGATCTCGGCCCACTGCAACCTCTGCCTCCTGCGTTCAAGTGATTCTCCTGCCTCAGGCTCCCGAGTAGCTGGGACTATAGGCGTGTGCCATCATGGCCAGCTAATTTTTGAATTTTTAGTACAGACGGGGCTTCACCTTTTTGGTCAGGATGGTGCGATCTCTTGACCTCGTGATCTGCCCGCCTTGGCTTCCCAAAGTGCTAGGATTACAGGCGTGAGCCACCGTGCCTGGTCAAACATAAACTTACTTTCTTACCTCTTCTGCTGAACTCTATGTGCTTCTTTTCGCAACTTCTGCTGAACTCTATTTTGCTTCTTTTTCCTGGATAAGGCTCTTGTTTATCCAGAAGAACTTTTAGCAACAAAGTTACCCAATGCCTTTCCCTAGTCTCTCCTTGCAACTGACTCTCAGTGGTGGGGGGGGGTGGGTAGGAGGAAATCCTTGACAGAACCAATTTACATGACTGTTTGGAGGACTCTCACTAGCCCCAGGAGGTGTTTACATTTTTAAATTGGTTACTAGTGTCAGAATGTTTCATGAGTAAGAGCACAGCCTCTAAGTTGGATACCCTGAATTTAAGTCTCAACATGGCCATTTTGTATATAAGCAGAGGACGGATTTGGGGACCCAATGGATCTACCATGACATGAACTTGGACCAACATTCACCTGAACTCCAAAATGCCTATTCTGACTGGTAGACCCTAGTCTCGCCCTAGTGCCAGTTCAGAGCCTGTGTCCAGTGGTCTTGCACAGGTCCCATTAGTTCTTTTTCTCCTATTCAGTCATCCTGGTAAAGGCTGTGTATTCCCTTGGGGACAGGCTGGGAGAAAGATTGACAGTATAAATTTTTGGCAGTGGAGCAGAGTCCTTTCTGGAGGGGACCTGGCTTCCCATTCAGACAAGGGACTCCAGGTCTGTGAACTGGCTTATGTCTGGGAATTGACGGGGGACTGTGACTCTGTTTTTATGATTCAGATTAGACTTCTGCTCACCTGACCTAGAATTCTTCTTCAAACACAGATCAAGTAAAAATGTGGCAGGCTTCTTATCTATTTCAGTTCTAGGAAAGCCACGATCAGCCGGCACCATAGGTCTCTGCGAGTCAGGCTATTCTGGTTGCAGCTTTGACTCTGCTGTCTTTTATGGTAACTGCATCCACCTTGCCTTTGGGGATTGAGTGCTCTGATCACTTGACCCCAGCCCCTGTACTGTGCGTATGTCACTTACCCTCTTTATACCTCAGTCTCCTCCTCTATAAAATGGGCATCCTCATTGCACCCACCCCCAGGGCTGCTGTGAGGTATAGATGGATTAGCATATGGAAGGTAATAGAAGAGGGTCTCAAAGCCCATGTGTCGTTATCAGAATTATTTCGTGACAGGGGAGAGCTGGAGGAGAGAGGAAGGTGCTGAGCAGACCCACGTGCTCTCCCACCAGTGTTTCCTGAGCACCCACTATGTGCTGCCCACTGTGAGAGCTGTTAGGGTTGAAATAGGGAGAACAGCAGGATAGGGGTTGCCATCAGGAGCTTAGTGGGGAGACCGTTGTGCAACATGGTTACAGTGCTTGGGGGTGGGGAAGCCCAGGGACTACAGGGGCCTAGGATCCAGGGCAGAATCATGGAAAGGACACAGCCGCCCCAGCCTCCCCTGCCTCCCCTGCCTCCCTGACCTCCTCTGTTCCCTGGCCTCTCCTGCCTTCCTGGCTTCCCCTTCCACCCCGGCCTCCCCAGTCTCCCCTGTCTTTCCTGCTTTTGAGGTGGGCCAGGAGCTGCTGGTGCTCACTTAGCCTGTCCTGGACTCTGGGTGTAGCACTTCGGTGTCCAGAAAATACCCCCGGGTTCAGCTTATCACACAGCCAAGAAAGGAGCTCCACACTGACACTAAGGGTGCATCCTGGGCTCATTCATCAGGGCATGCCTCCAAAATATTTCTCCACGTCTCCTCCCTTTGCCCACCTGCATTGTCTCTGTGCCTCAGCCCCAGCTGGGGGCCTGCAAGGATCCTCTATCTCCTCTGCCCCTGCACGGCTGGGTCCCAGGCAATCTGTCTGCCCACCACACCTCTCTCCTGTTGCCCACCACGCTCCAGCCCCACAGTCCTCTTTCTGCTTCTTTCCCAGCCTCTGGGCTTTTGCACACGCTGTTCCTTCTGCCTGAACACCCTCCACTGGGCTGAGAACAACTCTCTGAGACCTCTCTCAGCTGTTGCTTCCTTTGGAAAAGCCGCTGCTGCTGTCCCTCTCCCAGCTCCAAGACCTGCTGAGCCTCCTGTCTTTTTCAGTTCCCATGCCCCCAGCACTTCTCCTTGGCCTCCTTTGGCCCAACTGACAATGTCCATTCTCAATGCCTTCCCACCCAGCGCTGAGCCCCACTTGGTGAAGGCAATGCCTGTCATGTTCACCACAATATCCCCTCCCCCATCACCACGACTGGTCCACAGTGATGCTCAAAAAAGATCTGTTGGTAGGCAATGGGAAGGTGCATTCATGTCATCCTGCAGGCGGAATTCTCCACGAGTTTTGAGCAGCCTCGGGTTTCCCACCACCTCCAAATCATGGAAGACACACGGTAAGAGCAAAGACAAGGTGGCTGTGGCCGATGTCCACCCTCTCGTGGCGTCCCTTCTCTTCTCTCCTCCTTGGGCAGGGAGACCATCGGGGTGCAACCTGGCTGGGGCGGGGAGGTGGTGCAGGGCATTGCCAGAGCGGGCCTGTCCATGGGCAAGGGACAGCGACCTCCTGGGCCAGGACATGTGACAGCTGCGCAGGCCTGGGCCCGGCGTGGCAGAGGTGCGCGAGAGCGGCCAGAAGAGGGCGCCAGAGAGCCAGGCGCGGCCCGCGGAGGAGCCCGGGCCGGCCCCGATACCCAGCTCCGCGCCGCGCGGACCCACCGAGCCCGTGCTCAGACGCCCCAGCTCCGCCGAGAAGCCGCTTGAGCCGGGTCCTTCTTCTTCCCCAAGTTCAGGCAGAGCCCGCGGAGCCATGGCCAGCCCTTCCAGCAGCTCCGAAGCCACTGGCAAGCCCCGAGGCAGGGATGGCAGTCCCAGGATGGGGGAGGAGGACGTCCCTCCCGAAGAGAAGAGGCTGGGGCTGTAGCTGGAGGGGGGAAGCGCACAGCCCGAGGACTGCGAGGACGGGGAGGACCCGCCGCTGCCAGGCAGGAAGGAGACCGGCACCCAGACAGGTGGCGACGGCAAAGGAGTAAGTGATGCGGGCGCGGGGGTCCGGGAGTGCCGGGGGCTCGGGGGTGCCGGGGACGCGACGAAGGGGCGTCGGGAGGCTCCGTGGCCGTCCCCGGGTTGAAGTTGGGAGTGCAGCCTTCATTCTGAACCCATTTAGGCAGCATGGGCAGCCCTCCTCGCCATGGGCAGGATCAGAGCCCCCCCGCCCAGTCTTGGGGTTGCTCCTGGATGCTGTCTGGGAGGCTTGCTCATGGTGACATCCTCATCTCCCCGTCCACGTTACCGCATTCAGAGCTTGGGTCACCTGGACACTGAACTCAGGTGAA
This sequence comes from Homo sapiens, assembly GCF_000001405.40. Lineage (NCBI taxonomy): Eukaryota > Metazoa > Chordata > Mammalia > Primates > Hominidae > Homo > Homo sapiens. The sequence continues at coordinate 7,611,998 of NC_000008.11, forward strand.
TTTTCTCTGAGATCCCGGGAGAAGGAGGACAGTTCTTTGGAAGGTTTTCCAGGGCCGATCACGGAAAGGATGAGAAGGGAGAGGTCCTGGTCGGGGACACAATTATGGTGTCAGTGTAACGCCGGGAAACTTTATTGCATGAAGTCCCTCTCACTCCCTCTACCTCCCTCTTTTACGTGGACTCTGCCAAAGACCAGGATACCAGAATGCGGTGGAGAGGCCAAGTGTAGTGAGACCTTGGGAATGCGATTCTGGAGCCAGGCGGCTGGGGTTTGCATCCTGGTTCTGCCCCTCCTTAGCTGGCTGACATGGCACAAGCCACTTACCCTGTCTGAGCCTTACTGTCTTCAGTGGCAAATGGATCTGTCAACAGGCTCCATTGCCTGGGGTTGTTGCTGCTGAGATTAAGGGAAGCTCGTCCATAGAAGCACTTAGCGTTGTGCCTGGCACATAGTGTATGGTGGATAAGTGGGACTTAAGACTAAAACTCATGCCCTGATGTGTTTTTGCAGTGATGTTTTGTTCTGGAGTACGTCACAAGAGACAAGGTTCTTGGCTGGGCATGGTGGCTGAAGCCAATAATCCCAGCACTTTGAGAGGCCGAAGGGGGAGGATCGCTTGAGCCCAGGAGTTTAAGACCAGCCTGAGCAACATGGTGAAGCCTCATATCTCCCAAAAAAAAAAAAAAAAAAAAAAGGCAGTTATGGTGGTGAGTGCCTGCAGTCTCAAGTACTTGGGAGGCTGAGGTGGGAGGATTGCTAGAGCCTAGAAGGTCAGGCTGCAGTGAGCTGTGATCATGCCACTGCACTCCAGCCTGGGTGACAAAGTGAGACCGTTTCAAGGAAAAGAGAGAGAGACAGACCCACAAAAGTCTTAAGCCAGAATCTCCATGTTAAAATGCTTTCTGGAGGCTAAAAGGATGATATGTTGATAATGAAATGTTTAAAAGGCAGAAACCCCACTGAATTGTTTGGTCCACAGAGGGAAATGGGAATCGCATGACCTGAAGGATGATGGAGGAACTGAACAGAAACCATCCTTGTTTCCTGAATCTGAACATGGCACGCTCTTTTCACGGTGCCTGTATCTGCTCAGTCCGGCAGCCCCTTGAAAAGAGGGAATCTTGATTTTCAAACTTAAAATTTGGCCCAAAGCTCACTGCTGCCCACAATGCCCGCCAGACACATTCCTCTTCCCTTTTAGTTCCTATGGGAATACTCTCTTTGAAGAACCCATGAAGCAGTGTCAGGCTGGTACGAGGATCAGCAGTGATTTCTTTGAGGAGGAGAGCCCGTTTCTTCACTCACAGGCCATGTCTGAGTGGATCAAGAAGAACAGAGTGCCCTTTTATGAGATTTTGTCTGCGTAGACCACTAGCTTGGTAAAAATGTCAAAACCATCCTCGTTCTTTAATAACAGATTATTTTGGACTTTTCTCTGCAAGAAGCAGCATGGGCATTCAGATGCTTTTAAGGATAAAATGTTCTTTCTCATCACCAGGACTGGTGCTCTGGATGGCTGAGGTTTTAATGTGACTGGATGTCCCTTGGAGTGGCTCCCAGGCTGTGCTCTTGTGGTTGGGTGGCAAGCGGTTGCTTTATTCGGTGGTGGCTAGAGGATGTTTTAGCAGATTAATCGGGACCCCAGGAGCCCCTGAGTGTCAAGTCCTGCTGCAGGGCATGTGTTTATGGTGGGGAGGTGGGGGAGGGTGGAGGGGGGGGCATTGATTTCCTCCCAATATCAGAAGTTTCACAGGCTTCTTGTTTATCCACAAACACCCACCCCATTGAGAAGGCCTAGAAAATCTGCCCCTCCTCAAGCCTTTATTGACCGCTTGTGAATGATCCCAGTGTGTGTCTGACCCACAGCTCCTCCTGGAGGGAGAGAAAAGTCTCTCCTAGGTATTTGGTTGTCCACCTCAACCACTTGCTGAGTCTTCCGCAAGACCAGGCACCTCGGCAGAGATTTCTGGGTTGTCAGGCAGAACCGAGCATTCAAGGGTGATAACTCACTGGAGTCCCTGAAATCCCTGATGGACGCACCAGGTAAAAGCATCCAGGGTTGAAACCAGATCAGGAAGGTTATTGTCAGCCTGGGGCTCCTGTAGAGGTGCATCCACGTTGCAGGGATTTTCCTTCTTGCTGAGGAGAAACCTGGGTTTCTCAGCTTTGGCACAGTCAGAATATTTGTGGTGAGACCATTCGTGGTGCTGGTGGTGGGGCTGTCCTGTGTATTGAAGGATGGTTAGCAGCATCTGTGGTCTCCATCCTCTAGGTGCCATTCTACCCTCCCTGCTATGGCTACCCCAGACGTCTCCAGATGGTTTCAAATAATGTGGGGCAAGGGAGCGGTACGTGAGCAAAACCACCCCAGTTGAGAGCCATTGGTCCACACTTGTATAAATGTTTGAGGGTGAGAGTGTCGAGCTTGGGTCCCTGCTGTACCCTTTATGAGCAATGCGGTCTTGGAAAATTAATACTACTCCAGGGGCCTCAGTTTTCTCATCTATAAAATGGAGATAAATGAGATACACTTTCATAGGAAGGTTATATGGGATTCACCGAGATAATAAGACAGTACATGGAAAATGCTGCGCATAGCATTTATTTATTTTAATTTTTTTTTAAGACAGAGTCTTACTCTGTTGCCCAGGTTGGAGTGCAGTGGCATGATCTCCGCTCACTGCAATCTCCACCTCCTGGGTTCAAGTGATTCTCCTGCCTCAGGCTACCGAGTAACTGGGACTACAGGCGCGCGCCATCATGCCCATCTAATTTTTGAATTTTTAGTAGAGACGGGGCTTCACCATGTTGGCCAGGATAGTCCGATCTCTTGACCTCGTGATCTGCCCGCCTCGGCCTTCTCAAGTGCTGGGATTACAGGCGTGAGCCACCGTGCCTGGCCAAACATAAACTTACTTTCTTACCTCTTCTGCTGAACTCTATTTGCTTCTTTTCCCATACGTCTTTATCCAGAAGAGCTTTTAGCAACAAAGTTACCCAATGCCCTTCCCTAGTCTCTCCTTACAACTGGCTCTCAGCAGGGGGTGGGAGGAAATTCTTGACAGAACCAATTTACATGACTGTTTTGGGGACCCATTCTAGTCCCAGGAGGTGTTTACACTTTTAAATTGGTTACTAGTGTCAGAATGTTTCATGAGTAAGAGCCCAGGCTCTATGTCGGATGCCCTGAATTTGAATCTCAGCATTGCCGCTTTGTATATAACCAGAGGATGGATTTGGGGACCCAATGGACCTACCGTGACATGAACTTGCACCAACATTCACCTGACCTCCAAAATGCCTATTCTGACTGGTAGAACCTAGTCTCGCCCTAGTGCCAGTTCAGAGCCTGTGTCCAGTGATCCTGCACAGGTCTCATTAGTTCCTTTTCTCCTGTTCAGTCATCCTGGCGAAAGGCTGTGTATTCCCTTGGGGGCAGGTTGGGAGAAAGACTGACAGTATAAATTTTTGGCAGTGGAGCAGAGTCCTTTCTGGAGGGGACCTGGCTTCTCATTCAGACAAGGGACTCCAGGTCTGTGAACTGGCTTATGTCTGGAAATTGACTGGGGACTGTGACTCTGTTTTTATGATTCAGATTAGACTTCTGCTCACTTGACCTAGAGCACTTCTGCAAACACAGATCAAGTGAAATGTGGCAGGCTTCTTATCTATTTCACTTCTAGGAAAGCCACGATCAGCAGGCACCATAGGTCGCTGGGAGTCAGGCTATTCTGGTTGCAGCTTTGACTCTGCTGTCTTTTATGATAACTGCATCTACCTTGCCTTTGGGGATTGAGTGCTCTGATCACTTGGCCCCAGCCCCTGTAGTGTGCGTATGTCACTTACCCTCTTTATACCTCAGTCTCCTCCTCTATAAAATGGGCATCCTCATTGCACCCTCCCCCAGGGCTGCTGTGAGGTATAGATGCATTAGCATATGGAAAGTAATAGAAGAGGGTCTCAAAGTCCATGTGTCGTTATCAGAATTATTTCATGATGGGGAGAGCTGGAGGAGAGAGGAAGGTGCTGAGCAGACCCACGTGCTCTCCCACCAGTGTTTCCTGAGCACCTACTATGTGCTGCCCACTGTGAGAGCTGTTAGGGTTGAAATAGGGAGCACAGCAGGGTAGGGGCTGCCATCAGGAGCTTAGTGGGGAGACCATTGTGCAACCTGGTTCCAGCGCTTGGGGTGGGGAAGCTCAGGGAGTTCAGGGGCCTAGGATCCAGGGCAGAATCATGGAAAGGACATAACCTCCCCAGCCTCTCCTGCCTCCATTGCCTCCCTGGCCTCCTCTGCTTCCCTGGCCTCTCCTACCTTCCTGGCTTCCCCTTCCACCCCGGCCTCCCCAGTCTCCCCTGTCTCTCCTGCTTTTGAGGTGGGCCAGGAGCTGCTAGTGCTCACTTAGCCTGTCCTGGGCTCTTGGTGTAGCACCTCAATGTCCAGAAAATACCCCCGAGTTCAACTCATCACACAGTCAAGGAAGGAGCTCCACACTGACACTAAGGGTGCATCCTGGGCTCATTCATCAGGGCATGCCTCCAAAATATTTCTCCACGTCTCCTCCCTTTGCCCACCTGCATTGTCTCTGTGCCTGAGCCCCGGCTGGGGGCCTGCAAGGATCCCCTATCTCCTCTGCCCCTGCACAGCTGGGTCCCAGTCAATCTGTCTGCCCACCACACCTTCCTCCCCTTGCCCACCATGCTCCAGCCCCACAGTCCTCTTTCTGCTTCTTTCCCAGCCTCTGGGCTTTTGCACACGCTGTTCCCTCTGCCTGAACACCCTCCACTGGGCTGAGAACAACTCTCCGAGACCTCTCTCAGCTGTTGCTTCCTTTGGAACAGCCGCTGCTGCTGTCACTTTCCCAGCTCCAAGACCTGCTGAGCCTCCTGTCTTTTTCAGTTCCCATGCCCCCAGCACTTCTCCTTGGCCTCCTTTGGCCCAATTGACAATGTCCATTCTCAATGCCTTCCCACCCAGCGCTGAGCCCCACTTGGTGAAGGCAATGCCTGTCATGTTCTCCACAATATCCCCTCCCCCATCACCACACCTGGTCCACAGTGATGCTCAAAAAAGGTCTGTTGGTAGGCAATGGGAAGGTGCATTCATGTCATCCTGCAGGCGGAATTC